>NT_167245.2:1338534-1638534 GCF_000001405.40 Homo sapiens | reverse complement strand
CATAAGTAAGTTCTCTTCGCTTTATTATTATTATTATTATTATTATTATTTTGAGACAGAGTCTCGCTCTGTTGCCCAGCCTGGAGAGCAGTGGTGCGATCTTGGCTCACTGCAACCTCCACCTCCTGGGTTCAAGTGATTCTTCTGCCTCAGCCTCCTGAGTAGCTGGGACTACAGGCACATGCCACCATGCCAAGCTAATTTTTGTATTTTTAGTAAGGATGGGGTTTCACCATATTGGCCAGGCTGGTCTCGAACTCCTGACCTCGTGATCCACCCGCCTCGGCCTCCCAAAGTGCTGGGATTACAGGCATGAGCCACCACATCCGGCCCCTGCTCTATTATTTTGAAAGAGAGTTGGTTGTTTAGAAGAATCTGGCTCCTCCCACCCTGTTCCTCTTTTGCCATGTGACATGCCTGGTCCCCCTTCCCCTTCCACCAGGAGTAAAAGGCTCCTGAGGTCTCACCAGAAGCTGAAGAGATGCTGGTGCCATGTTTGTACAACCTATATAGCCATGAGCCAAATAAACCTCTTTTCTTTATAAATTACCCACTCTCAGGTATTTATAGCAACACAACATGGACTAACAAGTACTGGGGCTATTTCTGCTAAGATTTTGCAATTCAGCTTCTCTGTGTTTGTTTTGCTTCTGGAATCCCCTCTAAATTGTCCTGCATCCTGCCTTTTCACCCCTCAGTCCAGTAAGATTTTTGCTTTCTTCTGCCTGTGTTGTATGCAGGTTGACAAATGCAAGCAGTCTATGTTACTGCAGACTTTCAGATATTGCCAGGATTATTTCACTCTTTCAAGGGTAGACCTCACTCTAGGTTCTTTCTGATTTTTCCCCAGGTTCCCCTGAGTGTCCCACACCCATGGGGAGTTTAGTGTTCAACCAGGGATGTGAGCATAGTTTGTATTCAGATTTTGAATCTGAATTCTTCAGCAGATCTCTTTCAAAATTGCCTGACTGATGTAAACATGTAAAAATGTAAACATTTTTAGCTTATTTGGGCTTTTAACTCTATAAACTGCCCTATTGATCCATTAGGGCTGCAGTTACCTGCTGGGAGTTTGGAGCAAACTCATAGGTAAGGAGGAAAGGCCACCAACTTGCAGCTTTTACCCAATAGATAGTCTCAAGATCAAAGCACTATTACATTTCTGCTCGCCTTTGTTTGTTTTCCAGTGACTTCAAATATTTATTTTTATGATTTTGTCCAGTTCTCATATTGCTATTTAGAGGAAGACTTGCTGATCTACCTGTTCATGTTGCCATTACCAGAAGTTCTGTCCTAAAAGAGACTTTTGGGAGAAAATGTCACAGCTCACAATTCAATTTTGTGAGACAAATAAGGATCCAGACACCAGAGATTCCTTGTTCAGGTTTTTCAAATTGAAGTAAGTTGAGGCCTTCTGTTTGTAACCCCAAATTTCTAAAAGAATCGCTGACTTCATATGACCCCCAATGATAAAGAAGGACACTCTACATAGATTGGACTCATTACTATTTAAGACAGCACATTCCATACCTAGGAAATTTCTGACTCTGTAAATCAAGTCACCAATGCTGCAGTTAAATTTGAGTGGAGGCCAAGGAAGTAGTTCAGTTAAGTGTGAAACAAGCACTGCCCCTCTCCCCTACCCTCTCTTAAAATCATGCAATCACATGTGTCTTCATTCAATCCTACAGCTGATTGGAAGCTGTTGGAAATGAGACTCCCTCATTATTCAGGCCCTGGGCTTTTCAACTCAAGGAATTCCTCCAAGATTGGAGTACAAGCTCTTTGAAAAATAACTGCACCGGTGTTATTAAACGTTAATGAAGATAAATAATTTCAACAAAGAAAAAATGTGATTTCTTATCTTGTGAGGGGATTTCTCTGCACCAAAATCCGGTAAGTTAGTACAAGTTCAAAACATTCCATAAGAAATGGAAATGTCATTCTGATCCAGGCAGGCATCAAACATATCTGCCATTTGGCCTAAATGCTTCCTTGGATATGTGTGTGTGTGTGTGTGTGTGTGTGTGTGTGCGCGTGTGTGTGTGTGTGTGCGTGTGTGTGTGTGTGTGTGTGTGTGTGTGAAACAGGCATAGGAGCTCACTGCTCAAGTTCCAGGGCTTCGAAGAAAAGCTTTATTCTTTATTCTTCTACTAAATAACAGTTCCTGGCTTGCTACTGAGCCCTGGTAGATTCTGAATGCCATGATCATGATACAGCAAATGACCAAGTGACTTGAGATGTCCACCATGACCTGGATTTTATTTATTCACTTATGGTCACCAGCACTCAGTGAGCATTCAGGAGGAAGTGGATATATATACTGTATATACATACAGTATCAGACCTGAGCTGGTCCTTAGCAAGGCCAGCTAAGTTGCCTCATAATATGTACTATATTCCTAGTATTCTTATTACCACCGGTAAATCCACTCTCCCTTGTCTCATCCTTGGGGTCTTGAGGAGTTCCCTAAGGACTGTTGACTATAGAAGAAGAAATTTGAATATGCTTTGAATACCCAAAAGTGTACTTTGCAGCATTACAGCCCTTTTCAGGAATTGTCATAAAGAAGAGTGGAAAGGAAAGTACCTCCAGCAGGAAGATTTTCAATCAGACCATCTGGAAGTTCATTTTGCCTAAAGAAATATCTTATTGTTAGATCCTCATCAATGCATGGGTAGTGACTAATAGTTTGCTCAGGTATTCAATGACTTCAAAGGAACAAGATGGGAAGGTTTGTGATAAGGAGCTTTAAGGATAAGGTGTGAACCACTAATGTGGCATATTAGGTATCTACGCCTACTCTCATGCTAACAAAAAATGGGTTATCAAAAGATAAAATACATCATAAAAGCACTGAGAGGCTTTCACATCAGTGAAAACTGTCTAATAAATATCAGGAAGCTCTGAATTTACTTTTATCCTGAGCTCATTTGCTCAATGTAGACAAGTTAAGCTTTAGTTTCCATGGCCTCATAAGGAATTTGGAATAGGAGGCAAGTCTCAAGTAGCACTCAAAGTGGGAAATCTCCTAGGATGATCTCCTCCATTTTGCTGGGACCCCTAAGTTCAGTTCCTCGGTGTAAGAGAAATGCCCCATGCTCAAAGGACTGCAGGAACAGCTGCCTTGGTGCTGAGTGGAACTGGGAGTAAACACAATGGCCCCACACATGTATTTGCAGCCCAAGTTCTCACTACCTGGATTGTCTGGCAATCATCAAGTTGTGAATTCAGTTTATAGTGGGCCAGGCTCCAAGGAACCTGTCAAAAAACAAACGCAAATAACACGCAAAACAAACACAAATCCTCTCTGGAGGAAGATGTCATCAACCACACTTAAAATTTCCTAAAATTATTCCATAAGCAAAATGAGCACTTACCAGGAAAACAACAACAAAACTATTTACAAGATACAAGTCACCATGAAAGATCAAGCAGAAACACCATACAGCAGAATAATAAGAATAAGACATAAAATAGCCCTGCTTCCTGTGATTAAAAAACAGGCTTTAAAAGACTTCCAGTTAATCAGAAACTACAAATAATGTTCAGGAAAAATTGAAAAGACAAATATAAAACATTTAGAAATGAAATACATGATAATATAAAAATCAAGTCTCAATGGATTTTTTCCAAGCAAAGACAATTTGACACAAACACGCTTTTACTGAAGGGAGTTCTAAAGAATATGCTTCAGGCAAAAGGCGAAATCCTGGTTGGAAGATACAAGATAAAAGAAAACATAAATACAAAATAAAAATCAAAAATGAAAGTAAATGTGTGGTTAAATTTAAATTAAGGTGAGGTTAAAAAGGACAGCATATGAGTTTTGAGGGAATATATAGTTAGTTAAAATCTATATCCATTCTCTCTTGTCCATACAATAATGCTGGATTTCTTTTCTTTACATTCTGATCTAAAATTTCAAGATAAACTTCTAAATCATAGTGTTGTCTAATTTGATTTTGCTTTGTACATTTTAGTATAGGGCATATAAAGGGAATATTCTGTGGGTCTTTCTATGTCATCTTTCCAAGGATTGCTGAATCCTTGTAAGTGATGCATGTACAAAGTCATATGTAGAGTTTTCACTAGTGCAGTTTTCCACAGTAAGATTGCCATTTGTAAAGGTGGTGGGACCTGCTAGTTTGTCTTTCAGAACCATGGACAGTTCTACACGTCCTGGGATGTAGGGAGCCAGATCCTCTTTCACCTGGATACCATGATACATCAGGGAGAAAAGTTTAAAAAGAACCTTAATAGTCATGAAACTGTGATTTTAAATATAGTCAGTAACCATAGTCTCAAATACTGCATTCTTCTTCCCCCTCTTCCTGCCCCTAATACTTTATTAGCCATGTATTTCATGGTCATTGCCATAGAAGGACCTGTTTGAGCAGAAGACACGACTTTAGGCCAGTCTTGGCATGACACTATAGTGGCTGAAGAGCAATAGATCTAGAACAAAACTGCCTGGAACTGAATTCTGGCCTCAAATCTTCATAATTGTGTTACCCTGGGCAAGTTACTTAAACTTTCTGAACCTAATTTTCTTGAGCAAGTTACCTATACTTTGTAGACTTCTTGACTTACTTCCTTCCTTCCTTCCTTCCTTCCTTCCTTCCTTCCTTCCTTCCTTCCCTCCCTCCCTCCTTCCTTCCTTCTTTCTTTCTTTTGAGACAGAGTTTTGCTCTCTTTGCCCAGACTGGAGTGCAATGGTGCAATCTTAGCTCACCACAACCTCTGCCTCCCGGGTTCAAGTGTTTCTCCCGCCTCAGCCTCCCAAGTAGCTGGAATTACAGGCACCCGCCACCAAGCCCAGCTAATTTTGTATTTTTAGTAGAGACAGGATTTCACCATGTTAGCCAGGCTTGTCTCGAACTCTTGACCTCAGGTGATCCGCCCTCCTCGGCCTCCCAAAGTGCTGGGATTACAGGTGTGAGCCACAACACCCAGCCTAAACTTCATTTCTTTATTGTGGATAAGAACATTTTTTTCATATGGTTGTGATAAATACTGAACAAAATAACTTATGTAGGTACTTAAGCCAATGCCTGGAATACAGCAAGTGCCCTTTAAATGCAGCCACTATTATTATTATAGTTGTTGCTATCGTTATTTTCCATGTAATACATTGAGGACTTTCTTTTTCATAGGTTCCCATGAAGGCTCTCTAAGGACTTGCTGAATGAGCAAGATTTGTTAAGATCATGAAAATTCTCTAGGCATAGCCCTACTAAAATTTTTCAGAAGTTCCCAATATCTTATCCACAGATTTCCTTTGATGTCAGAATATTAGTCTTGGTTAGGGGCATCTTCTGGAGTTTGAGTGTAGTCTGGTGTTTTGGGAAAAGAATTATTTCAATAATAGTAAGGCTCAATAATGTTAAAACTGAGAGTTTCAAAATGTTTAATCTGAAGCAAGGGTAGAGCAGATACTTCCTCAATGGGAAGAGGAGAATGTACCAATTGCAAGACAGCTAAAGAAATATGTGTTTGCTTATTGTCAGTGTTAATAACAGTGTTTTTATTAGTCAAATGCCTCATGTGGTACATTCTTCTGAATAAATATCTTTAAAGGCCTCCGCAAAAAAGGACCTCTGGCCAACACCATCCTCCAAGTCAAATGGGAAGAATCAATTAAGCAGAGGATGCACCAATCAGTTCATGAAAAGTTCAAGCCTCATGTTTTACAGAATTAAGTCCAATAATGAGAAGAAATCGGACATAGAATTCAACATATATCTTGAACATAGAAGGTGACATTTTAGCTCTACAGGTCCCTGAGAACGTTTTACACTTTGCTTTGATGAGATGTGGTGAGCACACATTTGATGTATTAGGTATTTTTGCAAAAGTATTTTATAGATGTCTTTTCATAGGTACTCTGAGATTACCTTCAAGAAAGATAAGTTATAAACTCATTTCTAGAAGGCTAAGTTCAAAATTTAGTGGCATAAGCAAGCAAACATTTCAAAGAAATACTGGCTATACTTTGCCATCCTGTGGAAAGACTGGACAACTGCAATGGGGTAGCCTCAATTTTTGCCCTGAAAGGAATCCTTAGAACTCATCATACTCAGATATGCTTATTTTAAAATGAAATGAAAAACAAGTAACTCAAACTTTGTGACATCCTCCACTAATATTTTTCAATATATATTTCTGCCACTTGTTATTTCAAAATATGATTTCTACTTCTATATATATTCTATTGCAATTACATTATATATAATATTCATGGTGCTTCATACACATAAACACACTTGATCCTTACAATCCTGTACAGTTGTCAGAGAAGAACTCATTATTCTGTTTTTTTTTTTACTAATAAATAAATAAGGCCTAAAAATATTCCATAAAACCCCAAAGGTGAGAGTTGTGAGCTCCTGGGCATACCAACTTCTTGACCTTCCAAATTGTTCTCTCTCCTCTCCTTTAAAAATATGGGGGAAAAATCAGATTGATGGTATCTTCTTATCCTAATAATTAACTGACTGAACAGAAAGATAGACTGAGACAATGTAGTGGACAGTCTAATATTAGAATTTTAAAACCTTATTCTGTCACCCCGATGCAGTGGTTTTTTAAATACATATAAGAATATGAAAAACATGTTTGGGGAAATTGAATCATAGCACCTAATGCAATTCCTCCAATTAGTAAGCTGTCAATACTTGTTAAATAAATGCATATACGAAGGTTAAAATTTGGAAGGGATGGAAGGAAGCATAAGCAAGAACATAAACACAAACCTTTATCCGTTAGATAAAATGATAAAAGGTCCATAAGTGAGGGGAGACCAGTGGGGCTAAGAATGTAGAGGAATGTTTGGGAAAACTGCCAGAACATGGTGCCTGACCTCTCACAGAAGAGAGGATGAGAAGCAAGGTAGCTCGCAGATTAACTGACTGAGGAAAGCAGAAACTAGGAGGACTTGGAGTGTGGTATGGTGGACACCAACCCCAGATCCATTGACTAGCTGCTCACAATCCCCCAAGAATTTTTAAGAGTGAAGTGTTCTGCTTCCGGAGATTGATTCTGTAGGCCTAGGAGAGGGCCAGAAATAGTTACTTATAAAAGGTTCTCCGTGGGATTTGGCATGACTGCATTCTAGACTTTAGAGTGTAATATCCAGGCCAACTTAGGGACCACAAAAAGGAGGATTCTACCTATAGAATGCCCTAGAGAGGTTGAGAGGGCAATAAGATTAAGCAAAGTCCACTCTGTTGCAACTAGAGGTGGCTGCTGACACTTGAGAATTGACAAGAAGTTCAGAATGAGCAAAGGCGCAGAAACGGACAGAGTGATGGATAATCAGGGGGCAATGAGGAGACTGGCCTGGCAAGAGCATGTTCTCAAAATGGGAGGGGCTTTGGAGCTGTAGGGTCAGAGGTGGCCAAATGAGAGGCTTGGCATTTATAAGTGAGCTTGATAAATTAAATATTTGAATAAGACTGAGGTATGAAAAGAGCTATGATGTGCTCAGTGGCTAAATGACTAAAGTCAAGATGTTTTCAACTCAACCTGACTGAGCTAGATGGAAGATTTGGTAATTAGATATGAAGGGAATGGAGATAAGTCTCTTACTTACCTTCTCCAGATGATACCTTCTACCTGTTTGCAAGCGCTCTTGGGCTGGAGTACAAGGGTGGTTTCAGGGACAGAGAAATTTAGAGGCAGAGAGGGAACCTCTAAGACTAGGAAAGTAAGCGTGGCTGGGCCTAGAGAAGCTGAGTTCCAAATGTAGTTACTGACTTTATATACAGAAGCAATGGGATTGTCAGTCAGTCAGTCTGCCTAGCTAGTCAGTTAGATCATCAGATTAACCACTATCATGTAGTGCTGTGGGAAATCAGAAAACTCTGGGATGGCTGTAAGGATATGTGTGTAAAGATGTCTGTGCAGTGGACATTCAGTGTAGTGACAACTAAAGGAAACCATCTGAATATTTACACTAGAGAAGCAGTTGCATGCAAAATACTATGGAATTAGGGTTTAAAATGATGAGCTCAAGCTTTCTCTATGAAATTGGTGAGATGTTCACAATATAAATAAAAAACATCAAGTAACAGGGCATTATAAATAGAATAGTTGAATTTTTTGCTACAATGAACAAGAAAATAAAATAAAGCTCATCTGAATTGAAAAGAAAGAAGTAAAACTACCTTCGTTACAGATGATATGATCTTATACATAGAAATCCAAAAGAATTTACTTTAAAAAAGCATTACAACTAAAGAATTTTATCACATTGGCAGGATACAAAATCAAAATATAAAAATCAATTGTGTTTCTATACAGTATCAATGAATGAAAAATGAAAAATGAAAATCTTGAAACTATATATAAAAAGTAGCTCAAAATGTATCAAAGACCTAAGTGAAAGAGTTAACATTAGAAAACTCTTAGAAGGAAACAGGCCAGGCACGATGGCTCATGTCTGTAATCCCAGCATTTTGGGAGGCCAAAGTGGGCAGATTGCTTGAGCCCAGGAGTTGGTAGACCAAACTGGGCAGCATGGCAAAACCCTGTCTCTACAAAAAATACAAAATTTAGCCGGGTGTGGTGGCATGCACCTGTAGTTTCACCTACTCAGGAGGCTGAGGTGGGAGAATCACTTGAGCCTGAGGAAGTTGAGGCTGCAATGAACCGTGATTGCACCACTGCACTCCAGCCTGGGTGACAGAGTGAGACTGTGTCTCAAGGAAAAAAAAGGAAAGAAAGTAAGGAAGGAAGGAAGGAAAGAAGGAAGGAAGGGAGGGAGGAAGGAAGGGAGGAAGAGAGGAAGAAGAAAAAAGAAAGAAAGAAAGAAAATAAAACATAGGCATAAATCTTCATGGCTTTGGATTAAGTAAAGGCACCTAATCTTAAATGTGACACCAAAAGCATAAGCAAAAAAAGAAGAAAAAGATAAACTGGACGTCATCGCATTTAAAAACTTTTGTATGTTTACAGATGCCATCAAGAAAGTGAAAAAAAAAAACCCCACAGAATGGGAGAAAATTTTTGCAAATCATACATATGGTAAAAGAGAAAATTTTGTCTATAATATATAAAACCGGTTATAACTCAATAGTAAAAAGGCAAATAATCAAATTTAAAAATAAAGGATTTGGATTTACAGTTCTCCAGTGAAAATATACAAAAGGCCAATAAGCACGTGGAAACATGTTCAACATCATTAACCATCAGGAAAATGCAAATCGGCCCTACAATGCGATAGTATTTCACACTGTGAGACAAAGTAGTAAATGTCAGAAGCTGACTTTTACTTGCCAGCATAATTTCACAAAGTCCCTGTGAGAGTTGCACATCCTCCTAGTTCATCGTGAGGATGTGCAACTCTCTGGAAAGATGCTTTGAGGACAAAACAGGATAAAGCACACAGCCCCCAACGTCTCTTGCCTAAGCCACTATATTCCTTAAAAGATGAATGCCCTTGCTTTTCCCTGCACATAAGATAATGTCTGACGGGCATAGTGATCATGCTTCTGTAATCTACACTGGACGTATTCCTGCTTCCAAACTTTGATGTGATTCTGCTTTAATGTAACTTCTTACCAAGTGTGATGTGATGTTGCAATACAGAACACCTATAATATAAGCAGTGGGCTGAAATACTGAGCTGGTACAGTCTGATAGAGCCTCTCTAAAGGGCTGTTCTTGGGTTGTAGGCCTCCGTCTATAGTCCTCAGTAAGATTTCCAAATAAAACTAAGTTAATTCTTTAAAGTTTGATTTTTTCCCTTAGTTGTAACCACCCACTAGAATGGCTACAATAAAAAGATAATAATGAACACCGATGAGGATGCAGAGAAACTGGAAGCTTCATATACTGCTGGTGGGAATATAAAGAGGTGAAGCCCCTTTAGAAAACAGGCCAGCACTTCCTCAAAATGTCAAACACTAAGTTAGCATATGACCCAGCTATCCCCTCCTAGGTATACAGCATACCCAAGAGAAACAAAAACATCTGTCCACACAAACACCTATACGCAAATGCTTACGGCTGCATTATTAATAATAGCACAAAATAGAAAGAACCCAAATGTCCATCAACTAATAAATGAATAGGCAAATTGTGATATATCCATACAATGAAATATTATTCAGTAATAAAAAAGACGTGAAGTACTGCCACATGCTACAACCCAGACGAACCATGAAAATGTTACGGTAAGTGAAAGAAGCCAGACACGAAAGGCCACATATCGTATAATTTCCCTTACGTGAAATTTCCAGAATAGGCAAATCTGTAGATATGGAACACAGGTTAGTGGCTGCCTAGGGCTAGGGGAGTTGAGAGGAAATGAGGAGTGGCTGCCAATGGGTATGGGGTTTTTTGTGGGGTGATGAAAATGTTCTGGAATTGATAATGATAATGTTGGCACAACTATGTGAATATACTAAAAACCACTGACTTGTATATAATGAATGTGTGAATTTTATGATATGTAAATTATATCTCAAGTTGTTGTAAAATGATTAAACTACAAATAAAATTTGAGGACTTTTGCTAAAAAAAAGCTACAAAGTAAAAACACTCAACACTTAATATAGGTGCCTATGTTTGTATGAAAATGGAGAAAGTAGACACATAGAGAGTAGATTGATAACATAAATTACCTTAGTAAAGTGGGCATAGATTTAGAGATAGAAGATATTTTAAAATATATTTATACATATTGTGATGATTTCATTTCCAACTCTGAGCATGTATTATTTGTACACTAAAATTTTAAAAATAGAAAGTTAAGAATCTTGAAAACTCTTCAGCCAAATAAAAAATAGTAACAAACAAACAGCAATAAAGAGCCATCTGGAATTTCTTCTTGGAGAATTGGCTTAAGCATACACAAGGTAAAAAGAGGACAATGGCTGAAGAATCAAGGCAGGACTATAGCAGTAGGTGAGAAGAAAATGTAAGCGCGGAGCTATAAGACAAGGTAGAGAGAAGATGACAGAGCCAAGAAGTGGACATGAATCCTATAAAACACTCTTGGAGACTCAGAAATGACTGGGTTTATGTAGGAGAGAAACTGCAGCCTAGAGTCCAAGACGGCCAGACACCAGGGACAGGGCATGGAATCAGAAGTGCTTTCCAGTCATTTCTTTTTGTCTCCCTCCATCACCCCCGCAAAGTCGTTGCTTAAATTACAGCCATTGCACCTTGAGATGGTGGTACCATTTGGAGACTTTAAGATAATAGAAAGGTAGGCCGGGCGCGGTGGCTCACGCCTGTAATCCCAGCACTTTGGGAAGCCGAGGCAGGCGGTTCACGAGGTCAGGAGATGGAGACCATCCTGGCTAACACGGTGAAACCCCATCTCTACTAAAAATACAAAAAAAAAAAAAAAAAAAAATTAGCCAGGCATGGTGGCGGGCGCCTGTAGTCCCAGCTACTTGGGAGGCTGAGGCAGGAGAATGGAGTGAACCCAGGAGGTGGAGCTTGCAGTGAGCCGAGATCGCGCCGCTGCACTCCAGCCTGGGCAACAGAGCGACACTCCCCTCAAAAAAAAAAAAAAAAAAAAAAGATAATAGAAAGGTAACTTTTGAGCTCTTCTGAGGTAAGGAAGTGTATTAGTGTAGCTTTTTCCAGGAAAACCACCACACTCTAGTATAACATTTTAGGAATAACGTGTTCAATATAGGAATTAGAGCCTATACTAATGTTGGAAAATCTAGGAGAGCAAATATTGGTGAAGTCATGTTGTAGGCAAAATAAAGGTCTCCCAAGATGCCTATGTCCTAACCCCTGGAACTTGTGAAAATGTCACCTAATATGACAAAAGGAAGTTTTCAGATGTGATTAAGTTGAGGCTCATGAGATGGGAAGATTATCCTGTATTATTCAGGCAGGTCCAATACAATCACAATGGTCGTTATAAGTGAAAAAGGTAGCAGCAGAGTGAGAATTGGAGAGGGAGATGTGACAACAGAATCAGAGGTCAAAGTGATGGGACTGCTGACTTTAGAAGATGGAGGAAGGAACCACGAGCCAAAGAATGCAGGCAGCCTTAAGAAGTGGAGAAGGTGAGGAAACAGATTTTCCCTCAGAGCCGCCATAGGAATGCAGCCCTGATGACCCCTTATTTTAGGCCAGAGAGACCCATATCAGACTTCTGACCTCCAGAACTGTAAGATAATAAATTTGCGTTGTTTTAAGCCACTTCATAGCAGTAATTTGTTACAGCAGAAACAGAATACTAATACCAGTCACCATTGTAGCTCTTGGAGGCTGCAGCTGGGAGGTCAGGGAAGCATGTGCTGAAGAACTTAGCCTGAAGCACAGGTGGGAGGTTCCTAGAACCCTGCTGGGAGATTGCTGTCATTCTCCAGAACCTCTGAGAAAGCTCCCACCATTCATCTCGGTCTGCACAGGCAAAGCAGATGGGTCTTTGGCCTAGCACAGAAGCCACTGAGAACCTGACATCTGCCTACTCTTCTGCCTGCAGCCACGACTGATGGGTAGAGGCCTGTCTCTCCATCTCTTCTGGGCACCATATCTCATGCAAGTTTCTCTGATTGGAAAATGTGAATCGGAACTACACAGGGAAGGGGATTCTGGGAGACATACTCCTTGCTTCTCGGCAGAGAAGGTGGCTGCTGATTTGATAAGACACAATCCTGCACATTAGTTAA
Source organism: Homo sapiens (assembly GCF_000001405.40). Lineage (NCBI taxonomy): Eukaryota > Metazoa > Chordata > Mammalia > Primates > Hominidae > Homo > Homo sapiens. The sequence goes on along the minus strand of NT_167245.2, from coordinate 1,625,889 downwards.
TGATGGCAAGTGTAGATGGGCTTGTTGACCCCTGATTGACAAAGCAAAGATTCCACAGCTGATGTAAACTAGTGATGTGTTTAAGAGACTTGTTTAAACTCAGCAAATATTAAGTGTGATGTGTCATGGATTATGAAAAGAGTAAACTCATGGTTTGTGCTATTTACCTCAGTATTACTGAAGAAGGATCCTAGAAGCCCACTGATCCAGCTAGACCTTTATGTTTTTTTAACTTTTATTTTAAGTTCAGGGGTCCGTGTGCAGGTTTGTTATATAGGTAAACTTGTATCATGGGGATTTATTGTATACATTATTTCATTACTCAAGTATTAAGCCTAGTACCCATTAGTTATTTTTCCTAATCCTTGCCCTCCTCCCAGCCTCCAATAGGCCCCAGTCTCTGTTGTTCCCCTCTTTGTGTCCATGTGTTATAATCTAACTTCCACTTATAAGTGAGAATATGTGGTATTTGGTTTTCCATTCCTGCCTTAGTTTTCTAAGGATAATGACCTCCAGCTCCATTCATGTTCCTGCAAAGGACATGATGTTGTTCTTTTTTATGGCTGCATAATATTCCATGATGTATATGTACCACATTTTCTTTATCTAGTCTACCATTGGTAGGCATTTAGGTTGATTCCACGTCTTTGCTGTTGTGAATAGTGCTGCAATGAACATACACATGTATATGTCTTTATAACAGAATGATTTCTATTCCTTTGGGTATATACCCAGTAATGGGATTGCTGGGCTGAATGGTATTTCTGTTTTTAGGTCTTTGAGGAATTGCCACACTGTATTCCACAATGGTTAAACTAATTTACACTCCCACCAACAGTGTATAAGCGTTCCTTTTTCTCAGCAACCTGGCCAGCACCTGTTATTTTTTGACTTTTTAATAATAACCATTATGACTGGTGTGAGATGGTATTTCATTGTGGTTTTGATTTGCATTTCTAATAATCAATGATGAGCTTTTTTCATATGATTGTTGGTTGTATGTATTTCTTCTTTTGAGAAGTGTCTGTTCATTTCCTTTGCCCACTTGTTAATGGGGTTGTTTCTTGTAAATTTCTTTAAGTTCCTTATAGATGCTGGATATTAGATCTCTGTCAGATGCATAGTTTGCAAAACTTTTCTCCCATTGGGTAGGTTGTCTATTTACTCTGTTGCTAGTTTTCTTTGCTGTGCAGAAGCTCTTTAGATTAACTAGATCCCATTTGTCAATTTTTGCTTTTGTTGTCATTGCTTTTGGTGTCCTCATCATGAAATCTCTTCCCATTCCTATGTCCTGAATGGTATTGCCTATGTTGTCTTCTAGAGTTTTTATAGTTTTGGGTTTTACATTTAAGTCTTTAATCTATCTTGAGTTAATTTTTGTATATGGTGTAAGGAAGGGGGCCCCGTTTCAATCTTTGCATATGACTAGCCAGTTATCCTAGCACCATTTATTGAATAAGGAATTCTTTCCCCATTGCTTGTTTTTGTCAAGTTTGTCAAACATAAAATAGCTGTAGGTGTGCAGCCTCATTTCTGAGTTCTCTTTCTGTTCCATTGGTCTATGTGTCTGTTTATGTACCAATACCATGCTGTTTTGGTTATTGTAGCACTGCAGTATAGTTTGAAGTCAGATAGCATAATGCCTCCAGCTTTGTTCTTTTTGCTTAGGATGGCCTTAGCTATTTTTGGTTCCATATGAATTTTAGAATAGTTTTTTCTTTTTCTTTTTATTTGTTTATTTATTATTATTATTTTAGATGGAGTCTTGCTGTGTCACCAGGCTGGAGTGCAGTGGCATGATCTGGGCTCACTGTAAACTCCACCTCCCAGGTTCAAGCAATTCTTATGCCTCAGCCTCCCAAGTAGCTGAGATTACAGGCATGTGTCACCACACCTGGGTAATTTTATTTTTATTTTTTGTATTTTTAGTAGAGACTGGGTTTCACCATGTTGGCCAGGCTGGTCTCGAACTCCTGACCTCAAGTGATCTGCCCGCCTCGGCCTCCCAAAGTGCTGGGATTACAGACATGAGCCACCAAGCCTGACCTTAAAATAGTTTTTTTCTAGAACTACATATTTAAATTGGAAAAGATGTGTTGTATTCTCTGAATCCTAGTGGCTCACAGGAGCTGTCTAGAATAGCCTGACTATAGCAATTCCTAGTTAAGCCAGAAGTTTGAAATGAGTTCAAAGTGTAGGGATAAAATTCCAGTGAGAGGCAGAAAACTGGAAAGTTAATGCTTTTCCATGTTAATCAATCAAGTCCATCAATTGTTTATATGTGTAGCTTTCTCTCTTAATTTGAATAATTTCTTAGAGATGAGTATCACTGTGAAGTGTGGGGTGGCTATGAAAGTATAAGATTGCTTCTAGCAACTCACACAGTCACTCATGGATGCTCGGCCCAAGACCCTGATAGCCACGGTTCCACTCCAAGGGAAAAGAGGCCATCTGAGGAGCAAATAGAACTCTATCACAAGATGAGTGCAGGAAACACCCCAAACACAGTCCCTAAGGTCGATGCAGAAACAGCGTAAGAAGAAAGTGTCCAGATATCCAGAATCCTATGAGGTAGGGATTCAGAACTCTCAAAGGCCACCCTCTTACATCTGTCAATAGGTCAAGGTTTCTGTGGATGTGTGTGGCTGTGGCTGACAGGGACCCCAGTGATCCCTATGAGGTTAGACGTAGCTTAAGAGAGAATAAGGGGCACGCACATGCACACACACACACACACACGCACACACACACGCACACACACACAGAGTCAAGGGCAGCCCTTCAAAGCTTCCCATCATCTTCCTCTGTCCATATTTCATTCTCCATCAGCTCACTTTCCATTTTTTCCTTTTTAAGCAATAACAAATTAGTTATATGATGCTGGCTGGTGTGGTGACTTACATTTGTAATCCTAGCATTTTGGAAGGCAGAGGCATGGAAATGGCTTAAGCCCGAGAGTTTGACAGCTGTGTGATTCTAGACAGAGTCCTTCACTTCTCTGTGTCTCCATTTTCTCATCCATTTTATGTGAATCACTATTTCAACAAACAGGGATCAAACGTAGACTGTTTGAGGGAAAAGTAAGTAAGCCAGTGTAGCTGTCTTCATTGATCCTGGTGTCCAGTAGGGGAGATGGACACCTTTTTTAGTGTCATACCTAATGTTACACATTTTAAAAGTAAATTTTTTTTAAATTTGTATGTGTTGTCTCTTGAACTCTCACTATGGAGAGACACTCTCAGTGTGCATTGTTACTGTAAGAATCCCTATTTTTCATCTATCCAACAAATACAGCTTGAAGGCCCAGAATATGCCAGCTTCTGTGCTCCTCCTTGAAAATAGAACAGTGAGGAGCATAAACATAGGCATTTATGTTCTGAAGTTACAGTGTAGTGAGAAAGAAATACATGAGCCAGATGAATAGAAGCTACTACAAAAAGTGCTTTGAGAAGGAAGGAAAGGATCTGTGAGAAAAGAAAGGAGGAAGAGCAAAGCCAGTTTCAGGAAAGCAGGCTAAACTTCCAACAGGAATCCAAGTATAAAAAAAAAAAAAAAAAAGCAGGAATTAGGCAGACCCAAGCAAAGGGAACACCTAGTCCGACCAAAAAATGAAAGGCTTTGCAGCATGTTTGTGAAACTGTAAGCAGAATCACTGGCTAGTGCAAGAGGAGAGAGAGAGAAAATTGGAAAAGTGTGCAAGGTCCTGTTCACACAGGGTTGGGAAAATTGGTTAAGAATTTGGGTGTTATCCTGAGGTTAATAGTGAGTCATTAAAATATTTTAAGTAAGAAAGAAACAAAAGTGGATTTTTGTTTCAGCAGGATTCCTGCAATTGTAGGGCACTGACCCAAGTCTTGCTTGGGTCAGAGCAAGACTGGAGGCAATAAAATGAGTTGGGAGATTTTGAAGAACTCTGAACAACAGAAAGAGTGACAAGATCTAGGGCTGTGGAGACTACGCTGGGATCCAGGAGGACAGGCACTAGAGATGGTGCAGCTACAAAGGCTCGGGGGCAGGGTCGGGAAAGCCTGAAGCTCCCACTTGTGGAGCAGAGGAGAGGTCTAACACCTGCACACCCCAGTGAAGGGGCAGAATGGGAGTGAACAAGGGAGCCCCTGGGCTGGGATTTTCCATGTTTCTGGCACTAGGACGGGGTGGGCAACACAGTGTGGAGCCCAGAGTAGAGTAGAATTGCAGGTTGTCACTCAACAAGATGTGCAGCAGCTAAAGGTTGTGGGAGTCATGTAGGGGAAGGTAAATCCAAAGTAGCTAGAAGATGCACAAGACAATAACCCCTGGCTCAGAACCTCTGCACACTTGCAGGCATTTGGTCTACTCTGTAATTGATTTGCCACTGGGAACCTGCTAGCTCCCCCACTCCTTTCTCGTGATCCTTTCTATGATCTGGCTCTTTGGTCCTCCTGTTGAACCTCCCTCCCATGCACAGTTGCTGGATGACGTCTCTTGGTGCCTCCATAATTGCTCACTAATGTGTGGTGTCCTTTCATTCCCAGGCTAGAAGGGCCTAAATATGAAAAAAATCCTGAAGAGACCAGGCTCCTTTCCTCCATCCTTTCTCCTTAGGAAAGCAGGAGGAGATGAGACACTTCAAAATCCTGGAGGTACAACCACTGGGACATGTGATGTGATCCCAGAAACTTGAGAGAAAGGAAGGGGTCTCAGGACGGGGTGTGTGTGTGTGTGTGTGTGTGACACTAGAGAGTTTGGGACAGGACTATGTCCTCTGTGCAGAAACAGCTGAAAACCTGGAGTTGAGAATTTCTACTGAAGGTCCCAGAAACACCCTGAGAAGAACAGGAAAATGGGAAGAGACAATCATAGTGACTGGCAAGTGAAGGATAAATAGCCAGGAGACATTTTTTTAGGTTTTCATAATTTACTTTACAAAATCATTGATAATGCATCAATGATAGATCCAAAAATATTTATTTAATCTCCTCTAGAGACAGTGATAGACTGTGACAATATAATGCTCAGAGAGACTTGGATTTAATTATAATCCAATTCTAATTGTGATTGTGACCACAGAGAGCCTGGAAGCAGTCTGTACTGGACCACATATACTGATTTATAATTCAGCTTTATGCTGGTTTCCACAGTTCTCACCACAGCTGCCACTGTGTCCCTCAATACTGAAGGGCATGTCCTGGCCAGGTTTTTCTGGCATTGAACAGGTACTGGCTACTTCTGGGTTCCCCTCACTTGCCTGCCACCTCCTGGTCTCCCTGAGTCACTGACAACTATGACCTGTAGATGCCACTCTGTGGAGCCCAAGATCAAAAGACACTGTGAAGACTACAAAAGGGAAAAGGCCAGCACTTTGGGAGGGTGAGGAGGGTGGATCAGGAGGTCAGGAGATCGAGACCATCCTGGCCAGCATGGTGAAACCCCGTCTCCACTAAAAATACAAAATTAGATGGGCTACTCAGGAGGCTGAGGCAGAAGAATCACTTGAACCTGGGAGGCAGAGGTTGCAGTGAGCCAAGATCATGCCACTGCACTCCAGCCTGGCAACAGAGCAAGACTTTGTATAAAAAAAAAAAAAAAAGAGAGAGAGAGTGAGAGAAAGAAGTTCATGTCGCCTGGACTAGCTCCATCCAGCAGTGCAAGGGAAAGATGCCGTGTTGACCAAATGTGCTGCTGATTTTCTGAATGTTGAGTGAGGATGGATCCACAATGGAGTCACAGTGGATTCTTCCTAACACCCAAACCCACAGAGAAAATGACTTCATAATCAGTGACTTCAGCAAACGCAGACCCTGGGAAGTCATGGTTTCTCATACACCATCATTTCTTTGTAGCAACTTCACATCTGGTTCTATCAAGAGGAATCCTTGTGGGTTAGGTGCCTTTGGAAAGATGTTTGTGTACTTCAGAGGATGGGAAATCTATTTTAAAGTACACTTCAAAGCCCTGACTTTATAAGGTTCTTAAGTATTGCCGGTTCCCAAACATTGCCAGTTGATACATAGAAATCTAGATATTAGATTCAGCTTTATCCTCTGGATATAACATGACAATTGTTAAAACTTTTCTCGCTTCCAACAATGATGCATAAAATGATGACATACCAAAGCAAAGCCTTGAGCAATCTTGAGAGAATCCCAGGGGCATATTTTACTCTGTTGAACATGTAGTCTGACATTGAGGGACCAATGTTGAGTGCCGTTCAAGAAAGTTTGGTGGGGATCCATCCGTTTCCTTAGTGAGCAATGTTTCCTCAGTTGAATGTGATCAGTTTTCCTATGTAGAAACTAGAGAACATTACCTAATCCCTGGTTTCCATAACAACCATTGAGCACCACCAGCACTGGGGGTGACACTGACAGGTCCTCACAGGACAAGTACTGTTGCCCCAAGTAAGGGCCTGCAGTGGAAGGGATGCAGAGCTTTAGCAGCAGGAACCTGAAACCTGAAACCTCACCACCAGGCACAGCATATAATCTGCCACTTCATGAGAAGTTTAACTTAATCATTGATCCACAATTGTGACACACTTTTAACCAAAGCCTAAAGGGAAATGAAGGCCTCATTACAGGTTCAACACAGTTTACAAACATCAGCCACAAAGACCCAGACTTATCTTAGGGATTGCTTTTGGCCTGGCGGGATTGAAGATGGGGATGCATTGGAGCTCTGCAGAGAACAATATGACCCTCTGTCACCCTGAAGGAAACAGAAGTTCCATACCAGGCATCATAGAATCTGATTTTGCCCACACATACTGCAGGCTCCTGAAGGAGAAAGTTCTCACCGGTACAAACCCTAAAAGTTAGTTTTCAGGAACAAATAGCTCTGTTTACTACAGTGAAATTTTTGAATCAAAAAGCAAATTTATAATGTCTAATAACAACATAAGTGGGTAGTAGGATCTTTGGAAGTTTTGGAATACTGTAGCACAGCGATGTTTCTGTTTTTTTAAAACAAAGTTATTTAATTTGTATAATGTTTCACAAATACTTAAAATAATACAAAATTACATTTTGAGCTTTGCATTGTCTTGTTAACATATGGTGATGCAGATAGAACGCAATTTATACTTTTAGATACAAATAATTGATTTTGAATTCAAGGAACTTGTTTGAATCAAGTACTTCTTTGGCATTTAATGAGTTTCTTGCAAACAGGTATCAACTTTTAAATTTGAGATACATAATTTTGCCTTACAACCATCCAATTAATTGCTTTTTAAACATTAGATTGTGATAGTTGTATTAGTTTCCTGTGGTTGCTGCAACAAATTGCCATAAACTTGATGGTTTAAAACAACAGAAATCTATCTTCTCACAACCTTGGAGGCCAGGAGCCCCAAATCAAGATCTCAGTAGGGCTATGCCCCTTCCAGAGGATCTAGGGGAGAATCAGTTCCTTGCATCTGTCATATTCTGGTGGCTGCAGGCATTCCTTGGCTTGTGGCTGCATCACTCCAATCTCTGCCTCTGTCTTCACATCACCTTCTCCTCTGTGTGTCTGTGAACCTCAAATTCCCTATGGGTACTGGGCTTAATACTTGGGTGATGAAATAATTTGTACAACAAACCCCTGTGACACAGGTTCACCTATGTAACAAACCTTCAACGTGTACCCTCAAACCTAAAATAAAAGTTTTTAAAAATTCCCTCTCCTTGTCTTTTATAAAAATACATGTCATTGCATTTAGGGCTCACCCAGATACTCCAGGCTAGCTCATCCTCTCAACATTCTTAAATTAATCATATCTTTTGCCATACAAAGTAATATTCACTCTTTTGTCATATAAAGTAATAGTTACATGTTCCAAGGATTTGACATGGATATCCTTGGAAGGGTTGTCTTCCAGACTACCAAAGTAGTACATTAGTTTCCTATGGCTGTTATAACAAATTACCACAAATTTGGTGACTTAATATAAAACATATGTATTCACTTACCGCTCTTGAAATCAGCAAATTAAAATAATTTTGAGTGGACTTCAGTTCACTCAAAATTACTTTCAGTGGACTAAAATCAAGATGTCAGATGGGCTGGTTCCTTCTGTAGGCTCTAGGGGAGAACCCATTCCCCAATCCTGTCCAGCTTCTAAGGCTGTTTATGTTACTTGGCTTGTAAGCCCTTCCTCCACCTTCAAAATGAATCACTTCAGTCTCTCCTGGCATCATCACATTCCCTTCTCCTCTGACTCTGACACTTCCTGCCTCCTCTGATAAGGACCACTGTGATTATATTGGGCCCACCCAGCAAATCCAAGATAATCTCTCTCAAGATTCTTAATCACATTTACAAAGTCCTTTTTCCCAAATAAGGCAACACTCACAGTTTCTGGGGATTAGGATGAGATTAGGGACGATTAACGAGATTACTCAGGTAGTAATTTGTGAGTAAAATTATTATAGAGAGGCAAATTATTTATATCTTATAGTTTGCAGAGCAATGTTGTTTACTGTGACTTTGGCATGTATTTTTAGCAATTAAAATGCTTTAAGGATTTATACCACATATTGATGGCTTTTGATTCTTTTGTATTCAAGACTATGCACATTTGGGGCTGTGTTTTCTAGAAACATACACAGTAACAGTATCTGAGCAGAACTTAGAAATACTGTATTACTATGAGAAAGTACATTTCGTTAATCTAACACACATTATGATTTATATTTGGCTCACAAGTTGATATGCCTTCTCAGATTTTTTCAGCTGTTTCCTTCTTTCTCTTTCTAAGTCGGTGCTCTACCTGGACTGGGTCAACTTGCCTCTTCAGGACTAGAAGAAACACCATGTTGCAAGGCATGGTATAGAAATACAACTGACTGCTACATATTGATTTTGTATCCTGCAACTTTGCTGAATTTGTTTATTAGTGCTCTCTCTCTCTCTTCCTCTGTGTGTGTGTGTGTGTGTGTGTGTGTGTGTGTGTGTAATCCTTAGGGTTTTCTGCATATATGATCATGCTGTCTTCTAACAAAGATAATTCTACTTCTTCCTTTCCATTTTGGGTGTTTTACTTTATTTTTCTTGCCTAGTTACTCTGGCTAGAACTTCCAATACTAAGTTGAACAGATGTGGTGAATAGGTATATTTGTCTTGTTTCTGATGGTAGAGAAAAAGCCTTCCTCATTCTTTCTCCTTGAATATGATGTTAGTGATGGGCTGCTCATATATCGCCTTTATTGTGTTGAGGTAGTTTCCTTCTATTCCTAGGTTGTTGAATGTTTTTATCAGAAAGGGTGTTGAATTCTGTTAAATGCTTTTCTGTGTCAATCGAGATGATTATGTGGACCATGAAAGTTTTGAAGTAGGAGAGAGACAGATGACATTTTCCTTTACAAAGACCTCTCTGGTTGCAGGCAGTCTTTGGAGGAGAACAAGACTGAAGGCAAAGAAATGTGTTGGGAAATTTTGGCAGAAATCCCAGGGACAGGCAATGATGATCTGAGCTGGGGAAGTGGCCACACACTACGATTCGCACCCCAGACAAGAGCAGAAGCCTGAGATGGAGTAGCTCCATAGGCCTAGGTGGGAGAGAAGGCTGAACCAGAGACCAGAAGCGTGCTGAGCTGAGTACTAAGCCCGCTGCTGCAGGTCAGTTAGAGGTCCAGAGGGAAAGGAGCTGTGGGTCTCCCGGCTTGGGGCACTGTCACGCAAACTAGGTTTGCGGGGATTAAGCTCTAAGTATTCGTGCACTTGGAAGGAGCGACAGCAGATGGGGAGCGCTGAGCGAGGACAGGGATGTGCAGTCTGCAGAGAGAACAGGAGCCGCCCTCGGTCGGCTAGAGGGCTGCAGTGCAGTGCCAAAGGAGGGACTCTGGAAGAGCAAAGCTGAGATCTGCAGTGAAAGTGACAGCAGAAGAACTTGAGGAAAAATACATTTCTCTGCTTTTTCGACTGTATTTGGTCTCTCTTTTCTAGCACTGGAGCCCATCTTCCTCTTTTCTTCCTTCTGGCCCTTTCTTCAATTGGACCATGTTTTCCTCCTATTGAAACACCCTCCTATTGTGACACTGCAAACCTCCAATAAATCGCCAACACTGTCCCTTGAGTCTCCAGAGTGTCTCACTCTTTCCAGACACGCTGGTGATTATTCATCTGCTTCATCTGCCTCCTTCCTGAGCTATGGCTCCAGGTGGAAGTGGTCAGCCTTCCTACATAGAACCTAGACACACATTACCCAATCCATGGCCCATAGCAAACTTCCAGAGCTCAGCAGCAGCAGCTGCTGGGTAGGAGGCCCCCGCCAACACCCAGCACCAGCAGCCCCCACTAGAGTTTTACTGCACCATATAAAGGACATGGAGTGAGAAGAGTAAACAATGTCTTGCAATAGGTAACTGAAACCCCACAGATTACCCACAATGTGTAGCCCTGCTCCACAAAAGCCACGATGAACTGAAAGTAGAGAATCCTGAATTTGGGGCACAGTTGCAGAATTCCGATATTCTCTCAGCCCTGACACACTTTAGTGGATTTCACTGCCCTTAGCCACAGGAGCCTCTAAGCTCATCTTAGGGTTTACTCCTGGTCAGAGATTAGGTGGGAGTGAGGGGTGGATTGGGAAGCAGTGAAGGCTCTACAGGGTGACGTATCTAAGTATGCAATTGCCAAAAGCATAAGTCTCTCATCAGGCACCACAGAAACAGTTTTTTCAGCCAGTGCTGCAGACTCCTGCTAGACAGGGTGAATCCACATCACCTACAAAATTCACGAGTCAGTTTTGCACACTGGGCCGTTGAACTCTGAAGCAAACTGGGAAGTTCTAAAAGCAATAGGAATTGGGGTTACTTAGTAATTAAGATATAGCAACTTATTCCTGGAAAAAAAGTATTTTCTATAATAGTTCTTAAATCATTAAAACGTCTGCTAAATTTTGAGTTTTGATACATTCCCTGCTTAAAGTGAACACAATAAATTCTAAACTGAAATGCAGCAAGTGGGGTTTTTGTTTTGTTGTGTGGTGAGAAGAAATGCTGTTTTACTCGAGGTGGTTGTTTCAACGACGCACTTCTCTCCTGCATTAATTTAAAAAAAATTACAAACAAATCTCAAACTTCACATGAGGATAAATAGGGTTTCTTCTACAGCTCTCCAGTTTGTTTTTAAATATAATATTTTAAGTATGTAATTTATCGGAGTAAAATTTATTAGAATAATTCATTAGAAGCCACTTGTTTAGCTCCATATTTGTTCAGCAATGTTGCATATTGGGACATTGGAATATTTTTTGTGTAAGCAAAAATCCTTTATATTTATACGTGTATCGACAGCTTCCACTTTATTTGTGTACTACATAGCGTGTGATTTTTGACTCTGCTTTGTAGAAAAACACATTTCAACAGAATATCTCCAGCTGATTTTATAGTTTCTTACAGCATTTTTGAAAAATATCACTCTGCAAACGTGCTGCCTCAGTACTGTCCTTGAAAACAGTCGAAAATCTTAATTTAGTTATTTTTTTTTCAATTTTTTCAATTTTTTCAATTACACTGAAAACTCGCATTGTACTATGTCTCAGCACTCCCAGATTTACTCAGTGTTTGCTGAAGGAGGTTTGCATCCTGCTGGGAAGACGCATTTGGCAAGGCTTTTCCTCTTCTTCAGGAGATCGGCTAAGATGCAGTTTGATTTGTAGTTCGGTACTATTGCTTTCACGGAAAGTGTCACGCAAGCTTCATTTCCTTTTATGGCCTATATATATGCAGAACTGCGCTGAGTGTACCAGTTATTCTCCTTACATGGATAATAAATAAATTTTAAATTGTAAAAGATAAAGGTTGAGACTGGAATGGCGCTTGATGAGCTTTGGCACACCCTGTGGGGGCGGTCAACTTTGGGGATCCCAGGACACGTAGCACTAAGGACCGCTCCAATCGACAGAGGGGCGTCCAGCCGTCGGGGGCGGGCGGAAAGGAAGGCACAGCGGAGTGGAACCGCGCAGCGCACGCCACAAGCACCAGGATTTCATTTCACTGGGGCAGCGCGTGGGGTCCCGACGGGAGGGATGCGGGGTCAGCGCTTCTGCCTAGATAACGCGACGCGGGGACCTTGGGGAGACAGGTCTGTGATAACTCGACCCTGGACCACACCCTATGGCGGATTTGGTAGGTAACCTCGGTGAAGGGGGGAGTCTTCCAAAGAAGGAATGCAGGAGCTGCGTCTTCCAAAGAAGGAATGGAGGAGCGGCAGGAACACAGAGGAAGGCGGAGGGGCGAGGAGGAGGTTTCTTTCTGGGGCTCTATTTGGTAGGTTGATTGGTTTTCTCTGGGCTACAGCCCCCTCTAGCGTTTCTTATGCGCTAGGACTTCTGCCTTCTTTCATAGGTCAGTAAGGGTTTTTTTCTATTTCTAATATTTGTGGAAAATTTTCACCACTGGACTCATCCTTCTTTACAATTTGGATTTCAGTTCCCCTAATAACGTTTTAACAATATCTTAAGAGTCAAGGAGGAAAGATTTTGTGCCCAGTTGGCCACCTTGAAGGCAGAGGCGTCTGTCATGGTCTTTCTTTTTCTCTTTTTTCTTGAGAAAGGGTCTCGCTCTGTCGCCCAGGCTGTGGTGCAGTGGCGCCATCTCGGCTCACTGCAATCTCTGCCTCCCGGGTTCAAGCGATTCTCCCACCTCAGCCTCTCAGGTAACTGGGACTACAGGTATGCGCCACCACGCCCGGCTGATTTTTGTGTTTTTAGTAGAGACGGGGTTTCATCATGTTGGCCAGGCTAGTCTCGAACTCCTGACCTCAAGTGATCCGGCCTCCTTGGCCTTCCAAAGTGCTGGGATTACAGGCACAAACCACCGCACCCGGCCACTCATAGTCTTTTAGTAGGAGTATATTTAAGGGGCAGTCTTTGCATAATAATAGGAGAATTGAAGTTTTAAAGTCAGATAAGTTGTGCGAGAGTCTCAACTAGTCCGCTGTCCAGTCATGAGATCTTAGACACGTCATGTAAATTATCTAAGCATTAATTAACTTATGTATAAAATGGATGTAATCATGTTACCATCCACACTGGGGTTTTAGGAAGGACCGATGTAATAAAGGGAGGGCTTTATTAATAACCTTCTCTTTATCTCACTAATCATTGCTAATTTCTGCTGTTTCCTAGGTGTCTCAAAACTAAACTCATGCCTCTGGCAGTTATTTGTGGAGCAAATATTATGTGCCAGGCAATGTTCAAGTGCTGAGAAAAATATAAGGCATAAAACACATAGTTACAAAACATAGCTATCAGACAGAGCCCCTGCTTTCCAGGAACCCACAGTTGTAAAGAGGAGACAATAAATGCAATGACCTTGCAGTGTGATAAGAGCTAACACAGCAATTTATGCAGGTGTTGTGGGTATTACAGGGGAGGAAGCCTGCCTGGAGCATCAGGCTCAGAGGATCTGTGTAGAGCAGGGATTCTCAACCTCAGCGTTACAGTGAGTACTTGATGTTTCAGGCCACATAACTCTTTATTGTGGAGGTTGTCCTGTAAATTGTAGGATGTTTAGCAACATTCCTAGCCTCTACCCACTAGATGCCTGTAACACCAACACCTTCCTGATTGTGACAACATCAAAATATATCCAGACATTGCCACATGTCCTGAGGGAAGGGGGTTCACTTGAGAACTGATGTGTAGAAGATAGCTGAGACATCACTCAGAGTTGGATTTCCCAGAGGCATCTTTATTTGGCAGAATGACAGATTAGTTTTTCTTATTTTTAAAGACGGGATTTCACTCTGTTGCCCAGGCTGGAGTGCAGTGGCGAGATCATAGCTCACTGTAACCTGGAACTCCTGGGCTCAAGCGATCCTCCTGCCTCAGCCTCCCAAGTAGCTGGGACTATGCATGTCACTAGGCCCGGCTGATTTTTTTTTTAATTTTTATAGAGATAGCGCCTCAATATGTTGCCCAGATTGGTTCTAAACTCCTGGCCTCAAGCGATTCTTTAGCCTCAGCCCCCCAAAGTGCTAGGATTATAGACACACATGGCCCAAGTTAGTTTTTAATTTAGTTTTTTGTTTATATTAATATATAATTGGTTCCTTTGTTATTTTAATGTATTAGAAAAATACTAGTTTTAAATTGAAAGTAGAGATACAATTCTTTTCTTTAAATATATTTGGGCAAAAGTGATACTGCAGAAAACAGTGAATGAAAGAAGATAAAAACAATAGCATCCAACCACATACAAGTCCTGACAATTTTGTAACTATCATGCTATTTCACTCTCCACTGCAAACTCAGCCTCCTGTTGTACTTGTTTGGATTAGGACCTGGAGAGTGCAGAGTTTGGGGCAGGGTGCAGGCAGAGCAGTTCAAGGCAAACCTTCCCTCCAGGGCAGGGCCCCCTACTCCTGCTTAGAAATACCCAGCATTCCAAAGAGAATGTTCCCCTTCTTCTCCCTAGGCCTTGATCTCTCCTTGGTTTCAGGCAAAGGACTTCAAGACTGAGGAATTCTTACAAGTTTTCCTTAGGCTGCACTGCCCTTGAGCTCTGAAGCAAAATTACGTTTGATGCCCAAGAACATAGGAGGTGAGAGTGAAGGGAAGAGGTGGGTGCAGCTGCTTTTACCAGAGAGTTGGCGGTGCTAAAAGCCTGAGCTGGGGAGCTCGCTGCCATCTCTGCCTAGGAGTCCTCTGTCTCAGGAGCTTTAATCTTCCTAAAACATGATTGGCTCACTCACTGCACACGTTTTCAGTCCATCTGCCCCTGACCCACATCCTTGCCTAGGTCCCCCTTGAAGCACAGCAAGGACAATTTGGGTCAGAGAAGTTAAGCCTCATTTGTTTTAGGAAATGAAAAAATAGACATATCAGGATGGGTCAATCCATTTGTTAAGTAGAGATGGGACCGTTTGGGATACAATACCCATAAATCACATTTGTGCAGTTCTTGATTTTTTTTTTTTTACATTAGGCTGGAATAAGACTACAAAATTTCTCAATTTTTTTATAAAGGTGTTTCCCACCCACTGGAGCCTGACCACTTGAAAGAGTTACTTCTGTACACATTTACATAAATCATTATTAGGGCCCTATAACAGAAACACACACACACACACATACACAGAAACCGTTATTTATCAGGTGATCAAAACCCAAAGATTTGATGATGCCTTATTGTGCTGGTGAAGGTAAGGTAATCAGACACTATTTTGTGTCTTGTTTTGTATGGGGAGTAAATTGATGTAATTTCTGTGAAAGGCAACTGGTATTTTCCATCAAAATTTAACTGCAAAAGTATTTGATCTGGCAACTTAACCTTTAGAAATTTATCATGTGGATAAAGACCCAGGTGTAAAATAAAATGTGAGCAAAAAGCTTAAGCATAGTACTCTTTTCACTTCACTTTAAAGTCGTTTTTATCGTGAACAATAACATGACATAAATGCAAAAAAGTACAGCTAAATGAAGCATACATGCAATGTACCTACTATCTTACTTGAGAAATTAAACGTTGCTGGCAGCCCAGGTGCCTCTACTCCAGCAATCACATCCCCTCCCAATTGGCTACTACCCTGAATTTTCAGGCGATGTTTTCTTGCTTTATTTTCAAAGTTTTCCCACCTAAGAAGAAATCACTAAATAATAAATTATATGTCTGTATGTATATTCATATTTTATTGTTTTTGAACAGTACATAAATGGAATCATACAATATGTGTTCTTTTGTATCTGGAGTTTTGCTGAATAGTATGTTTTTTTTGGTTTGATTTTTTTCTTTTTTTTTTTTTGTTTTGAGACAGTTCGCTCTTGTTGCCCAGGCTGGAGAGCAATGGCGTGATCTCGGCTCACTGCAACCTCTGCCTCCCGGGTTCAAGCGATTCTCCTGCCTCAGCCTCCTGAGTAGCTAGGATTACAGGCATGTGCCACCAAGCCAGGCTAATTTTGTATTTTTAGTAGAGATGGGGTTTCTCCATGTTAGTCAGGTGGGTCTCGAACTCCTGACCTCAGGTGATCCACCAGCCTCAGCTTCCCAAAGTGTTGGGATTACAGGCGTGAGGCACCACACCCAGCCACTGAATAGTATGTTTTGAAGACTCATCCATGCTGGATGTATAGCCATACCTAAGCTTTACATATTGTTTATGGGCAGAACATTTGAAAGAAGGTAAATACTCAACAGGGAGCAGACTAAATAAATTATGGTATACCCACACAATAGAATATTATGCAGTGATGAAAAATAATGAAGCTGATGTTAGATACTAAAATGGTAAGAGCACTAAGTTTTTTTGCTAAATAAAAAGCAGTATATGACCCATAGAATAGTATTCTACCATTTGTATGAAAGAAAAATTTAAATCAATACCAACTTGTTTATATATATTTACAAAAATATCCAGAATATTTTTACCGTATTCTCCTCTGGAAGATAAAATGGGTAGCTGGAAAATTAATTCCCCTATCTATTTGCATACTTTCTGAATTTCCTGCTACTTGCATGTATTACCTATTGAAAATGAGGCTAGAGAGTGAAACAAAATATTGCCCAGTCGCACAGCTGGCCAATGTCAGAGCCTGGACTCAGCCTGTCCCAGTTATAGGGATTTTAGGCCAGATCTCTTTCTACAACTGTAAAGCCAAGAAGGAATGAATCAACAATTAGCTTTATACTCCATAACCTGGGAAAGCCTAAAAGCATACTCCAACTGAGCCTGAATGTTGGTTTGTTCATTTTCCCCACAGTTCCTCTTCAAGAGACAGTTTCAATCCCACAGTTCTGGTTAAATTCCACTGGGCTGAAACGGGTAATTTCAGAATGACCCACCACAAAGCAGGACACATCCCTAAATGACAG
Organism: Homo sapiens; assembly: GCF_000001405.40. NCBI lineage: Eukaryota > Metazoa > Chordata > Mammalia > Primates > Hominidae > Homo > Homo sapiens. Next base: position 1,609,111 of record NT_167245.2, on the reverse strand, counting down.
GCTTTGGTCAGGATGGCACAATAAGTTCATGCTTAGGCAAAGACTCTCTGCCCCAAATTACATGGCAATAAGAAAAATGTAAAAAGAGAAAAGTTATAGTTGAGTTAAGGACAAGAGAAACACCACTCTCCATGAAGAATGGGTCATCAACAGAAAGCAAAGGCAGTGGGAAGGGCTGATGCTTCCAGCATGCTGTTTGTCAGGAGACTGGCTGAAGGCAGGCTCTCTCCTGAAAGAAATTGCCACTGACCACTGCTTGCAGCTGAGGCTTCATAAGAAGCTCCAGGCCCAGGCAGATGGGAGGACTCAAGTGCAGCTTGGAGAGGAGGCATTCACTGAAGCCTTAGAGAACCAGCAGATTACTTCACACAATCTGTAGAAATCAACTCAAAATGTATTAAAGGCACAAATGTACCAGGTAAAACTCTAAAAGAATTCTTTTCCATTACAAGAAAACAAACAAACAAACAAACAAAACAACCAAAACCTTAGGTCTTAGTCAGCCATGGCTGCTATAACAAATACCACAGACTGGGTGGCTTATACAACAGACATTTATCTCTCACAGTTTTGGAGGTGACAGCAGATTCAGTTCCAGTGAGGATCCTCTTCCTGGCATACAGATGACTGCCTTCTTTCGGTGTCCTCACAAGGTAGGGAAAGAGAGCTCCAATCTCCCTCTTCTTAAAAGAGCACTAATCCCATCACGGAGGCCCCCCCCTCCTGACCTCATCTAAACTTAATTACCTCCCCAGGGTCCCACCTCCAGATACCACCACACTGGGGGTTAGGGCTTCAACATATGAATTTTGGGGGAACACAAACATTTAGCCCATAACACCCTTCAAAGCAAAAAGAAAAGAACACCATGAAATCTAGTGGAAAAATAGGGGGAAACATTTGAATAGGCAGTTCAAAGAAAGAGAAAAATGAATGATGATGACTTATTTGAAGCTACACAGTATCACTGGCAATAAGAGAAACTCAAGTTACAACAAGAAAGGGAAAGAGTTGATACTGATTAGATTGTGACAAAGATTAAGAAGTCAGTTAAAATCAACTGAGCATGTAAAGAAAGATGAACTTGGTATATTGCTAGGGAGTATAGACTGTGGAAGCTGAAGGAAAATTTGACTTTCCTCAGGTAATTTCCATACACACAAACCTAGAATCCAATTTGTAATTGTGGCTAAGTACTCCAGAGGCCCACTCTCATAGGTCCATGGTCTAGAATTCTACTACAGAGATATATATGGTAACATATAGTTGGAAGCAAACTAGTTGACTATCCATAAGAAAAGGGATAAACAAAATGTTTTAAAAGCATAATCTATGGCAGTCCAAAACACTGAATTAGATGTATATACAGTACAGAGAGCTTAAAAAACGTTGTCAGCCGGGTGCGGTGGCTCACGCCTGTAATCCCAGCACTTTGGGAGGCCGAGGCGGGTGGATCACGAGGTCAGGAGATCGAGCCCATCCTGGTTAACACGGTGAAACCCCGTCTCTACTAAAAATACAAAAAATTAGCCGGGCATGGTGGCGGGTGCCTGTAGTCCCAGCTATTCAGGAGGCTGAGGCAGGAGAATGGCATCAACCTGGGAGGCGGAGCTTGCAGTGAGCCAAGATCGCGCCACTGCACTCCAGCTTGGGCAAGAGTGAGACTCTGTCTCAAAAAAAAAAAAAAAAAAAAAAAGTTGTCAAAAAGATAAAATGGTCTCTGCAAGCTCCATGTCCTAGGTATAGTCCTCCCCATCCTGCTGCCAGATCAATGTGATCTCTTCAGGGTGGAAGCCCAGGGCCCAGCACCTCAGGGTGGTATTACAGTCAGAGATGGGGTCATAGTGGGTGCTGGTGGGGAATGCCTTTGGGGGTCCGAAGAAAAGGGTCAGAGGAAATTTAGAACATTCATTTCCCTTCCATAGGCCATTCAACAGGGCTCATTGATCGCTCTAAGAAGGAAAGGATTTTAGGAAGAGAAACTCAGATACCCACATCTACTCTAAGAGTCCAGGGGGAACACTTTCCTGTTTCAAAGCAGAGTGAGGCAGGATATAGTTGGAGGCACCAGGTCTGAAAGGAGGTGAGGGGGTCCTAATTAAGTAGTGTCAAGGTCACAGTGGGCAGGGCCAGGGTTAGAACAAGCTCCAAAAAGAATCAGGATGGAGGCAGAAGATAAGGTCTGAGAGAGACAGTTTGGTTCTTGAGGAAGTAGCTGCAAGATCATGAAAATTAAAAGCTTTTATACATCAAAATATACTATCAAGAGAGTGAAAAGACAATCCACGGAATGAAAGAAAATGTTTGCAAATCATATATCTGATAAGGGTCTAGTATTCAGAATATATAAAGAATTCCTAAAACTCAAAACATAAAGGCAACCTATTTTTTTTAAATGGGCAAAGGTCTTGAAAGGACCTTTTTCCAAAGAAAATATACAAATAGCCAACAAACACATAAGATGCTCAACATCATTACTCATTAGAGAACTGTATATCAAAACCACAAAGAGGTTTTGTGGTTTTTGTCTAGTGTTTTGGATTGACTTCTAGCGGTTTTATACCCACTAGAATGTTATTATAGGATGGCTATAATAAACAACAAAACAAACTGAAAGTAAGTGTAGATTAGGATGGAGAGAAATTAGAACCATGTGCATTGCTGGTGGGAGTGCAAAATGGTGCAGCAGCCATGAAGAGCAGTTTGGTAGTTCCTCAAAAAGTTAAAATATAAAACTATCAAACGAACCGCACCTATATCCTCCAACAAAAAAACTAAAAACAGATACTGAAACAGAACCTTGTACACAAATGTTCATAGCAGCACTGTTCACAATAGCCAAAAAGCAGAAATAACGGAAGTGTCCATTGATGGCTGAATGGATAAACAAAATGTGGTATATCCATATAATCGGCTACTATTCAGCCATAGAAAGGAATGAAATACTGACATTTGCTACAGCACGGATGAACCCTGAAAACATTATGCTAAGTGAAAGAAATCAGACACAATAAGCTACAAATTGTATGATTCCATTTATATGAAATATACAGAATAGACAAATCCGTAAAGGCAGAAACAGATTAGTGGTTGCTAAGGGCTGGAATAGGGAAAAATTGGAAGTGACTGTTTAATGGAAACAGGTTTCTGTTTGGGATGATGAAAAAGATCTGGAACTAAATAGTGGTGGTGATTGTATAATATTGCAAATGTACTTAATGCCACTGAATTGTACACTTTAAAATGGCTAAAATGATACATTTTAAGTTAAGTATATTTTACCACAATAAAAAGAGGAACCACTGGGGGGCACTGGGTGAGGATGTAGGGGACATTTCAGTATGCTCTTTGCAGCTTCCAGTGAATCTATATTTCAAAATAGTTTTGAAAATTTATTAAGCAGTTACTAAGCATAGGCACTATCTTCATAGTGATATAATTGTTTTAAATTAGAGATACACACTGATTTATTATGGTGACAATAACTCAGATTCCTCAATGTTCAAGACCTGTCTTTTCTAACGTTTTTGCTACTTGAATTCAAAATAACAGTCTCTCAATCCTTCTCTCTTTTGCCTCCTGACAATAACGATACTGGTTTTCACTAGTTTTGAAAGTGCTAAATGAACTTAATGTTCAGGGAGTGACTAAGGCATAGTTTCTATGGTTACTGGAAGACCTCATTTCTTGATTCGATTTGAATAACCTAAGTTTCTTCTCTCTCCTTTAATTTTATTTAGAGTCCTAAAAGGGCATAAATTTTGAGTTATTGAACTTCTAGAAACACTTGAGAAAGCTACTGCATTCCAGGGATTCAGTTTATTTTCATCTTTCATCTAGGAAATCCATTTTTGCATATAATATGCCACTATCACATTATATATCTTTATGATGTATCTGTATTAATACATAGAATCATGTATCAATGTATAGAATATAAATGTTATATATGTAATCATATATTTATAATTAAACATGAAAAAGGAAAGAGGAAGAGGGCTGTGGAAAGAGGAAGAGGGCTGTGATCTTTAGAGTTATATATTGATAGAAACCCACAACAAATAAAGAAACCACAAAGACTCACAAGTGAACCAGATTCCAGATACTGTTTTGTCTGCCGCTCATCCTGACTGGGACCTGATTCCCATGATCTCCCACATGAGAGGAATCACTTAGTGACTGAGCCATGAAATCGAAACTCAGTTTCCCCACTGCTATCCCACTGTAGACATGTTCAGTCACATGCAATCATAACACACTCAAGACAAACTTAGCCAAAGATCAGATTAAGTGTGCAAGAGTCGAGCTCAGTCATCCCAAATTAAACTTACTGGAGGAGCCATGGAAGGTGAGCTGAGGATGCAAAGGACCCAGGTATGCACGAGGTGTTACTTTCAGGCTACACATTTTTGTTGGACTGAAAGTTGACCCAGGTAGGCACTATTTCCAGAAATAAAATGTCAAAGGATGACTCAGAAACATTTACTTACATGTACACTGTTTAGTATTTTCTACGCAAATAATTTACTGACATGTGAAGGAGGCAGTGGAGAGACCAAGTCAGGGACAAAGGCAAAACAAGAATGTGGTAGATGAGTGATCCCCAACCTTTTTGGCACTAGGGACAGGTTAACCAGGGACTGGTTTTGTGAAAGGCAATTTTTCCATGGAGCAGGAAGGGTATGGTTCTGGGATGAAACTATTTCACCCCAGATCATCAGCAATTAGATTATGATAAGGAGCATGCAACCCAGATCCCTTGCATGCGCAGTTCACAGTAGGGTTCATGCTCCTATGTGAATCTAATGCTGCCACTGATTACTCAGGCAGTAATGCTGGCCCATCCCTCCCTTCCACCACTGCTCACCTCCTACTAGGCAGCCTGGTTCCTAACAGGACACAGCCCAGTACCAGTCCACAGGGCCTGGGGGTTGGGGACCCCTGTGGTAGATTGTTACACTGGTGATCCCCAGGGAACTAATGAACCTCCCAGCGTTCAAACTCCAGTGTAGCCCCTTCCACATTGAATCTGGCATTGGCACTGTGCCTTGCTTTGGCCAAGGGAACATTAGCAAGTGTGACCCCAACAGAGGCTCGATAAACACTTTTTTTTTTTGAGACAGTCTCACTCTGTCACACAGGCTGGAATGCAGTGGCGCGATCTTGGCCCACTGCAACTCTGCCTCCTGGGTTCAGGTGATTCTCCTGCCTCAGCCTCCCGAGTAGCTGGAATTACAGGTGCCTGCTACCACGCCCTGCTAATTTTTTTGTATTTTAAGTACAGACAGGGTTCCACCATGTTGTCCGGGCTGGTCTCAAACTCCTGAACTCAAGTGATCCACCTGCCTCGGCCTCACAAAGTGCTGGGATCACAGGTGTGAGCCACAGCATCCAGCCAAACACTTACATATTGGGATGCTTTTGTAGAAGCCAGAGGGGATGTAAGAAATACAACTACCCTGAGTCAGCCATGCTGTGGGAACATCAAAGCTAGCGAGGGAGCAAGGCTACTTGGAGAAGCAATGAGGTGCTAAACACGTGAGTGAAATTTCTTGGGTCTTCCAGACCACCTACGAGATAGCAGCTAAATGCAGCTATTTAAGCTGATTTCATATGTAACAGGAGAACCACCCAGCCAAAGTCTTTCAGAATTCCTAGTTCACAGAACCAGAGGAAATAATAAATCATTATGTTTTAAGCTCCAACATGATGAAGTGATTTTTTTATACAGCTATCGATAAGCAAACACAGGGTTTATAAGAGAAATAAAAGAAAACTGCATTCTGGAAGTAGTAAATTTTGTTTGTATGCTTTTGGTATAACCTTATTAGCTGGCATTTAGCAAAAAGGTCAGTCTAAGAATTCTGTACTTCAGTAGGCTTTCTAGGGATATCGAAGAAAACATTTTAGTTGTTTATTCTTAAGAAAACTCTGAGAGTTTACCTATGGGACATAATTGCAAAATGTCTGTCGGTGTCCTTTGTTAGCATCTTTGACTTTGTTAGTTCAGGTTTGCGCCATTTCCTTTATCAGAATTTTATTAAAGACAACTTTGAGACTGGGAAAAGACCTGAGTCTTTTCTGACTATGAGTGGGCCTAGAGGATACAAACACTCTCCGCTGCCCCATATTTCTCCCCTTGTTTAAAAACAGCAGCAGTGGCATCATTCTCTCCAGCTCTTCAGTCAGCAATTATGGCTGCCCAAACATGGAATGCCCTAAGGTGGCTCAGGACATTGATAGGGAACTGGGGCCATGGCCTTGGAAATGCAAGCTGCTGAGTGAGGCCAAGTGGTCTATGGAAATCACGATCTCCCTGCATGGTGGGATTACAAAGGTGACCAAGAAACACAGACAGAAACAGAAGAAAATGGAATTAAGAGTTGAAATACCCACAGAACAGAATCATGGAATGTAAAACAAGTAAACTTTATTTGGGAGATGGGGTGAATCCATCACTGGTTACTGGAACCCTGAGTCTGCATTTTCTCCTCAGGAAGGCGGTCTGAAATGGAGTGGGCTGTGTTTGGCAAGGGTTGTAGTGGTTTGGAATCTGAGTAAATGAGCAGAATCAGAGAAACAGAATTAGTTTTCTGACTGTGGTACTTCTCACACCAACCCAGAACCTGTCCATGTGTCCTCTTCACTCTACGTTCTCCATTGTCCCTATCCTCTGGGGTGTCCTCCATTTTCTCCCTCACCTCTCACCTGCTTGGCTCCCGAGCTGGGCCTCAGGCCTGTCTCCCCAGAGTAAATGCCCGGGATCATTGAGGAAGCGTTGGCTGCGCTGGCATGTTAGGCAGGTCTGTACGGTCCAGCGCTGTCCCCTGCAGCCTAGGGTGAACATGGGAAAAAGACTGTCCACGTTTAGAAGTAACGGTCTCTTGCTGCCAGTTTTGCCTCCAGTGTTTTTCAGTAGGTATCCCCGCTCCCCCACCACACCCCCAATTTGAATGCACATTTGATGGTGTCAGGCCTCGGCATAAGCTCCATCGATTTCCTGGAACTCTTTAAGATAAAGTTCAAACTCCCTAACAAGACTTCAAGAACTGGCCTGTTTCCCCCTCCAGTCTCATGTTTTGCCCTCCTACCTCAAACTCCAGCCTCCTGAACTCTCATTTCTTTGACAGCACCACAAGCTCTCTTGTCTCAGAGTCTGCACACATGCCTAGAATTTCCATCTCTCACTCCCTTTGCTTATCATAAACTTCGCCACCACTGGCATGAGTAAGTGAGCATTCTACTCCCCCAGTTAATCTTTTTCTACACCATTTTGTTTCTTAGTCTGTCCCATCAGACCGTAATTTCAATGAGAATAATGAATCTAGCACAGTACCTGACACATTTTAGAAAATAAGTATTTGCTTAATAAATGAATGGTGATGGGAATCGTCCTCCACAAAGCCGAACAACATCTATTATTGTGCATGGGTGGGGTTGCCTCTTAAAAGTTATTATTTATTGCCCACACTGGAAGAAAAAAAAAAAAAACAGCCGAGCCCAAACCCTAGTTTGTGCAAGTGGCGTTAGGAACTTAATCCAAACCCGAAGAAGGAAGACTCCTGCGAATCCCACACCCAACATCCATCTACAGTGAGAAAGGCGCTGTTGGCCTCCAGTGCCCGCCCCCCACCCCGCCCCCCTCCGCGCCCCCAATGCTCCGCAGTCTTCCACCTCCGTTGGAGCACTCACGTCTCTGGCGGTGGGTGCAGGTGAGGCCCGGGACGAGGAGGGAAGAGCAGCCTCGACAGAGAGTCCTCTTCACCGAGGGATCCCTGGGGGCGGAGGAGGATAGTGGTCTGGCGCCCGCGCTCCCTCTCGCGTTCCTCCCGCGTCCCGCCCGCCGCCCGCCCCGTGGCTGTCTCACCGCCGCAAGACGAGCCGCTTCGCAATGGTCCTCTCAGTGTAGCAGTAAAACCTCGCCAGCGCCTGGTTCTCGGGGTCCTGGGCAAGGACACAATGGGCGGCCTGCGGGAGGGGAGCAGTCACTCTGGGACGCCGAGCACCGTCCCCGTGGGGCCCTTGTCGCAGACTCACCTGGTACAGGAAGTTGAGCCTCTGGAAGGCCTCGCGGTCCTTCACCGGCCCCGCCATCACCGCCGCGCTCCAGGGCCTCCCGCAGCCCCACCCCTCGCACAGCCCCGCCCGGGCGTCCGCGCGAGGCCTCCTGGGAAACGTAGTCCCCGCGCCCTCGGGAGCCTCCCGGAGGCCTCACAAACTCATCGGTTTCTAAACACAACCCCAGCAATCCATGCCCAGGGTCCCTTTATGAATTTTCAGTGCTTTTGTCTTCCTCAAGCTCATGACCAATTATATCACCTAGAGACCTAGTGGAGCAGGTGAGGATCTTAAATCGGCCATTTTCAGGACAGAAGGCTGGTCTCTTTATGTAGCTACGTTGGGGAGATGGTTATGTGCAATTTATACCCAGCTAGAGCTTCTGCCCTACTCTCCTGAGGTCCGAGGCAGATGCCTGTAAGATCTACAGACGGAAGGCACAGAGGTAATACATTAAAAAAAAGCACTGGTGCCAGTGGGGGTGAAAGTGGGAAGGATCATGAGGGTGCTGGAGGGAGGGAAAAGGACTCCCGGTCCTCAGAAAGCACAGTTTACTCCTACTATTCCACCTACCAAAGAAACACACTTCCTGTTATGCAGTGCTGGACACACAGTAGGTGATCCTCACTTTCTGAGTGAATGGTTTCTAACTCCTAGGCTTAGGTACAGCACAGAAATCTGTCAACAGCATCCCCTGCCCCTGAAACTTCACCCCACTCCCCACACTGACATTCACCTCACACCCCTCCCTCTGACCTCTTCTATCTTCCAGTTCTTCTGTCTGGTGTCCTGTGACTCATAGTGACTATCAGTTACTGAAGTCAGAAGCAGAGGGACATGAATTGGAGGGGTAGAAGATCAATGAACCCTGAGATGGGGAGGGCAGCATAAGTCAGGAGAGGATGACTTCTCTCCAATTTCAGACCCAGTGCCAGGCGGGGACAGACAAGCAGGGCTCCAGCTGGGAGGAAGGACATGGCTGAAACCTCCTCTGGAACTAGTTTCACAAGGGTTTTCGGACTCAAATGAGAGTGGTGTGTTTAAAATGTAGAGGTAGGCTGGGCACGGTGGCTCACACCTGTAATCCTAGCACTTTGAGTGGCTGAGGCAGGTAGATTACTTGAGTTCAGGAGTTCGAGACCAGCCTGTCCAACATGGCAAAACCCTGTCTCCACTAAAATTAGCCGGGTGTGGTGGTGCATGGCTATAGTCCATAGTAATCCCAGCTACTCTGGAGGCTGAGGCAGGAGAATTGCTTGAACCTGGGAGGCGGAGGTTGCAGTGAGCTGAGATCACCACTGTACTCCAGCCTGGGCGACAGAACGAGACTCTGTCTCATAAATAAAATGTAGATGTCCGGCCCACCCCAGACCTTGACTAACCACTAAGGGTGAGACCCAGGAACATGCATGTCTAACACCCAGTGATTCTTACACATCAGTACAAGGCTGTCACCAAATTACCACACAACACAGAGATCACTTCAGTGGATCCTTTGTTCCATATTATTTTAACCAACCAAAGTATCTTGCCACAAAGAACCACAGTCAAGGCACAAAGGTAAGAGGAGGAGAGTCTGGACAAAGTCCTGTTGAGGTGGTAGGAGGAACTGAAATGCCCTCAGTAAACTGCAGATTCTTCTCTCAGTCATTTCTGTGAAGATTACCCGAATAGCAGATAATCCAAATTGGTTTAGTTTGGTTTGGCATGCATCACTTTTACCTTTTATGACAACATATGTACCCTATAAGTTGTTTATTTTGGCCTAACATGAAAATCATTTACATTCTCTGAAAAGGGAAATGGCAAAGGGTGAGGGATGGCAACAAACAAGCAAAAGCCTGGCTTAACACCAGTTCCAGGCCAGATGCACACAAGCCAAATGAAGTTGCCTATCTGGCCCTTCCCTATATACCACCCTCTTCCACCCTGTCCTTAGGGTGAGAAAGACTCCATAACCTTTTTTCCTTTCTGGCTTGGACACCTTGGCCAGGTAAGAAGGCTGACAATTTGGGAGTAGCTACTAAGTAACATTCTTTAAGGCCAGGGCTTTGTATACAAATACCCTTCTCTTTCCTCTAATACCTGACTCTCCTTTCCAAGTTCCCTTGGGAACACTGTGAAAGGATAGATGTGTCTTGCAGGATCTCTTCCACTTTGCCTCTGGAGAGGAGCAAGGTGACTGACTTATTGGTATAGAGGCAGGCAATAAGCCAACTCTGCTGAAGGCTGAGGCAGGGACCTGGGTTCTCCTCTGCTTTCTTTTCAGCCTCTCCTTCTCCCCACATTCCTACCTCTGGCCAATCTTACCCATAATCGCAACCTTACCCTTGGAATAGAAGACCAAAGAAACCTCCCTCCTCTTCATTAATCTCTAGGAATCTGTTCCTTTAGCCCACTTCCCTGACCCTTCTAGCCTTGTTGATGTCCAATCTCTGCCCTCAGAAAAACTCCTCAATATCTAGACCCATGAGAGCATCTGTCATTCATCTCTCATGAATTCAGAGGTACACAGACCCCTGTGATCTACCTCAAGAAGCAAGACTATCCTGGGTCAAAGAACCCCCTAAAAAGATGTGCAGGGGTTTCTGTTTCCTCCTCTGGTTTGAGCAAGTCAGACCCTCACAGATTTTTTGTTTCTGGAAAAGCCTCTCCTTCCTTCCTGACCCGTCCTTGTGCAACAGAAAACCTGATGGACTTCAGGGTAGACAATCCTCTGGGAACCAGCTCCCCACCCTGACAGTTAGGAGGAAGTCACAGCTGTGCTCTCTCATCCAGCCCAGTCCTACCTCCCCCTCCACACAAAACCATCCTAGAAACCAAGGTGTTTCTCCAAGATGATTCAGGACTGGACCCAGGTGGACACGAAGACGTTCCAGCAGGACACGGGAAGGAGGCCCGTAGCACTTGACCCTGCCTCACCCCAGTCATTCCCACATCCCAACCTGTCACTCCCAATCTGTTGGGGGCCTGATGGTAAGTGGTGCAGCATTCTTCCGTCCAGCCCGGATGCCTGGGTAGAAGAGGGGCCAAAGTTTCTCAGTAAAAGTATCAGTGAAGGTGTAGATATGAGAGCGGTCTGTGACATTGTAGAAAGACAGTGTGCCGGCCTCATAGTCTAGGAATATGCCTACCCGCTTGGGTTTCACCTTGATGTGCAAAGGGGTAAAAGGTGTGGTGGTGGCTGCATATTTGTCCCCATTCCATAGCCGCACCCGCCAGTAGCCAGTCTCAGGGAGTGGAGTCAACTCGCCCTTTCGGCTCACGGAGTCCCGGCATACACCCACTGCCCAGTGGGTCTTGTCGCCCACCTCCACCTCCCAGTAGTGTCGACCTGAGGTGAAACCCTCAGTAGCCAGGACGCAAGGGTAGAAGGTGAAACGCCTTGGTGTGTCAGGGAGATCCCGGAGTCTTGTCTCCACGAACTTGACGCTCTTACGATCCTCTGACAGGACTAGGTTAGGATGAGCTGTCTCAGGGTCCAGGGTCACATCCGCTGGCGGGAGAAGCCAGAGTGGGGAGCTAGATGAGGATGGGAATAGCTAAATGCCCCTGCCTCACTCTTCCAGCCTGCCTTTACAGAGCCTGGTCCCTTAAAGGTCCCCAGAACAACCTGGTTTGGTTAACTTTCTCAATCCATGGTGTCACCTAAGGAAGGGGAGAAAGCAATGGCTCACTTCTCACCCTGACCCTAAAGTAAACAGATAATAATCTCTTGAGTCTGCAGTGGCTGGTAATCTAGGTTCCCGCCTGGTCCTCTCTTCATCTCCCTCTGACATTATCATTTATCTCACTATGTAGAGAAGTACAAGGTGTAGTCTGAGGGGCAGAAAAAAACGGAAAGTGTTAAGAAGGATGCCGAGCAAGACAGCATATGGTCTAGGGATAGGGTGACCATGTGTGTTTTCCAGGAACTGGCCTGGTTTATGACTATTTTCCCTGCATATTCACATTAATATAATGACACTCCCTTTCAGTTTCTTTCTTTTTTTTTTTTTTTGAGATGGAATCTCACTCTGTCCCTCAGGCTGGAGTGCAGTGGTGTGATCTCAGCTCACTGCAACCTCCGCTTCCCAGGTTCAAGCAGTTCTCCTGCCTCAGCCTCCAGAGGAGCTGGGATTACAGGCGCCCAACACCACATCTGGCTAATTTTTATATTTTTAGTAGAGATGGGGTTTCACCGTGTTGGCCAGGCTGATGTCGAACTCCTGACCTCAAGTGATCCACCAGCCTTGGCCTCCCAAAGTGCTAGGATTACAGATGTGAGCCACCGCACCCGGCCTTTGAAGGTTATGCAAGTTTACATGGTAAATTATATAACCACTCTACCCGATGACTTTGGCAAATTATTTAACCTTTCTGGGTCTCTATTTAGAAAAGAATGGACCTAAGAGTAGATAACGCTTAAGGCTTCCTCTCACTCCAAGTTCTGTGACTCAGGGTGAGACTAAAAGCCAGATAAAGGGGTAGGTGTGTGTGGGAGTAAGAAAAGTGAGACATAGGATAACTGAAACCCATATAAGGTAGGACCTAAAAACTTTCTTCTCTCTAGTGGTTTCTTCTAGTTTCCTTTTGGGAACAACTCACCAATTAGCTGTTTAAGGATTTTCCTTAGGGCAAAGTACTGTCGGGGAAAATTGCTGAAGTTCTTTTCCAGCTCTATGGATACTGAAGTCACCTCCATGGTCTTCACCTTTTCACATCTAGGAGGGATAGGGAGATAGGGGAAGAAAGGGCAGGGTTAGGGAGAAGCTCCAGCCAAGTGACTATTCAGATGTTAACATTTTTAGGGAGAAATTAAAATTCTCCATCTTCCCACTTTCTTCCTCCTCCCTGAAAAGCTCACCTGTTGATTTCTTTTACTAATCCAAGGAGAGCCTTATGATCCCGTGGACAGATCGTTGAGAGTGAGCCTCCGAACTTTCTAGGAATATTCCTGTATTTCATGCAAATGGATGATTGCCCTCCCTGCTCTCCCAACCCCTTCCTCCTGCCATCTTGTTTGGACACAATTCCACCCACTGGCACAAGTAGAATCTGATTCTACCTTATCATTCTCCTTCTCAAGAAGTCCTGATGTTCAAAGGGGAAAAGGGATTATTATTCCCAATAATTTGTTCTCTAACTGGCTTCATGGGCACAATGAACATTCTCCCATACCCTGCCCAGACACACTACATGACTTTCCCAACCTCACCCCCAACCCAAACTCCTGACTGTACCCCTCCTCTCTAAGCCAAGACCTAACTCACTCAGAGAGATACAACAATCACTTACTTTTCCAGGGTACTTTTGACATCCTAGAAGGAAGGAGAAAAGAAAGCAATATTGGTCCTGGTATTCAGTGGTCCTGAAGGCAAAAGGTTCCCCCTCCTCCCCAAAGTTCCACAGCTATAAAATAGGGATAGGATAAACTGAGGGTCACACAGTGCAAGAAGAGCTCCAGCGGGACCTGAATGCACTTCTCCCAACCTAATCCCTACTTTCAACTTCTGGTCATCATGAAGCTTGGTCATTTATATCACTTCCCAATGATTTCTTTTATGCTTGTCTTTGCTCCTCAAGGATGCTGGGAGCTCCCTATAAGGGACAGGGATTGTATCAATTCTTTACTCTGTCCCCCAAGTACCAACCACATATCTCACTCTCCTTGAGGATAAGTACAGAGAGTTCCAGACTGGTGGCATAGGAACAAATCACACATTCCTGTTACGGTTTGGTATCCCCTGTCTTGCATTAGTTAATAAACATCAATAACTGGCTGGGCACAGTAGCTCACGCCTGTAATCTGAGCGCTTTGGGAGGCCAAGACGGGTGGATCACTTGAGGTCAGGAGTTCAAGACCAGCCTAGCCAACATGGTGAAACCCTGTCTTTACTAAAAATACAAAAATTAGCCAGGTGTGGTGGTGTGCGCCTGTAACCCCAGCTACTCAGGAGGCTGAGGCAGGAGAATCGCTTGAACACAGGAGGCAAAGGTTGCAGTGAGCCGAGATCATGCACTGCACTCCAGCCTGGGCGACAGAGCAAGACTCTCTCAGAAAAAAAAAAAAGGAAGAATAAACACATTAATAACTGTGTGCTAATACTGATTTGTGAATACTTGGGGTCCAGAAGACAAAGAAGACAAATCTCTGTCCCACAAGGATTTCCCAGTTTAATATGGAAGGCAGAACACACATACATGAAAGGCCATAGGAACAAATACCAAGCAATACGTAACATAAAAATAAATGTACAATGAAGCCTCACTGCTTCAAATGCTGGTAATCTAATCTCTAAGATAAAAAATATGTTCCCTAGTTTTGCTAACACCATTCATTTACGTAAGAGAACAAAATATTTCAAACACTTTAGAGGTATTATTAATATATACATATCAAAAGCAATATATTATTTAAACAATTTCAGGCATACCTCATTTTATTGCACTTCGCTTTATTGTGTTTTGTTGACATTGTATGTTTTTCAGATAGATGGTTTGTGGCAACCTGTGTTGAGCAAGTCTACTGGCACCATGTTTTCCAACAGCATGTGTTCACTTCATGTCTCTGTGTCACATTTTGGTAATTCTCACAATATTTCACACTTTTTCATTATTATATCTAGTATGATCTGTGATCAGTGATCTTTGATGTTACTATTGTAATCGTTATGGGGGCACTGTGAACTGCATCCATATAAGACGAACAACTTAATCGATAAATATATTTTATGTGTTCTAACTGATCCACTACCAGCTATTCCCTCATCTTTCTCCATCTCCTCTGGCCTCCCTATTCCGAGACACAACGATATTAAAATTATATCAATTAATAATCCTGCAATGGCCTCTAAGTGTTCATGTGAAAGAAGAATCACATGTCTCTCACTTTAAATCAAAACCTAAAAATGTTTAAGCTTAGTGAGAAAGGCACATTGAAAGCCAAGATGGGCTGAAAGCTAGGCCTCTTGTGCCAAACACCAAGCCAGGCTGTGAATGCTAAGGAAAAGTTATTGAAGAAAATTAAAAGTGCTACTCCAGTGAACACATGAATGATAAGAAAGTGAAACAGCTTTATTGCTGAGATGGAGAAAATTTTAGTGATCTGGATATAAGATCACATGATTCCCTTAAGCCAAAGCCCAATCCAGAGCAAGGCTGTTAACTCCTTCAGTTCTATGAAAGCTGAGAGAGGTAAGGAAGCTGCAGAAGAAAAGTTTAAAGTTAGGTAGGTTGTTTTAAGAAAAGAAGCCATCTCTGTAACAAAAATGTGCAAGGAGAAGCAGCAAGTGCTGATGCAGAAGTTGCAGCAAGTTATCCAGAAGATCTTGCCAAGATTACTGATGAAGGTGGCTACACTAAACAACACATTTTCAATGTCAACAAACAGCCTTCTATTGAAGAAGGTGCTATCCAGGGCTTTCACAGTTCGAGAGAAGTCAATGCCTGGCTTTAAAGCTTCAAAGGACAGGATGACTTTCTTATTAGAAGCAAGGGCAGCTGGTGACTTTAAGTTGAAACCAGTGCTCACTTACCATTTCAAAAATCCTAGGGCTCTTAAGAATTATGCTAAATCTACTTTCCTTGTGCTCTAGAAATGGAATAACAAAGCCTACATGACAGTACACCTGTATACAGCATGGTATACTGAATGTTTTTAATTAAAAAAAATTACCTTTTGTAGAGATGGGGTCCTGCTATATTGCCCAGACTGGTCTTGAATTCCTGGCCTTAAGCAGTCCTCCTGGCTTGATCTCTCAGAGTGCTGGGATTACAGATGTGAGCCAACGTGCCTAGCCTTTACTGAAGTTTTTTTTGGGGGGATGGAGTTTCACTCTTGTCACCCAGGCAGGAGTGCAACTGCATGATCTTGGCTCACTGCAACCTCTGCCTCTCGGGTTCAAGCGATTCTCCTCCCTCAGCCTCCCGAGTAGCTGGGATTACAGGCGCCCACCACCATGCCCAGCTAATTTTTTTGTATTTTTAGTAGAGATTGGGCTTCACCATGTTGGCCAGGCTGGTCTCAAACTCCTGACCTCAGGTGATCCACCTGCCTTGGCCTCCCAAAGTGATAGGATTACAGGTGTAAGCCACCGTGCCCAACCCTTTACTGAAAATTTTAAGTTGAGACCTACTGCTCAGAAAAAAAGATTCCTTTCAAAATATTACTGCTCACTGACAATGCACTTGATCACCCAAAAGTTCTGATAGAGATGTAAAATGAGATTCATGTTGTTTTCACGTCCGCTAACACAACATCCAATCGGCAGCCCATGGATCAAGAAGTAATTTGGACTTTCAAGTCTTAATAAATGTATTTCATAAAGCTGCTATAAATAGTGATTTTTCTGATAGATCTAGGCAAAGTAAATTGAAGGCTTTCTGGTAAGGATTCACCATTCTAGATGCCATTAAGAACATTTGTGATTTGTGAAAGGAAGCCAAAATATCAATATTAACAGGCATTTAGAAGAAGTCTATTCCAACCCTTATGGATGACTTTTAGGGGTTCAAGACTCCCATGTTGTAAGTAACTGCAAATGTGGGTTTTCAAAGATTTTCAAAGAAGTTCTACTGGTGAGTAAAATGCTATTAAACAGCATCACATGCTCAGAGATATCTTTCATAAAAGGAAGAGTTGAAAGTAAACTTCGTCGTTGTCTTATTTTAAGAAATTACCACAGTCACCCCAATCTTCAGCAACCACCACCTCGATCAGTCAATACTAACACAAGACCCTCCACCAGCAAAAATATGATTCCACTAGGAAACCCAACAATTAATGTGACTTGCTTTATCAAGATACTCGCTTTATTGAAGTGGTATGGAACTGAACCCACAATATCTCTGAGGTATGCCTGTATCCTTTAAACTATGTTTCTGTCCTTTTTCAGCAGTACATAAATCAAATTTCAGGACTTAAAAGTAATGGTAACTGCATTTACAAAATTTTTAATGCATAGTTTTTCACTAACTCAGGCTAGACTTCCCTCCTTTCAAAAGAATGAATCTTTTCTTTGGAACAGATTAAGCACATAATTGCTGACCAGAGATAAGAACACAAAAATGGTTAGAAGGGGATGGGAGAAATCACTTTTCCGTAGCAAAGACCCTTTGAGTACACCTGGCAGAAAGAACTGGATTTAGAGAAGGAGAGCAGAAGAATGAGTATCCCAGGCTGACAAATCCCAGGCTACGCAAAGCTACGCTGCACTCAGCCTGAGGGGCTATGCAGGGGCAAAGGTCGAACCTTAAGCATCTCGAAGCCTGACTGTAAGCACTTGCCCTCCACCTCGGCAGCCAAGTGGGCCAGGTCCCGGCGCTTGTCCCCAAGGTGAGCAGCATTTTCTCGGAGTCGCTGCAGAATGTCCTGTTCCTCTTCTTCCAGTCGTGAAAGCAACACCTGCTGCTCTTCATCCAGCCGCCTATGAAGCTCTTCAAACTCCCTCAAGATCTGCTGTCGGCGACTTTCCACTAGTCTCTGAGAAGAGAGGGAAGATGTTGTATCAGCAGGGTCAGTGTGGTATAAGGAAGCCTTTCTCTCACCCACCATATGTATGAATTAACACAGACTTCCAGTTTCATTGAAAATGGTTTAACAAAGGCTGGGTGTGGTGACACATGACTGTAATCCAAGGACTTTGGGAGGCCGAGGGAGGTGGATTGCTTGGGATGAGAAGTTTGAGACCAGCCTAGGTAACATGGTGAAACCCCAACTCTACAAAAAATACAAAAAATTAGCTGAGTCTGGTGGTGCATGCCTGTAGTCCCAGCTACTGGAGAGGCTGAGGTGGGATGATGGCTTGAGCAAAGAAGGCAGAGGTTGGAGTAAGCTGAAATTGTTGCACCATTGCACTCCAGCTTGGGCAACAGATCGAGATGAAAGACAGACAGACAGGAAAGAAAGACAGAAAGACAAAGACAGAAAGAAAAGAAAGAAAGAAAATGAGAGAAAATGGTTTAACAGAACACTCATTTTTTATTCCATTGGAATTTCCTTCTGTAAAGAATGGCTCCATCACTATCACCCCCCTACTGATGACTTGGTAGTGAAGACCACTGCGGATATATATATTTGTTTTAATTTAAGATAAAGAACTCAATAATATGATGACATTAACTATTACAGATATCAGAGATATCTGTGTTATTATCAACTGTAAAGTTCTAGTTAATTCAATCTGTCGAGAAAAGGAAAGTATAGGCTCAGCATGGTGGCTCATGCCTGTAAACTTAGTGCTTAGGAGGCCCAGGTGAGAGGATCACTTGAGGCCAAGACCAACCTAGGAAACATAGTGAGACCTTGTTTCAACTAAAAAGAAAAAAAAATTAGTCGGGCATGGCAATGCACATCTGCAGTCCTAGCTACTCAAAAAGAATCAAGAGGATGGATGGCCTGAACACTGGAGTTTGAGTTAGTGTGCTGTGATCACTACTGCCCTCCAGCCTGGGTGAGTGAGATTCTGTCTCAAAACAAGCAAACAAAAAACAACGAAACAAAAAGGAAAGTACAAATAATAAAAAGTTAAAAATAAGATTGTCATCCTTTGCATATTGCAACACATGCACCAGATAAAAACCAGAGAACTGGGAAAGTGTAAGAATCAGTAAGAGTTATATGGGTTATTATAAAATATACATATGTAGATTTCAGGGCTGAACTTGTTAAATTGTTTCAAGTCACTTCAGAGAACTGGCAATTCCTACCCCAGGAACAGGTTACAGAAGTTTGTTAGTAATTTAGTTTCTTGAAATTTGAAACATGCTTTCTTTAAGCCAGCACACAGACTTAAGCCTCTAACATTCCTGAAATTTGATAATATAGGACTCAAACACCAGCCATAACACTTTCTGAGAATTATCAGCACATCCTCTCTTCTGCATCTCCACTACAACAAATAGTGATCTCCCTAAAGAAAGAATTCCCCAAGCATCATGTGACTGATGATGAAGCAAAGTGAGAAGCAGAGACTGGGACTCTAGAAGGAAGTGGATAGGGAATGAAAGGCAGGCTTGAGGGTGGAGAGAGAGTGGGGATGCAAAGCCAGGATGGGCCTGACAAGCGTGGCATTTGTGGATTCAAGCTAGTTCCTGGCAGAGGCTGACTAGCTCTTCTAGTTTAGGGCCACTTGCTGCTTCACTTTCCACCACTGCCTTCTCAGTGTACATCTGAACAAAATATATTCTCACATTTGCCCTCAATAAAACACAGCCTTTGTGTGTGTGTGTTTGCACATGTGTGTGCATGCATGTGTGTTTGTTTAGGTATGGGTGTAAGTTTAACATTCATGACTGTGATAAATAGGAAGCAAAAAGGCCCTTCCTCTTATAAACCGGTAATCTTTTCTCTTTTTTTCACTCTATATTTTAGGGCAGTGGTTCTTGATGAAGCTGTTAACACACTCTAAGGATATTTTGGAAATAGGCACATCTTCTTGTTTTCCATGGTTGGGGAAGTTCCTGACAATGACGCAAGCACTCCTCCAATGTGTGAGACAATCCGGCATAGTGAACTGACCTGCAACATTTTCTAATGTTCTGCTGGATATTCAAAAACACAGGCCTGGGCGGCCAGGCACGGTGGCTCACGCCTGTAATCCCAGCACTTTGGGAGGCCGAGGTGGGCAGATCACAAGGTCAGGAGATCGAGACCATCCTGGATAACACGGTGAAACCCTGTCTCTACTAAAAATAGAAAAAAAAAATCAGCTGGGTGTGGTGGTGGGCGCCTGTAGTCCCAGGTACTTGGGAGGCTGAGGCAGGAGAATGGCATGAACCCGGGAGGCAGAGCTTGCAGTGAGCCGAGATGGCACCACTGCACTCCAGCCTGGATGACAGAGCGAGACGCCGTCTCAAAAAAAAAAAAAAAAAAAAACCACAAAAACAAAAACATAGGCCTGGGCTTGAATGCCATTTTATATAGTATAAACACAGAGTAATTCTTACATGGTTTTACTATACGTGAATTTTTCAGCAATAGCTGAATAAAACCCAAGATTATATTGTTATACTTAGAACTTTACCAAAAGTTATTACTATGAAAAATCATATCACCAAGAGCTAAGCTACTTATGGTATTTCAATCATATTGGCACACATCCATCTCAGTCTGAATTTGTATTTATGGCGTTGCTGATAATGACACATATAGGGGCAAGCATATAACCAGCTACACTGTAAAGTCGTTCAGGGTAGTCATGCCCAAATATTACATACCACATTTTATCATCAATTATGTTTCATTATATTATATTTGGACATGATAGACTCTTTAAAATTTAACATTATGCACATAGGTTATATTACCTGTAATTTTCAGTTCAGCATAATTACAAATTATTTTTTAAAGGGGCATTGAGTCTGATGAGGGAGAAGGAGGGAGAATTCAAATGGTCACAAGAGGAATGTTGGTGGTAGTTTTGGAGACCACTGAAATGACAATTTACAGTTTAAAAAACAGGACAGTTCTGTTCAAGCATTTAGAAGGTTTTAAAAAGGTATATTTCTCTCTCCATCCTTTACCTTCAAGAAGGTGATCAACATGAAGAAGAAAGTTAATGACTAGCAATAAGCACCATTTTCATATTTTTAGGTTTCTTGGAAGGCCTCTAAAAGAACAAAAAACTTTAAAAGTTCACATTTCTAACCAAAATTGGTTCAAATTTTAAAATTTCAAATGCTTACTTTGCTAAAATGTATAAGGCACTAAGGTAATAATACTTGCTTTCTGATGAAATGTTATCATTCATTTAAAAATTCATGTTTCTATGAATCAAAACTTGGATTTAGCTTCTGGTGATCTCTACATGTCAACTCTTAAAAACTCATTACTTCTTCGGGAAACCTTTAATGAGGCCAAATTTCTATGTTGTCTTCTTATGAACTTGCAGCTGTGCATTTTGTGCCATTACTTATTTTCTCCACTTAACTTTAAGCTCAAGGAGGGCAGGAACTGTGTTTTTGCTCATCATTGTTCCCCAGTGTCAAATACCGGGTTTGGCCTAAACCAGGAGCTTAACAAATATTTACTGATTCACGAAGAACTAGTATTCCTGGTTTTGCCACTTACTGGCTTTATGATCTTGGACTAGTCACTTACCCAAGGTCCATTTCCTTCTGTGTAAGCTGAAGGTAATAATACCTACCTTAAAGAATATCTAGGTTTACCCCTACATCTTACTAAAGATGGCCTCAGGATTTCCTTCTGTCTCTTTCTCGTAGCTTTTCTATGTCTCACTTATCCCAATTTGGCCTGAACTCTAAGACCCTAACAACCCTATAAATCTGGAATGTTACGGATACCTAATGAATTAATGCATAGGACTCAATTCTAGTTATTTTTGCTACAAATGATAATTGTTCACTGTTCAATGGAAGACAGACAGACACCAAAATACCATGCTACAAATAAGGCAATGCTATAAAAGAGGTGCAAAATTGTATGAAAATTAAGAATGTTAATTTCTGAAGGGTCAGGAAAGGCTGCATAGGAAGTGGCTTTCATCCCGCCTGAGAGATGAATAAGATCCTATGGTGGAGGATGGGGAGGGGGAGAACATTCTAGCATATGTAAGCTTACTTGAGTTTTAAGAATGTGGTCCTAATGTCATTAGATAGTTCTTCTGAGACTCTTGGTCAGCTCCTTTTCCCTTTCTCCCCAGTGAATCTTCCATATTCTCCTCTCTTCAAGTCCTCTAAGAAACTCCCATCCCTGCCTTCTCAGCAGAAAGCCTCCTTTGCTGCTTTAACAAAAAAAGGAGACCAAGAGGCACGAACTCTCTCAGCTCACCAGATGTAAGATATTCTGTCTGTTCTTCATCTCTTAAATCCCTCTTAATACTTAATTCATGACAAGTAATTTAAGTACAATGTTTAATGACAATCAAGCCTAATAAAATGCCATCATTTTTGAGAGAACTACATTGTTCTTTCTTTTTTTTTTTTTGTTTTTTTTGTTTGTTTGAGACAGAGCCTTGCTCTGTTGCCCAGGCTGGAGTACAATGGTGTGATCTTGGCTCACTGCAACCTCCGCCTCCCAGGTTCAAGCAATTCTCCTGCCTCAGCCGCCCAAGTCGCTGGGACTACAGGCATGTGCCACCATGCCCGGCTAATTTTTTGTTTTTAGTAAAGACAGGGTTTCACCATGTTGCCCAGGGTGGTCTCAAACTCCTGAGCTCAAGCAATCTGCCCACCTTGGCCTCCAGAATTGCTGGGATTACAGGTGTGAGCCACCATGTCCGGCGAGAACTGCATTTTTCTAATGAACCGGAACTGGTGGATTAAATAGTGTACAGTTAATTCCCTCATAGGCAAATACCCTTCAGAGCAGCCTACATGGGATTGCCTGCCTTTACCTTGAGCTCACCAGGCTTCTTCTCCTCAGAGGACTTGCAGCGAGTGATCTCCTGCAGCTTCTGTTCCAGGGGCTCCAGACACTTCTGCAGTTTTTCCTGAGGGGTAGGGAGGAAGTGGGAGAGGTGACATTTGGGGTTGACTGGTATACCTACCATTCAGAGATTAAACCATTTGTTTTAAACCATTTATTTGCTTCCTAGCCATCTTACTGCCTCTTGATCTGACTTCCTTCCTTGCCTGTCATTTGGGATGTCAACTTTCTACAGTCCCTCCTCCTGCCACTAGCCTGTCCACATCACCTTCTCTGCTCACCCAACTGTCCTTTTACTGAATCTGAGATAGCTGTCATCAACTCTGTGTCCTTTCTCAACTCTTTCCATTTTCTTACTGAGGCAACTGCCTATTACCATCCAAGCAACCTTCTGTACCCTAATATCTCTCTTTAAACCTGTCCTCCCATCCACCTCTGTCCACCTACAATAAAAACATGGTTATTATACTGTAAGTTACCTGAAATCTTGTTTTCAAGAGTAACATAACTAAGCAAAGTATATGATAAAATGCTAACACATTCATATCTCTGTTCCCTTTATTCAAACATTTTCCTTTGTCTCAGCAGTAAGTTAAATGATATGCCATGTTACCCATTACCTAGAGAAGCTGCAAACAATTGAATGGTTCAGCTTAGTCCGGTAGGTATCAGTCTCAAGCGATATTACCTATGCCCAATAACCAGTGTGAAAACAAGGAGCATTCTGAGCAGGCAGGCAGAATGAAGAAACCAGACTACTTTTCAGTTCTTCCTAAGTTTAATCTTTTCCATGTGGTTTCATTCATTTATGAAAAATATGACCACACATACCAATATTCACCCATAAGACTCACATGTATTGCAAAAGTCAGAGAGAAATTTTAGGGCACTTCTCACCATTGCTCTTTTTCAGGCTAGAGGACAACTGATCACACATACTGTGTGCCCCTGCATATGCAGCTCTGAGAATACAAAGTGAGTAGTAGGAGCTTACGATCTCTACCTAGGGAGTATCTCATCCTCTGCCGCTTCTCCCTTTTTACCCACACTGACATCGTGTGTCTGCTTCCCCACCTTGTACTCCTGTGTAGCATCGTCCAGTGGCACAACGGTGTGGGCCCGGTGGGTGTGGGAAATTGCACATATCAAGCATACAGCCTCCTGGTCCTCATAACAGAAAAGGCTGAGGGCCTCATGGTGTTGGGGGCAGAGGCTCTCATCCCGGATCTTCCGCTTGACGGCCTGGAGCTGCTTGGCAATTTCCACCATACTGCCTAGTTGCCGATTAGGTCGGAGACTGCGGTAGCGGGATGTCTTTCGACAGACAGGACAAGGGAAGTCCCTCTCTAGGTCCTCCCACCAGCGGGTGATGCAAGCTTTGCAGAAGTTGTGCCCACACTCAATGATGACAGGTTCCTTCAGATACTCCAGGCACACAGAGCAGCTCGCCTCCACCTGTAAGTTCTCCAAAGCCGCAGCTGTAGAGGCTGCAGAGGCCCCAGCCTCTAACAGACTTGTCTCTGCCATAATTTAACTTGGGAGTGGGGAAGAGGACAGAGAAAATAAAAATATTAATTGGAGGTTTTTTCTTTTTTTTTTTTTTGCATCCCTGACCCGACATTTATCCCTATGTTAAGTCCTAACTCCAGATTTGCCCCTTCTTGTTATTCTCCATCTTCTCTTCCAATCAATTCAACCTCTTTGTTTCTCCATTTTCAAAACTTGTGACTCCCAGCCATCAACCTTTTTTTTCTTGTTAGTAAACTGACACACAACCCCCAATTGATCTATCTTGTCTCTTACCTCTGCTTTCTCTTGTTAGAAAGAGAAGCTTCCTTCAACTCTAGCTCAGCATACTTCTCCTGATCCAGGCTCATTCCACTTATATCTTAGAACCAATAGTTCCAGACACTGTATCCTCGTTTGACATACGTTTCTAACAGACAAGAAAGGAATCTGAGAAGTAAAAAATGTCATAAAAATATTAACATTTCTTAAATTAACCATATTTTAAAGTTTAATGTTATAAGAGCTTTATGATTAATCCACTGGAGTCTAAGCTTGATTCTCTGACACTGTTCTCTCATTCTTCTAAATCACAATATCCAACCTTTTGGCTTCCCTGGGCCCACTGGAAGAAGTGTCTTGGGCCAGACATAAAATACATTGACACTAATGACAGCTGATAAGCTTAAAAAAAAAAAAGTCCATGCATAACTTTTGTTCTATCACCACCACAGAAGGTCCATGCATAATTTTTATCAGCCACCACAGATAAGCAAAGAGAGTCCTCATATTGAAAGGGTTAGATACCACTGCTCTAAAGGCTAACAAATGGAATGAATGAGGCAAAGGCAACCTCCTCTTTTCAGGAAAATCTGAAATTATTCTTCCTTTTATCCATCAGACTAGCCTAAAGGAAATCTGCTCTCTTCTTGGAATGACATTTCACGCAACATTCCATTTCTCTTGTGTTCATCTGGACACTCAGAACTGCTGAAAACTGATAAATTATGGCAACCATATTAAATATTGCTGAGCTCAGGCCAACAACTTCTTGAAAAGAGAGCAACGAGTCTATTTGTAGTGACTGGAATCTTTCAATATAGCTATTGATAACTAACACCCTGGGCATAGTGTGTCTCCAACTTATAGGTCCTGGAGTGGTTGCGAATTAAGAGACACAAAAGAGGCAATGAGATCTCCCTCAAGCGCAGCCTCAGAAGAATTGGAAATGCATAGGAGAGATTTATAAAACACAAGGCTGGCCCCCTACTCCATCCTTAAAACATCCATACTTTTAGCCATGGGTAAGTTGATTTAACTATCCCCATAACCTTTTCTCCTCCCGACCCCCATCCTTCTCCAGGGACCTACTGGAAGGAAGGAAATTTGGTAGATCTATGTGCTGAGAGATAAGTGGCCATGTAATGAGGTAGGTTAACAACAATTGTTCCTGTATATATTGTTGGCACACACAAATGTGTTTGATTTGGAGTAGGAACTGATAACTTCTTTGGATTTGAATTTCTTCTGTCAGCAATAGGAGAGAAGTTCAGTCAGATGATTTCTATCTGTGGGAATCCAACTTTGACTTGTGGTGATCCTACCCCTTCCTCAGTCTTTTACAAATTAAGTGGCCTCCTCACCTGAGACGAGTAGAACTGTATGCACAGTAAGGCACCAGGACGGATCTAGACTGGCAAAGAAGTGGTGAGAGAAATGGGGAAAGGGTTAGGGAAGAAGGGAGAGGACTCTCAACTACAGTCATAGTGAGACCTTGAGTGCCTCTGCGTTAGTCCTTCCTCTTCCTCTACTCCTTGTGTCTCAGCTGAAGGGCAAACTTCAGGGACAATCTCATTTTGTTTCTACCACTGTTCAGGGTCCCACCTTGCGACCCTCTCCTGAGAGGTTGTCCACAACTCTGTCCCACCCCCGTTCTCCATCTTCTTCCGCCAGATCTGGGGCTGGGGCATTGGAGAGGGGAAAGAGGAAACGTCGTGGCTGGCAGGGTAGGAAGGGATGCGTGTCCAGGTGAGAAAGAGGTGTGACGTGCAGATGGGATGCCCGCCGCTATGACGCTGCCGAGACCCGCGGTGACTGCGTCAGAGTTTCACCCGGGGAGGTGAGCAGCAGCGGGACGGGGGAACGGCGGGGTAGCCAAGCAACGCCGGACGCGCTGACGTCGCCGGGGCGGCAAAACGTCCGCCCGGGCCCGAGGCGGGCGGAGGCAGCTGTGGTTACGTGCGGGGGGCCGGTGACGCAGTCGCGGGGCGCTGGGACGCGGCTTGCGGAGCCGGCCGGCGAGCGCAGGCCCCAGGCTCGGGCGCGGCGGCGGGACAGCACCTACCTTCCCGGCTTCGGGTCCGGGAGTGCGGGGCGCGGAGCCGCCGGAGCGCTGCCTCCCTCCTTCCTCCTCCCCTCGCCCCCGCCCCGCGGCGCGACACACAATACTCGCCGGAAGCGGAAGCCGCGCCGAGGCTCGTGTCAGTGGAAGCTGGGGTGTCGGCGGGCGGCCGCGGCCGGGTCTAGCGGTGCCTGCGGAAGAAGGAGGAGGAGGGCTGGCGATGAGAAGCAGCAGGGGGAATCAAGGGCAAGAAGGGACCCAGAGGGGCAGGTGGCTGAGATGCTGGCGTCCAGGTGACCCGAGGAATCCTCTGGAGATACAGGCCCGCGCATGCGCGTGCTCGAGCGCTGAAGCCCATTGCCCGCAGGGCGCTGGACTGGCGCCCCGGCCGGCGAGGCTGTCTAGTCCAGGCTCCAGGCCCCGGCTCTGGCCAGGCGCCGCCGCCTCCCGGTGCAGCTGAAAGTCGACGAAGAGGGCGGGGCGGGGGCGGCTTGTGGACTTCCACACTTTTCCTCTCTTCGGGCCAGTCTGGGGAGAGGGTGGCTAGCTGTGGCGGCGGCCAATTACGTGGCGGACCTGCGGGGCTAAGCTGGCACGTCACTTCCGACTAGTGGAGTTTTTAGCCTTTTAACATTCAAGGATTAGGTAAGTTCTCCCCGCGGTAGACTTCAAATACTCTTTGTCCTGCCCCTGCTTGGCGAAATTTACCGAAATTATCTACCTATCCCGCTGGAGTGGGAGCCGGGGGAGAGCTGGAACCGCGTCTCTGCTGCTCACCTTTGTGTCCTTAGCTCCTTCGCATGGGGTCCGACCGCAACACGTGCGCTGGATAAACGCTTGTTAACTGGGTGAGAGCCAAGGCCTGTTCTTTCCACTTCTGGGGCTGTGACTTGAGTTTCTCCGCAGGAGCAGATAGTGTTTGTGTAGGGACTGCGGACTTTTGCATTACAGCCTCCCTGCTTTGCCCGCCTGCTGCTGGAAGCTTAGCAGGTCAGTGATTTTGGAGGAAGTGGGTGAGGTGATGAGGCTGGGGAAGAGTATGCTGGGAGAGGTGTGAGGGGCCCGGGAAGAGGTGATGGGGCTGGGGAGGGGCTAGTAGTGGGTAGAGGTGTGAAAAGGCTGAGGAGGAGGGGTTAGTGCTAGGAGGGGTGTGACACGGCTGGTAGAAAAGATAGCTTGCTCCGCCTCCCAGCCGCCAGCACTAGTCATGGAGAATATTCATTGAAAGAGATGAGCAGATTTTGCTGTACTCTCCTCGGTGAGAAAGGGCCCTAATTTCCGGTGTAAATTGTGCTGCTGTTTACAAACACCCTGCATTATTTAACCTCTCATCTTGGGAGCCAGAAACTATTTACTTGCTGAAAATATAATCCAGTATCTAAGGTATAAAGATTTGGGATCACACATGCTAATTACAGTTGTCTACCTTTACTGTTCCTTTTTTTGTGCCAAGAATTGAAGAAGATTAAATTTGAGAAAATTACATTTGATACCTTTTTTCACATTGCTATGTAGCCGTTAGGGATTTTAGCAGCAGCACTTGTTCTAATTCACAAGATGTCTCACTTGTAAGGGTAGTTTGAAAGCCACTAACTGGGCAGTGAGCCTCCTTAGCCGTGGCTTCGGAGGGAGAGAGAGATTTGGTTTTGATTTGTTAATTTGTGGCGCTTAAGATGTTGATAGCCCTCCTTTCTGGCTTTCTGTTTGTAGATAACCAGGAGGAATGTGATTAGACTAAGGAAATTAACAAGAGGAGGTCCAGTTCTAAGGACTGTGAAGAATGTGCTTGCCTAGAGACTGATATTAAGGGGATTTTATGCTGAATATGGAAGGAAAAAAGGGAGACTGTCTAGGTAAAACTATAAAATTATGAAGCGCAAGTAGTATGACATATAACAGGGCTTGGCAAATCTTTGCTGTAGAGAGCCAGAGAGGACATCTTTTTGGCCTTGTGGTCCATACTCAGCTTTCTCCTTGCAGTATGAAAACATCATTAGACAGTACTAAATGAAGGCTGGGCGCGGTGGCTCACGCCTGTAATCCTATCACTTTGGGAGGCCGAGGCGGGTGGATCACCTGAGGTCAGGAGTTTGAGACCAGCCTGGCCAACATAGCGAAACCCTGTCTCTACTTTTTAGTAGAGACAAAAATTAGCCGGGCGTGTGGCGCGTGTGGCGTGCACCTGTAATCCCAGCTACCTGGAAGGCGGAGGCAGGAGAATGGCTTGAAAGCAGGAGGCAGAGGTTGCAGTGAGCCGAGATCTCGCCACTGCACTCCAGCCTGGGCGACAGAGCGAGACTCTGTCTCCAAAAACAAACAAAAGCTAAATGAGCATGGCTGTGTTCCAATGAAACTTTATTATGGATGCTAAAATTTGAATTTAATAACATTTTCAAGTGTCATTAAATACTCCCCTTGGATTCTGGCCCTCCCTCCCCAGTCATTTAAAAATGTAAAAACCATTCTTAGCTTTTGACGTATACGAAGACAGATAGTAGACCGTAGTTTGCCGACTCCGGACAGGATAATAATGAAATATCCGGTATTTTTCAAGCGATAGTAATTGGGAGAGAGTGAAAACAAGCTATAATCTCTTAATTTCATCTGTCTGTTTACCACAATAATAAAGGGGATCTGAATTCTTAACACAAATTTGTTATGGCCTTTGAAAGTTGCCAAGATTTATGAATGTACGTATATTCTCTAAACAAGAAAAGGTATATTCCTTGTTTAAAAAGGATTACAGTTCAAGAAAAGTGGAATAACACCGAGTTTTGATGTTGATTTATACCAAAGGATTTTCAACACAGGAATATGCAAAAATGAACTGTAATAATGGGATGTAATTAAACAAATTTTAAATATACATTTTTAATATTTTTATATCAATAAGGGAAAACAGAAGCAATCTTGAAATGACTGAGTCATATAGAGCAAATGGGCATATAAGCAGTGTAGGTAGGAAACTGGTTGAGGTCAGATATGATGAGATGGGAGGGATGAAGGCGGGGTTTAATTGTCCAAGACTTGTGAGATTCTTACTCATGAAAAGGCAATATATCTAATCCCCCTCCATTTTTTTCATTTTTTATTATGAAAAATTTCAAACATAGAGACAGTCTTCAGCTTGCTTTTTATACTTTATAGTGGCTTTTATTGTTCCAGTTTGGTGACATAGAGCTACCTCACTCTTTTTAAAGTCTGCATTATTCATTTTGTAGACATGTGATTTATTCAACAATTTTGAGTAGACATTTAAGGTTCTTTCCACATCTTATTAAATAAAGGCTGTCGAGAACATCCTTGTACATATCTCTTTAGATCGTCGTGCCATTATATTAGTAGGATAAATTTCTGGAAGTTTGGCTGCTGGGTTCGAAGGCATGGAAATTTAAAATTCTATTAGATTTTTACAATTATCTTTCCGTAAGTGCCTGGCAAGGTGTCAGAGCCCTGGCACCGGGAAGTGGTCAACTCGCAGGTTGGTAAAATGAATTTACCATACCTACAAACAGTATAGGTTTGAAAAAAGGAAAGTTTATTAGAAAGGAAGAACTGAAACAGCCTTTGCAAAATGATGACTGAGACAGTGAAAGAAATCTAACGTAACCGACTCCATCTTGCTTCTAAGCTCCAAGCTGTTCTTGTTCATTCCTGGGCGTAGGCTGAACTAACTTTGGGAGAAACTTAGTTTATAAACAAAGAGGGTAACAGCCCTTTCCCAAAGCAGACTTCCTTCTTGTCTGAGGACTAGACTAACATTAGCCACAGGATTAGAATTTTTGGTTTAGTAGTCATGCAGCTGGAGGCTGCAAGATTCTGACCCTCCCTAAACTGCTCCTGTGATCAGTGCTTGAGGTATTTTGCAGACCCCGTACTTGATGGGTCAGCTGGCACTACCCACATCAATAAACTGGCTCTTTTTTTTTTTTTTTTTTTTTTTTTGGAGACGGAGTCTTGCTCTTGTCGCCCAGGCTGGAGTGCAAATGGCACGATCTCGGCTCACTGCAACCTCCGCCTCCCGGATTCAAGTGATTCTCCTGTCTCAGCCTCTCGAGTAGCTGGGATTACAGGCACCTGCCATCACGCCTGGCTTTTTCTGTTTGTTTTTTTTTTTTTGTTTTTTAGTAGAGACAGGGTTTCACAATGTTGGCCAGGCTGGTTTCCAATTCCCGACCTCCGGTGATCCACTCACTTTGGCTGCCCAAAGTGGCTCATCTGATTATGTGGCCCCCACCCAGGAACTGACTCAGTGCAGGAAGACGGTTTTGATTCCCTACAGTTTCATCCCTGACCAATCAGCACTTCTGGCTCACTGGCTTCCCCCCACCCACGAAGTTATCTTTTAAAACTCTGCTCCCCCGTGCTCGGGGAGACTGATCTCCCACACAGCTGGTTCTGCGTGAAGTACTCTTTCTCTATCACAATTCCCCTGTCTCGATGAATTGACTCTGTCTAGGCATGGGCAAGGTGAACCCCTTAGGCGGTAACAGAACACTGCAGAAGAGTGCAGTGGGGCGCCTCAGCAAGAGGACTAAGTGTGCTGCCATGGATTTTTCTTTAGAGGTATTTATGGACCTTAAGGCAGGAGCTTAGGATAGTAAAAAGAGTTTCGGCATGGCATTTCAGAGATGTATATAAATTTTAGTTACTTGTAAAAGTTGAAAGAGGCCTGGAACCAGACTTTAGATACTAGGAAAGTTTAATTACTTCTGAATTCCCAGAAAAGGAGTTTCGCCTCTGTCTGGCCCGTTTGGTGGTCACCAGGTGGTCTTTGTTCCCTTCGAAATTCCTCAGATCAGGAGCTTTTGTCTGTGGGGCCTATTCAGTGGTCAACAGGTGATCAACCTCATGGTCAACTTCAGTAAGGTTGCACCTATTTTTATCCACACCAGCATATCATGAAATACAGTAGTCCTCCCCTTATCCTCGGTTTCATTTCTCAAGGTTTCATTACTCTTGGCAACCACAGTCTGAATATTTTAAGTGGAAAATATCAGAAATAATTCCTAAGTTTTAAATTGGCACCTAAACAATTCCTGTTTTAAATTGGGCGCTGCACCATTCTGATGAACATGATGAAATCTCATGCCATACCACTCCATCCCTCCCCAGGATTTGCATCATCCCTTTGCCCAGTATCCACAGTGTATATGCAGCCTGCCTATTAGTCACTTAATAGCCTTCTTATCAATTTTACTGCCTAAGTATCACAGTGCTTATATTCATGGAACCCTTATTTTACATGACAGTGGCCCCAAAGTGCAGGAGTACTAATGATGGCAACTTGGATATACAAAAGAGAAGCCATAAAGTGCTTCTTTTAAGTGAAAAGGTAAAAGTTCTTGACTTAAGGAAATTTTTTAAATGCTGAGTTTGCTAAGATCCATGGTCAGAACAAATCTTCTATCCCTGAAATTATAAAGGAGGAAAAAGAAATTTTTGCTAGTTTTACTGTCACACTTCAAAATGGAAAAGTTGCAGCCACAGTGCATGTTAAGCACTTGGTTAAGATAGAAAAGTCATTAAAATTGTGGGTGGGAAACATCACCAAAAAAAACTTCCTATTAACAGCAATCGGGTTCAGTACTATCAGTGGTTTCAGACATCCACCGGGGATCTTGGAACATATCTCCCAAGAATAAGAGGGAACTACTGTAGTCTGTTTTCCTACAGTGGTGCCATTCCTGATATTTTCATATTTTTAAAAATTTGCTGATATTTTTATTTATAATCCTTAATAATTCCATAACAGGTCTTGTTTTGCAGGTAATGTTTTTAACCTTTTGTCAGTAGATAGGCATTTACTTCATTTCCTATTGATACTTAGTTTCCTCTTTTTTTCTGCTACACAGTATTACAATAATAACTTTCTGAACACATGTCATGTGCTGGTAGATTTTTGTGAGAAAGGTTTCTGGGTCGAAGGATATGGCATGTTTCTAATTTGATGGATGTTGCCATATTGCTTTCTCAGTAGGCTGTTAACCTTTACATTTCCTTACAACAATGTATGATCCTGCTCCCTTCCCACTTGCCCAGCAAAGATACATATTATTTATGTTTTTATTTTTTTCCCAGCCAATAAAGAGAAGTCTTAGTTACTTTTAATTTTCTCTTCCTTTAGTAATTTTGATTATGTTACTGTTTGCCATTCAGATTTTCTGTGCATTTTCAATTCTATCCTTTGCCCATTTTTCCTATTGGATTGTTTATCAGTCTCATACATATGCACACATGTATGTGTGCTTGCCCTATCCGTGTGTCCATGCATGCAAACGCACACACACACACACACCCCTACCTGTCCTCATTAAGAAATCCATCCTGACCTCCAGATTCTAATTTGCTTTCTTCGGTTTCTTACAATATTTTTTATTCCTTACATTTAAATATTTTTTAAAAATATCCTGTAAAAGGAGAATCTTAATTTTTCTCCAGAGCAGTGCTGTCCAATAGAAATATAATGGAAGCGAGCCAGGTGCGGTGGCTCACGTCTGTAATGCCAGTACTTTGGGAGGCCAAGGCAGGTTAATCACTTGAGGTCAGGGGTTTGAGACCAGCCTAGCCAACATGGCAAAACCTCATCTCTACTAAAAATACAAAAAAATTAGCCAGGCCTGGTGGCTCATGCCTGTAATTCATTCCAGCTACTTGGGAGGCTGAGGCAGGAGAATCGCTTGAACCCGGGAGGCAGAGGTTGCAGTAAGCCCAGATCGCGCGACTGTACTCCAAACTGGGTGACATCAAGACTCTGTCTCAAAAAAGGAAATATAATGCAAGCCGCTTATATGATTTGTGGTTTTCTAATTATAGCTGCATTAAAAAAGGTAAAGAGAAACAGTTAAAATTAACTTTAATAATATATTTTATTTTACCAACCTAACCCATTATATTTAAAATATTATCATTTTAACATGTAATCAGTTTTAAACAATTACAAATAAGATATTTTATGTTCTTTTGTATACTAAGTCTTTGGAATCTAGTGTATATTTTATACATACGTCACTAGGTCTGTGGTTAAGTGCTTATGGCCATTGTGGGGCTCAGAACTCATACCCGAAAATATGGTGCTGTGGCATAGTAAACTGAAGAAACCCAGAGTTCTCTGTGACCTCCCCATCCCCTACCTCCTCTCTCAAATAAGTTGAAGTTTCTTTATCTGCCTAAGATCTACACCCACCAAAGAGAACTGTTGTTTTTTCTTGCCCTCCCTTGTTAGACCCAGAGTGTACTCGCACCTGAACAGACCCTTTCAGTGTCAAAGAGAACTATTTACATGTTAATCTCTGTTCCCAGATCCATTCATTCTCCCTAGTATCAGCTCACAGCAGCTCCACCAAGCAGTGCAGAGTCCCTATTGCTTCACATTCTCTCAGTACTTGGTATTTTCAGACTTTTGAATTTTGGCCATTTTTACTGAGTATTTTCCATGATTACAAATCAGATAGTATATATTGTCCTATGTTTATAGGCCATTTGGTATTCTCTATTCTGAAACATCTGTTCTGCTCACATTTTTCCATTGAGTCATCAATCTTTTTCTTATGAAGGAGTTTTTTGTTTATTTTTTAGAAAAAAAATAACATTCATTTCTGACAGTTCCAGAGGCTGGGAAGTCCAAGGTCAAGGGGATGCATCTGGTCAGAGCCTCCTTACTCATGGGAACTCTGCAGAATCCTGAGGTGGTATGGGGCATCACATGGCAAAGGAGCAGAGCATGCTAGCTGAAGCCTCTTTTCCTCTTATAAAGCCACTAGTCTAACTCCCATGATAACCCATTAATCCATGAACATCTCTTAAAGGCCCCACCTGTCAATACTGCCACATTGAAGGTTAAGTTTCAACATGAGTTTTGGAGGGGACAAACATTCAAACCATTGCATTCTGCCTGTGGTCCCCCAAACCCATGTTCTTCTCACATACAACTATACTTAATCCCCATATCCCCAAGGTCCTAACTTGTTTCAGCATCAACTCAGAAGTCCAAAATTCCATCTGTGAAATCAAAACAAGTTATCTACTTCTAAGGTACAACGGCAGGACGGGCATAGGATAGACATTCCCATTTGAAAAGGGAAAAGTAGGCCAAAAGAAAGGGTTAATAAGCCCCAAGCAAGTCCAAAGCCTAAGAGGGCAGACATTAAATCTCAAAGCTGGGGAATAATCACCCTTGACTCTATATTCAGCATCCCCCGTACCTGGAGGAATTCCTTTTTTTTTTTTTTTTTTTCTGTTGTAGAGACAGAGTCTTACTGTGTTGCCCAGGCCGGTCTCAAACTCCTGGCCTCAAGCACTCTTCCCACCTTGGCCTCCCAGAGCCCTGGGATTACAGGCATGAGCCACTACGCCTGGACTGGAGGGGTTCTTTATACAGTCTGTGATATGGATTTGTGTCCCTTCCCAAATCTCATGTCGAATGAAAATCCCCAATGTTGGAAGTGGGGCCTGGTGGGAGGTGATTGAGTCCTGGGGATTTCCCCCTGGATGCTGTTCTTATGGTAGTGAGTTCTTGTGAGATCTGGTTGTTTAAATGTATAGCACCTCCCCACTCTCTCTCTTGCTCCTACTCCTGTCATTTAAGATGTGCCTGCTTTCTGTTCACCTTCGGCCATGATTGTAAATTTCCTGAGGCCTCCTCAGAAGCAGAAGCCACTGTGCTTCCTGTACGGGCTGCAGAACCGTGAGCCAATTAAACCTCTTTTCTTTATAAACTGAACTACCCAGTCTCAGGTATTTCTTTATAGCAGTGCAAAAACAGACACATGCAGTCTGGATATAAGCTCTTTGTCGTTTGTATGTGAATCTGGATGTAGCAGTACAGGTGCATTTAGTTTTGCTTCATAAGCATTTATTATGATTCCCGCATCTTCCTGTATATGCTTTACCTAAGTAAACAGATCTATAATAAAGTTCCTTAGAAGATTTTTTATATCTTCCTTTCCCCAACTACTATAATAAACAGCTAGTTGCCTTAGAGACCACTGCAGGTTTTACTATTTTACAACCTGGCCTTTAGTACTGACATTAGGCAAACTCAATGTTGTTTAATAGTGTCAAAGAAAATACTGAATGGTCTCCTCATAATCACACCAGAGATTTTCCAATTTGTGTTGATAGTAGGGAGCTTCTGGTGATCTGGGCTAAGGAGTAAGATAATGAAAATAGAATTTAGAATGTTTTGCTTAGGAATAGATGTCCAAATGGATAAGACAAAAAAGGGACCAGAGACAAGAATATCAGAGAGGAAATGGATGCTTAATGTGAATTGAAGGAATGTCTGAACTAGACTAAAATCCAAAATTACAAATGAGAAGCACAGGGAAACCAGGTGGTAAGTGTGTGCTGAGCAGTAGCTAGAAGCTTGGTGTGGCTGTGACTGGGGTGCCTGAAAGGGCCTGGGCTCTGCAGAGGTGTGTTGGAAGGTGGTGGGCTAGGAGGTCCCCTCTTCCCTGCCCCCCTTCCGTCCTTCCATGAGGTAATTGCATGCATGGGGTTGGGGACTGGCAGACAGGTAAGGACTTTGTCTACTAGGAGAGAAGAGAGTGAATGGGAGGGTGGAAGTGGAACAGGAGGAGAAAATAACTTAGACATAAAAACCCTGCAAAGTAATATAGCTATATCATGATATACAAGGTGCTCCGTGCTATGATTTTAAAAATAAGATATTTTTGAAGTCAGACCATCAGAAGTTCAAGTCTAGAAGTTTAGTCCTTTACTAGTTATAACTTAATTCAATGTACTCTTAATTAAGTTATAACTAGTAGTTTACTAGCTATGTGACTTCAAACAAATTACCTTTTTAAACTTAAGTTTTTAATCTGTAAACAGTATATAATACTAGAGTGTCATTAAGTGATTTTCTGTAAAGCAGTGGTTTAGTTAATGCCTTATTTGTAATGTGAAATTTACTTATAAATAGCTTGATAATACGTTTTACGATTAAAAAAATCACTGTCACTCATGATTAGTATATTTTATTTCATTTAGGCTAACTGCAGCATCCAAGATGCATGGTGATGAAATTACAATTGGATTATGTCTGTATTTCGTCTGGAAAACAGGACTTGAATGCAAAGGCAGCACCAAGCATATCTAGAGTGAAGAGTCTCAACAAGTAGCTTAACAAGATAGTTTCAGGCCAAAGATGATGTATTTAGTGGAATTTAGAGAATACCCCTTTATTTGAAGTTTTCCTATATTGTTGTACTGGAAATGCTTCACTGTATTCAGTCAACTAGAGTGGGTACATGGAATTTTGATATTGCACCTGATTTTGTCCCGTAGAACAATTTATTCCTCCAACACCTCCCTCAGGTGAAAATTCAAGAATTTGCATGGGTAGTCATTCTGATGCATATCTCCAAGCTTGTATCTTCTTCCCGCTGACAATGATGCGTTACAGTCTCTGGCTCTATCTACATGTGATGTGCAAGATGTCTGACAAAAGTCAGAGAAGCCCGTTGTTGAGTTTTGTCTCCAGATCTAAGGATCGGTACTTTTGCCAGATTGGGCTGCTTCTGTTTGAAAAAGACAAGCGTGGGGGTGGGAGAGATTGCTGGTTATCTTCCAGTACCTGTCTTCCTCTTCTTCCTGAATAAAAAATTTTAGCTGGGCACATGGCTGGCTGAATACAAGTTACATTTTTCAGCATCTTATGCAACCAGGTATGGCCATGTGACTGGCCAGTAAGGGTGAGCAGAGATGGTGTGTGCAGCTTCTGGTTCATGCCCCTTGCTTTGTCCCACTGTTTGGAGTGCAGTACAGGTATGGCGGTAAGCCCTGTCAGACCCTGTGGTGGGCCCAGTTCCTTAGGGTAGTCACCTCCAAACTTTGCTGCACATTAGAATTAGCTGGGGAACTTTTAAAAATCCCGGTTCCCAGGTCACACCATGTGTACCAATCAAATGAGAATGTCTCAGGGTGGAAGCCAGACATCATTGTTTAAAAAAATCAAGTGATTCCAGTGTGCAGCAGACTTTGGGAACCACTGCCTTGGGAGTTCCAGAGCAGGAACACTGAGGAAGTCTATGTTGCTGACAGCATTTTAGTCCAAGACTACCTACAACAAGGCCATCACATGTCAGAGAAACAGACTTCTACCTTGCCAAGCTAGACAGCATTTCAGTGTCTCATGGAGTGATCATCTCTAAATTCCTAAAAAGTCGTAAGATTAGTGTTCAGTAGGCCCATGTGATATCATCTTTAGGATACAAGTTCTTGTTTTGATTTTGCTAAGCACTCCGTGGTGAAAATCAGTGGTGGATGCGGCAGCATTGTTAGTGCTTCGTGTTCCTAATTTGGTCTTAGTATCAAAAAGAGCCATCAGTTCCCAGTGCTCATCATCGGCCCCTTGGCCTTCTTCATTTCCCACTCCTTGCTAGTTAAATTCAGGGGCTCAATGGGTAGGTGATCCCAGTACTTGTGGCCACTTAT
Source organism: Homo sapiens (assembly GCF_000001405.40). Lineage (NCBI taxonomy): Eukaryota > Metazoa > Chordata > Mammalia > Primates > Hominidae > Homo > Homo sapiens. Next base: position 1,571,399 of record NT_167245.2, on the reverse strand, counting down.
GTGACACAGATTGATTTATTCTTGACAACTTAGTGTGCTTTCTCCATTTTGGTCAATGATGTGGGTAGTCATCCAGGTAGATATCCTGTCCTATTTACCAGTTGCGAGTTTCTCATTTCCTAATTGGTTTTCCTACCTTCAGCCTTGCCACACTTTGATCCACTTGTACATTACGGAAAGAAGTAGCTCTAAAATAAGACCCTGTAACTGCTGCTTAACAGCCTTCATTAACAGCTTTTTGTCTCAAAGTCCAAACACAAGGTCTTTCACCATTCAGATTTAAAGAGCCACCACTTTCCTTGCCATGGTGAGGGCCAGCGTTACTATATTACATTCATTCCTGTTGAATGAGATGCAGCTTTAGATTTTTTTCATTTTACTGTATTCCAAGTTAGAGTTGGCTTGAAAGATGAAAGATGTCATGGTTTGGGTTTACCAAGAAGCAGACTGTGAGATAAGAATGTGAGTATAAGTAGTTTATTTTAGAGGTAATCTTAAGGAATCTCCCAATTACACTGTGGACACTTGCATCTCAATCCCACTGGAAAACTCAACACTAGAATAGTTCTCAGTTATACCACCCAAGGGGGGAAGAAGCTGGAGCATTTATCTACCAACTGCCATTTTGCCGTTGGTTGAGTGCTGCTTTCAGGGATATTAAGCTTTCCCTTGGTGCAAATTAAGCATCCAAATCAGCCAGAAAAAAGCTTACTGAAAGAGCAGTTAGTAGCCTTCACACAGAGGTGAATGCCTGAGGCAGGGCTAGCTTCATGGACATATACCTATGGAGTTGGTTTACTGGTCTGCTGCTGTCCTCTTGAAATTCTTGAACAAGGGACCCCACGTTTTTGTTTTGCACAGGGATTCACAAATTCTGTAGCCAGATCTTGGTCTAAGGGAATATAAATGGTACAGCAGTAGCTTCTGTTACAAAACCTATTTGTCATTCCTGTGAATTTCTAAGCAGGGACCATTTTTATGCCTGCTGTCTGGTACTATGCTTGCCATTGAAGGTACTCAATGAATGTTTGTTTCAAATGATTAAATTTTCTTTTCCATTTTAATTTTTTTGACAGGTAAAAGTCTTGCAGTGAAAAACCCGAGGACCCTTACCGCAAGTGTCTTTTGCTCCCAGCTACTGATACTGGATTCCACTCGTGATTCTCCCTTTCTTAGCGCATTCATGATATAGACATCAGTCTCTGAGCTGGAGGAGGACAAAGGCAGCGGTCCTGTGAATTCTATGCTCTAGCTTGGGTTAAGGGATTTGGAATTGCACTTGTTTCAGAGGTATGTTAGAGGCAGGAAGAAATCACATAGCGGGTGTCTTGTAGGCAGGAAGAGTACTTACTAGGACTTGAAGACTATGTTAAAGGTTCTTATGTTAATTATCTATTGCCCTGTTTTTCTCCAAAGATTAATGGTTGAAAACAATAAACTTGTATTGTCTCACAGTTTGCGTGGTTAGGAATCTGGAAATGGCATAGCTGAGTGGCTCTGGCTCAGAGTCTAATGTGGTTCCAGTCGATATCAGCTGGGGCTGCAGTTCTGAAAGTGTGAGCAGGGCTGGAGGATCCTCTTCCAAGGTAGCTCACTCATGTGCCTGGCAGGGTGTGCTGGGTGTGCCTGAGGCAGAAGGTGTGTTTCCTGTCACATAAGTCTCCTTTTAGAGTGTCTTCATGGCATGGCTGCTAGCATCCCCCAGAGCAAGTGATTTGAGAGCGAGAGCAGGGAGAAAGCTACATTGTTTTTAATGGCCTAATTTCAGAAGTCACATCTGTCACTTCTGTTTGTTAAAAGCAAGTCATCGAGCACTGACCACACTCAAAGGGAGGGGAATTAGGCTCTGCCTTTTTCAAAGGAAGCATATCACAGAACTTGTAGATGTATATAAAAACACCACAGGGTTTTTAAAGAGTCTCATATTATAGAGCCTTGAGAAGTAAATTCCCATGCCCTTTACCTTACCTGTGAAGTTGCTAATCTGATACTAATTGTTCATTCTCCTGCTGTTCTGCTCAGTGTCCCTTCCCGTGTGTTGATACAATAACTAGGGTTTATAATCATCCTCTGAGAAGATAAATGTTGGGCACATAGAAGGAAAATAGATGGAGTGGTGGTGGTATGCATTTATTTCCTAGGGCTGCTTTAACAAGCTACCAAAAACTGGGTGGTTTAAAACAACAGAAATTTATTTGGTCAAAATTCTGGAGGCCAGAAGTCTGAAATCCAAGTGTCAGCCAGGTTGGTTCCTCCTGGAGGGTCTAAGGGAGCATCTATTTCATGCCTCTCTCCTAGCTTTTGGCATTTGCCGGCAATCTTTGGCATTCTTTGGCTTGTAGGCTTGTCACTACAATCTCTCCCTCCATCATCACATCACATTCTCTATGGGTGGGTCTCTTTGCATCCAAGTGTCCCTCTTACAAGGAAACTAGTCATTGAATTAAGGGTCCACCCTTAATTCAGTATGACCTCATCTTAACTTGATTATATTTTCAAAGACCCTATTTCCAAATAAGATTACATTCTGAGGTTCTGGGTGGACATGAGTTTGGGGGACACTGTTCAAACCAGTACAGGGTATAGATAATAAAACTCATGGGTGTCTCTAGATACTCTTCACCAGAGAGGAGAGTTTCCATGACACTACAATAGCCAGATGTCCCTGATGCAGGCATGCAGTTGGGCATGAACTAGTCAGATTGTAGGACTGTGGCTGCTACTAGCTCATATGTACATATCTAATTATAGGAAGCTAAGAAAATTAGTATTAAGTACAAGAGGTTGAAAATGGTAATAGCATGAAGATTATTCCTCAGAGCACTTTTCTGTGCCCTTATTGTCAAGTGGTCCTGGGAAATGGACTTTTATCAAGTCTGACTCTTATGTTACCACCTTGCTTGAGTGCTCAGTGCCATGAGATCGTCCCAGAGGTGATCCCTTGCATACCCTGGTCTTTAGGCAAAGCCTTGTTTTCAAATCGCACAAGTAAAAGATGTGCTCTGCTAAGTGACATTTCAGTGGAAGAATCAGGATATTGACAGAGGAAGCACTTTTACCTCTTGACTGGTATTTCATAGGCTAGGAAAGTATGGAACTTGATTTTCCTGTTTCTCAAACTGGCTCTATTTCTTTAGGAAGGGACCAAAAGGAGCTGCCCCTAGTATAGGGAGCAAACAGAGGTTTTCTATAAATGTTAAATTAAGGAATGTTTTTCTCATAGGGATAGCTGTTGGCATAATAGTAGCTAATGATTATCTATAGTGACTCATTGGACTTCCACAACATCAGTATATGATAGGTTTCATTACCCCATGTCTCTCCCCACCACCATTGCCATCCATCAAAACTAAATTATTGATGGTTTCCTAAATCTAATGTCTTGTTGCACCGCTTGATGCTTTTACTGTTTCTTCTTCCTGGATTTCCCTTTGCTTATATTGTGAAGCCCTCCTAATCTTGCTCTAAATGTCAGGTTATTAATGTTTTTCTCTGTACTACTTTTATATGTTTAACTAGTATTGTTGGATTATTGATATTTTCATATCTGAACTGTGCTACACTGGAGAGCTACTTTAGCATGGAGATTGGTTTTGTTTTTCATTCCCTAATAGTGCCTGACGTGTGGGGTGGGGGTGGGGGCTCAGTTCAAAGAAGGAACCCAAGGCTCAGCATGATTGAGTAATTTGCCAAAGGTCACACATCTGGTGTATGGCAGAGCTAGAAGAAGAATCCAGATCTTTAGCCACTTACCAACTACAAAGAGAAAAACACTGCACAGAAGTCAGGATGTCCAAGGACTAATACTGGGTCAACAGCTCTTGTGTTACTCTACCTTGATGAGATATTTTACCTTTGTGAAATTTTCTTTATCATTTGTAAGGCTATTTCTAGATCCGTGAACTGCAAGTTATATTTTTATGCATTTTTCCCCAAGGAATTGGAAAAAGTCTCAATATCAATATTCTATTCTATATATTCTTTTAAAAATCAATGTCTGAAGAGGGAAGTTGTAATGTAGGTGTAGAGAATGTCCTTCTCTGGCTCAGAGTATTAGGAAGTTGGACTAGGCATTCTGTAGGGCCCAGGGCTCCTCTTGACTATTGTAGCCTGAGTCTTCATACCTTCCCTGAACACTCTCCATTGATGACTATATAGCCCTTTATTTATCCTTTCCCTCATCAGCATGTTGAGGTGTCACATTTCCTCAGCAGTCTTGCTGGCGTGGGTGTCATGTGTTGTGGGGAGGCCGGGGTGGGGTGGGGGTGTGTGCGGGGTGGTCCTTTTTCTGCTGTCCAAGGTCCTGAAGATGTGTTTCTGTGTTTCCTGAAAGTTTCTCAGTTTCCCAAATGCAAGTTTGAGATTTTATTTGTTTTTGAAGAAATTAAAGAGATGATAGGTGATCTGCTAATGACTTATTGGAAGTCATAGGAGAATGGAGGGAACTACCCAGGTGATGGTGTTAGAGTTTGATTTTCTGTTCTTTTTTTTTTTTTTTTTTTTTTTTTGAGACAGAGCCTTGTTCTGTTGCCCAGACTCGAATGCAGTGGTGCAGTGGTGAATTCTCAGCTCACTGCAATCTCTGCCGCCTCCCGCGTTCAAGTAATTCTAATGCCTCAGCCTCCCAAGTAGCTAGGACTATAGGCATGCACCAACATGCCCAGCTAACGTTTTGTATTTGTATTTGTATGGGGTTTTGCCATGTTGCCTGGGCTGGTCTCGAACTCCTGAGTTCAGGCAATCTGCCTGCCTCGGCCTTCCAAAGTGCTAGGATTACAGGCATGAGCCACTACACCTGGCCCAGATTTTCTATTCTTTTGCATTCCTCTCTCTTCTAGTCCCTTTCCTTTGGCTGTCTTTTTTTTTTTTTTTTTTTTTTTTTTTGACATTGTCTTGCTCTATCGCCAGGCTGGAGTGCAGTGGCATGATCTCGGCTCACTGCAACCTCCGCATCATAGGTTCAAGTGATTCTTCTGCCTCAGCCTCCCAGTAGCTGGGACTACAGGCACATGCCACCATGCCCAGCTAATTTTTGTATTTTTAGTAGAGACAGGGTTTCACCACGTTGGCCAGGATGGTCTCAATCTCGACCTCGTGATCTGCCTGCCTCGGCCTTCCAAAGTGCTGGGATTACAAGCGTGAGCCACCTTGCCCTGCCTCCTGTGGCTGTCTTGTTGAGTCATTTGTCTCTGCTTTTCTTGTTGCTCTGGTCTCAGTCTTGTGATTTACTCCTAGAGGTGCTGGCAAGCCTGAGCTCAGATTTAGGAATAATGGGGTTGGGACAGGAGAAGGATGAGATAGGGACTAGCAGCTGATGAAAAGGAAGGGTGGACATATTCATCGTAGGGGTTTCAGGAACTCCATTATCTCACACTCAGCCCCTTTGTCATCTCTGGGATCAACACAGTGTTATCATCGATCAGCCCCCAGATTCACTTCAGTGAATCTGTAAAGAACAAGCATGTCCTCCTCATCCCACGAATTCTGCTGCTTAGAAAGCCACCTGAAAGTGATAGCCCTTAAAGTCCTCAGTCTGCCCCTTTAGAGCACCACAGAAAGATCCCTGAATGGAGATCCTGACCCTTAAGTATGGAACTGCTGGGAAGAGCTATTTGGAGATTATCATTACATGGAGGGTTAGTAACATCACTTTCTCTTCCCTTTATCCTCATTTTTTTCCCTTAAAAAAAAACACACACACCCACACAACCATTTCTTTGCTATTTGCTGTTGGTATCCAGTATGCCATTGCTTTCTTAATTAATGAGATACATTTTCCCTTCCTGTATGCCTATTTTAATGGTCAATTTCTGATATCTCTAAACATGTCTTTGTTGTCCCCTCCCTCCATTTCCACTTCCACTGTCCTATTTCAGTTCTGGACTATAACAATTGCCTCCCTACCTTTATCTGAGCATTTGGTCTCACTCTCTTGCCACACTCCCAGTCTTTCCCCTGTATGGCCTCAGTGATATTTCTAACAAAAAACTCTGACTATAGTATTCCCCTACTCAGTCATCTTTAATGATTCTCCTTCACCTCTTGAGTAAAATCTAAATCTTTTTGGAAGGGTGTTTGAGGTTCCTCATGGTTTTGTCCATTGGGCTGGACTAAGGTTATGGATGAGAGACTTGTGAGGAAGAAAAACCAGTTCTAGAGAAATAAAGGCATGGCATCTTTGCACACTTACAAATGCAGGAAGAGAAGGTTTAAAACCATCTTTCTAGAATATGCCCTTTGGCTGGTGAAAAGAGCAAAGTTGATCCTTCATATTCCTCCTTTTTCTTAAAATCATAAATCTCTCCTCTACTTCCTTCTCTTTTGCTTTCAAATCAGCATTTTTAAAAGCCATTTCTTGGCCTGGCACGATGGCTTATGTCTGTAATCCCAGCACTTTGGGAAGCCAAGGCGGGTGGATCACCTGAGGTCAGGAGTTCGATACCATCCTGGCCAACATGGCGAAACCCCCATCTCTACTAAATATACAAAAATTAGCTGGTGCGGTGGTGTATGCCTGTAGTCCCAGCTACTCAGGAGGCTGAGGCAGGAGAATTGCTTGAACCTGGGAGGCAGAGATTGCAGTGAGCCGAGATCGCATCGCTGTACTCCAGCCTGAGCAATAGAGCTACACTCCATTAAAAAAAAAAAAAAAAAGCCAGGCCAGGTGCGGTAGCTCATGCCTGTAATCCCAGCACTTTGGGAGGCTGAGGCGGGCAGATCACGAGGTCAGGAGATCGAGACCATCCTAGCCAAGGTGGCAAAACCCCATCTCTACTAAAAATACAAAAATTAGCCAGGCATGGTGGCGCGTGCATGTAATCCCAGCTACTCGGGAGGCTGAGGCAGGAGACTTGAACCAGGGAGTCGGGGGTTGCAGTGAACCGAGATCACGCCACTGCACTCCAGCCTGGCTACAGAGCGAGACTCCGAATCAAAAAAAAAAAAAAAAACAAACAACAGCAACAACAAAAAAGCCATTTCTTGATCCTGCTTACCTGTGTAACACCATCTTCTCTTTCGCTGCAGTGAAGTTGTCTGTGTTTATCTCTGTGTTTATCTTCGTTTCCTCAGTTCTCATCATTCTTGAACTTCTGCAGTCCTCCTTCCTCTTGCTACTCAATTTACACTATCCCCATGGTCATCAGAGGTTTTTCCCTTGGTCTTCTTTCTGGCACCTGATACCACTCAAGCTACTACTTCCCCACGTCTACATTTGCTCTCTTTTGTCCCAGAAAATTATTGGATACAGTCTAGGATACAATTGCTCCCTTTGTCCCCACATATACCCTACACACCTTGCCTCTCCTACAAACCTATCCAGAATCTTCTTAATTCCCCTCACATTCCCAAAATGAGCTGAGCAGTCTTTGAAGTAAAAATTAAGCTATAGTTAAGTTTCACCTCCATTTCACTTGTGCATTTTACTCCTTTTTTTATTTTTTTAAACCTCTTTCAAATGATCCTTGGGCTTCGAGTACCATGATCTACCCAGACTTGCATTCCCTGGGCTGTGTTCTAGTTCTGGTCATGTCAGCTTTTCCCTTCTGATGAATCCTTGTAATTACTTGAGTCTCATTCTGTCAGGCAATAGCCACAGTGAAGAAGCCAGTGTGCGTTATGGCAAAGCCCAGGAAGACGTAGGTGTGAATTTTTGCTTTACCATTTCTTGCCTGTGTGACTTATGCCATGGGGCTTCACTGGTCTGGGTCCCAGTTTCTCATCTCTTAGATGACATCATTTTGTTGGGAGGATTACATGGAGTGATATGTATAATATATCTGATAACTAAGTGGTTTCAGTTAGTGGTAGTTGTTTTTATTTGACATAGTCTTGATAAGTATTAATTTCTTCCTAAGCCCAGGGTATTTGTATTTTGACAACAAATAAGTTTTAAGTAAATCAATCTATAGATATTATGGAAATCTGGACCCCTATATCCTAGCTGAGGAAGGGTATCTGGCACCCATTGCCACGTAGGAGCCCCTGGGCTCCAGGACACCAGGGAAAAGAGGTTAAATAGGTCCCCCTCCTCTGACATGATACCCAGTGATTCAGTCAGGGTACAATTGGGAAAACAACCCATACCACAGGGACTGGTTACAAAAGTCTTGAATAGCTAAACGCAGAACAGGATGGTTAAGTTGCATTATGTAGACAACAGTGATTCAGGTGGGCAGGCCCTACCTCCTTGAGGTGTTATCTGTGGACAGATTTTTGTGCGATTGTGGCACAACCCTGGGTTTCTTTCTTCATGTGCCTGTTCTTAATGGGCCCAGGAGAGGTAATTCAAGGGAGCAAGGGACCTGTAGAATGATCATGTCCTCTTTTTTCTAGCCATAAGGTTATGAATCATATATCTCGGGGGTGTGATTCTGAAGGAAAGAAGTGTGTGCCATAGCAGGAGAATGGAAGGCAGACAGCTGTTGCTATTACTAGAGTTTTAGCAGCCCCCGTAACTCAGCTAGCCCAGACTAGGATCTCAATATGGGGTGAGATGTATTTTCCAATATTGAATAGCAAATGATGTAACTTTGTCATCTTCATGTTGATCTTAAACATCTCTCTGATGAACAGTATAAGAAAACAAATGATCACTTAGAGGATCCTGTTTGGTAGTTAAAACCGTATTAAAATAGAGAGGGAAGAAATTAAGCCTCCTTGATGGTGAAGAGATTGGGAACCACCACTCCAGTGTTAGAAAATGTCAAATGACAGAAGGTGGGCTATATTAAGTGGGAATTTCCAAACCCCACCCCCTGGAAGGAAGGAATGCTTGGTGACAAGCCTTAGAGGAGAGAGATGCTTGTCTAGCCCATTGCCTGTGTGCCCAGGAAGAGATGTGCATACCTTGAGATATAGAGAAGACTCTAGTGGGGAGAAGCCCCAGGCCAGCTTGTCAGCACAGGGCATCGGAGGCCCCCAACCAGCTCCAAGTTCTGAACAGCACACAGCCTTCAAAGGCTTGTACTGCTGCTCATACCCAGCAGAGGCCTTGCACCAGGCCTCCCCATGCAAATCAGTGTCCCCGCAGCGTAGGTAAAGGAGCTCTAGCTGTGCTCCCTATGGGGGAACAGATATACCGTGGGACACTGAGAGACTGGAAGATTGCCCAACATTTATTTACTGATCTGTGTTCACCACAGAACCTAAGGTATTTATTGGTATTGTTTCAACCAGTACGAGTGATTCTTTCATTTAGTGGTCATCTCTGCACTCCACCACAGACTTTTGGGAATTACAAGATGAAAAGGGCCACATCCTCACCCTGGCATAGCTCAGAAAATTTGGTTGGGGAAGTAGGGACATAGACGTGATCACTACACCATAATTTACTAAGCTGTGAGAACTGGAGGTGCATCAGTGACCAGAGTGCATTTGAGCCAGAGGTAGAAGGTACTGTAGACAAAAGGAACAACATGCGCTCTAGGCTGTATCATTAGGTACAATTTTCTGTCCTTGGGGGAGTCTTTTTAACCCTAAGACAAAAATTATGAATATAGAAAGAGGCCACGGTTCATCTTTGCAATTCTTTCAGGAGAAAATTTGCTGCAACTCACTTTCTAAGTTTAAAAAAAAAAAGAGTAAATGATATGAATATCACCTGAAAGAATTTGAGGTCTCAAACTTGGGAGGATCTTTGAACAACAATCTTGGGGAATGCCTAACAGTTCATACTCATTTCTTGATATCTACAGATGGAAACTCTACAGCCTTACATATATTTCTTTTTTCTTTTAACTACTTTATACTCACAGAAAATCAGTGTTCAGCACTTCTAATAGCAGGTCTAGTGGAAGCTTGAGATCAGAACAGAGTTCCATAAAGGGAAACTGAGGGCACACAAGGCAGAGCAGTACCCCCTTATCCATGGGGACCTGTCTGACTGGAAGTAAGGGAGAAGATTCTACTCCACAGAGAATCAGGGAAGGTTAAAACTGTGTGTGTTTGTGACACTTTTGCTCTCTTGGGCCCAGATACAGGCCGGAAATCCTTTGGGTTCTGGTGACTCAAAGTGTGGCCAAAAGGACCAGCAGCTTTAGCTTCTCTGGGAGAACATATGAGTGCAGAATTTCAGGCCTGCACCAAGTTTTTAAACGTCTGCATTTTAACAAGCTGCTCTTAATTTGCTTACGTATTAAAATTTCCAGAAGCACTGTTCTAGGACCATCTTTAAGTGTTATCCAAAAACATGTAAGATCTTTTTTCAAAGCAAATTCTCAAGCTCTACCCTAGAGGGATTGCTTCTGGTTCTCTGGGGTTGGTGCAGGAATCTACATTTTCGGCAAGTGCCTTAGATCCTTGTGCACACTAGCATTTGAGGATTGCTGCCTTAGATGGTGGGAAATCTGAGCAGGGGAGGGCTGTGGGCTGAAAATGAAATGATGATGTTTAGGAACTGGCACAAGCATGCTTCTGCTCCTGGTGGGAAGCAGTGGGACAGATCCAGTTGATTGTAGAGAATGCAGACCTCGTGTCATGCTCAAGTGTCACCTTAATGTAATGGCTGGAGACAGCCACATATGACCCTCTCATTGTCCAGTCAGTAAGCTCAATCAATGACAGGAACCACTGACTCTGGTAATTAAAAACTTATTGTGGCCGGGCACAGTGGCTCACGCCTGAAATCCCAGCACTTTGGGAGGCAAAGGTGGGCAGATCACCTGAGGTCAGGAGTTCAAGACCAGCCTGGCCAACATGGTGAAACCCCATCTCTACTAAAAATACAAAATTAGCTGGGCGTGGTGGGGTTGCCTATAATTCCAGCTACTCAGGAGGCTAAGACAGGAGAAACACTTGAACCCAGGAGGTGGAGGTTGCAGTAAGCTGAGATCGCATCATTGCACTCCAGCCTGGGCAACAAGAGTGAAACTGTCTAAAAAACAAACAACAACAACAACAACAAAAACACTTATTGCTGGGCAGGTTCTCATAAGAGGCCATGGGAAAGCCATGTCCTATCTCAGGGACACAGGGTCATCTGGGCCTCTGGCTAATAGAGGCCAAATAATGGGACTATTTTCCCTGTGAAATCCTGAAAACCAAAAATGGTGGCGTCTTTATCTGCATTAGCAGAGGTAATTTGCTCCTTCTTGAAATCCAAGGTCACGTCTACTGTCTGGGGATTTTGATCCAGGGTCAGTGTGGTTTCTCCTTTACAGGAGAGCCGAGTCTCAGAAAGGTGAGGTGGTTTGTGTTGGTCATTGGCTACCTCAGATTTTAGAGCAGCTCTACCTTGATTGTGGGGTTGACCTAATTTTTTTTGCTGTCTTCTTTCTTCTCCAGGTGAGGAAAGAGGACTTCCTGTATATCTCTATCCTTTTGTTTCCATTACTCACTTTCTGTGGCTGCTGCTGCAGAAGCCACTGCTGACTGATGTGGATACCTCAATCTTTGGTTTACAAAAAGCCTAGGTGTCTTTTGGCCTCTCTCCAGGTTGATAGCCATGGCTCCTGAAAGAAATAAAAGATGATCATCTTTCTAAAAAGTCTTAAGTCTGAATTATTAGTAACTTAACTGGAGAATCTCACTTTTCCTACTCTCGTATTTTAACCACAGTTGCTCTAACACAGACCTTTGAGGATCTTTTCATGACTTCATTCACAAATACCTATTTATGCTGTACAGATGCTACTAGGAAGGAAATAGGGATGTCTGTTTTGACTGTGGAACTTAACTTGGTCTCGTCTCTTCGTGCATGCAACCCTGTCCTTGGGATAGCTTTCTTGAGCATATCTACTTATGTTCAAGAGGTAAATTGTCCTGAAACCCCCATTGCTATAAGTATTTATTTTATTACTCATAATACTTAATGCTCCTAAAGTTGGGGTATTTTTTTTTTTGGATACCTAAACTTCATTGAGATACTTTGAACTATTTATAGAGAAAACGGAACCTTCTAATACCTGGCTTCTATTTCTTAAAATGTTATGATCATACATGGCTTAGGGCTTTATGGCCAAATAACTTCACTGAACCCAGGAAAAAGAATAGATCCATCTGAAACAGACCTGTAGCTTCCAGAGGCCTAAATTTTCGGCTCCATTTGTATCCTTCATTTTCTGTGAGGTAAAGAAGTGGAAGGAGACAAGCCTCAGCCCTTCCCCTGGCACCTTTACTCTTCGCCCTTCCTCCTGGCATGGTGGAAAGTGCACTGGAGGAGGAGTGAAGGGCCCTAGGTTTGCATCCATATTCTGCCACTTGCCAACCTTAATGGCCCTTACAATTGATTTACCCTCATGAAATTTGGAATGATTTCTAAAGTCTTTCCTCGCCCTGAATGTTAACATTTTTTGATAGTCAGGACTTTCTGTAGCTTCACCTTCCTTATTTAGTGTTATTTTTTTCTCAAGACTGAACAGAGAGGGAAGCTGTCAAAGTGTGCTGGGCACACACCCTGCAGTGGGGCAATGGCCAATTCTAATCTCAAGTCATTAGGCTGCAGTAGCATGACCACTGCTTCCTGTCTACCCTCAGAGGGTAGAGACAGCTGAGCTCCTGTAGTTGGGGTCAGGCCCAGCCACTCTGTGGGGACAGTGATTAGTGTTGTGTCACCAATTCAGGGAAGGAGCCACCTTGTCTTATTTTCCCTCTTGAATTATCTTGATATGACCCCATTATAAATTTCCTTTTGTAAACCTCTGTCTCCCAGTTTCTCCTTTTAGCTTACTTTCTATTGAAGTAGAGGAACAGAGTACAACTTCCATCCTCTTTCATCAGCCCTGAGAGCAGAACGCAAGCGCCGTTACTGGGAACTATATCCTTGGCTCCCTGGATGTGGCTATTAACTTCTGGCCTGCCACTCTATCACATACACATATGGAGATGGTGTCATCCATGTACCTTACCCCGTATTTACAACTTCTATCACCCAACAGTGCCAATGGCCCTGATGGTCCCTCTGGGAGGGAGAGAAGAGTAAGCTGGAGTCACCCCTTCCCTGTACTTCCCACCTCGCCAGGCCTGTTGGTGTTAGTGTCCCTTCTGATCTTGGCCTGACCCCTGTGCCCTGGGCACTGGGCTGCAGGTTGGAGAGGCAGCATGATGGAGTGGGGATAACACATACTCCAAAACCAAACAGAAGCCAGACCTGGGTTGGGTCCTGGCGAAACAGTCTAGAGGCTTGGTGACCTTAACCTCCTAATTAATCTTCCTAAGCATAAGTTTCCTTATCATAAGTTATGTATGATAAAATTTTCCTTGGATGCATTCATTTTAGCATGACTTGAAATTATGTGTGAAGGAACCTGGCCCACGGAAGTTGCCCTGTAAATTCAGATTCACTTTCCCTTGGACATATGGATGACATTAGCTCATTACAGTTATGACCTCCCTAAAACTCCCAAATATTCTTTAAGTTCTTCTCTTATTTTCCCTTTAGTTTGTAGTCATATTTCTTAGTTCTTATATCAGTTGGGATTCCCACATCTTCTAGTTGGACAATATTGGAGAAGACACCACATTTTAACTGAGTTCCAGTGATATGACAGGCTTTCAATTCTCTAATCTCACAGAAGTTAGAAAAAAAGTAGATAATCAAAATCCACAGAAAATATAGAAGATTCCATTAACTCTGAGAATGATTCTCAGGTATCCTTAGGACCTCAAGAAAGCTGTTCTCTCCTGGGCCTGTAGAGAGTTCAAGTGCCAGGAATCTACCACAAAGTAGCCGGGAGGTGCAGGGCAGCAGGGGGCACAGTGAAGTGCTGAAGGGCTTCTCAGTCTTCTTTAATTAGAGTGAGAAGAAAAGAGCACCTCCTCATTTTAGAGTACATGGTGTGAACTCACTCTCAGCTGCCAAGTGAGCTTCACCTTGGGCTGTTTTGCATGCTTTCTCCTAGTGCTTTAAGCCACCCTGAGATGTACAGACCAATACTGGCCATCACAAAAATATACTCGAGTACATAGACCATTGACACTATAAAGCAAGTAAACAATGAAGTCTACATAACAGCCAAATAACAACATGATGATAGGATCAAATCTGCACATATCAATATTAACCTTGAATGTAAATGAGCTAAATGCCTCAATTAATAGGCAGAGAGTGGCAAGTTGGACAGAGAAGCAAGACCCAACTGTATGTCTTCAAGAGACCCATCTCATATGCAGGGACACCAATAGCCTCAAAGTAAGGGATGGAGAAAGATCTATCAAGCAAATGGAAAACAAAAAACAGCACTCTCTGTCCAACAAAAACAGAATATACATTCTTTTCAGCTGCACATGGTACATACTCTTAAAATCGACCACAATTGCTTTATTGGCCAGAAAGCAATTCTCAACAAATTCAAGAAACCTGAAATACCGGCCAGGTGTAGTGGCTCACACCTGTAATCCCAACACTTTGGAAGGCTGAGGTGGGCAAATCACTTGAGGTCAAGAGTTTGAGACCAGCCTGGCCAACATGGCAAAAACCCATCTCTTCTAAAAAATATAAAAATTAGCCGTGCATGGTGGCATGCGCCTGTAATCCCAGCTACTTCGGAGGTTGAGTCACGAGAATTGCTTGAACCTGGGAGGAGGAGGTTGCAGTGAGCTGAGATCACGCCATTGCACTCCAGTCTGGTTGACAGAGTGAGACTCATCTCAAAAAAACAAAAAAACCCTGAAATACCAACCACACTCTTGGACCACAGTGCCATAAAAATAAATACCAAGAAGATCTCTCAAAACCATATAATTAAGTGGAAATTAATCTACTCCTGAATGACTTGGGTAAACAAAGAGAAATTAAGGCAGAAATCAAGAAATTGTTTACAACTAATGAAAACAAAGATAAAAACATACCAGAATCTGGGACACAGCTAAAGCAGTGTTAAGGGAAAACTATAGTGCTAAATGCCCACATCAAAAAGATAGATCTCAACCTAACATCACATCTAGAGGAACTAAATAAACAAGAGCAAACCAACCCCAAAGCTAGCAGAAGAGAATACCCAAAATCAGAGCTGAACTGAACAAAATGGAGATGAGAAAAACCGTACAAAAAATCAAAGAAAGCAAAAGTTGGTTCTTTGAAAGAATAAATAAGGTTGATAGGCACTAACTAGACTAATAAAAAAAGGAGGGGGGAGATAATCTAAATAAACACAATCAGGAATGACAAAGGGGACGTTGTCACTGACCACACAAAAATACAAAAACCGCTTGGAGACTATTATGAACACCTCTGCACACAAACTAGAAAACCTAGAAGAATGGATAAATTCCTGGGAACATACAACCTCCCAAGATTGAACCAGAAATTGAAACCCCAAACAGACCAATAACAAGTTCCAAAATTGAATCAGTAATAAAAAGCCTACTAACCAGAAAAAGTCCTGGACCAGATGGATTCACAGCCAAATTCTACCAGACATATAAAGAAGAACTGGTATCATTCCTACCGAAACTATTCCAAAAAATTGAGAAAGAGGGACACCTCCCTAACTCAGTCTGTGAGACCAACATCATTCTGATACCAGAACCTGGCAGAGACACAACAGAAAAAAAGAACTTCAGGCCAATATCCCTGATGAACATATATGCAAAAATCCTCCACAAAATACTACCAAATGAAATCCAGCAACACACCAAAAAGCTAATCCATTGTGATCAAGTAGGCTTTATCCCTGGAGTGCAGAGTTGGCTCAACTTACCCAAATCAATAAATGTGATTCATCACATAAAGAGAACTAAAAACAAAAACCACATGATACCTTAATAGATGCAGAAAAGGCTTTTGGTAAAATTAAACATTCATTCATGTTAAAAACCCTCAACAAACTAGGTTTGAAGTTATAGTCCTCAAAATAATAAAAGCTATCTCTGACAAACCCAAAGCCAACATAATACTGAATTGGCAAAAGCTAGAAGTATTCTCTTTAGGAACTGGAACAAGACAAGGATGCCCACTCTCACTACTCCTATTCAACATAGTACTGGAAGTTCTATTTGGAGCAGTCAAGTGAGAGAAAGAAATAAAAGGCATCCAAATAGGAAGAGAGGAAGTCAAATTATCTCTCTTCATAGATAATGATTCTATACCTAGAAAACTCCATGGTCTCTTCCTGAGGGCTTCTAGATCTGAAAAAGAACTTCAGCAGAGTTTCAGGATACAAAATAAGTTTACAAAAATCAGTAGCATTTCTATACACCAATAACATCTAAACCGAGAACCAAGTGAAGAATGCAGTTTCATTCACAGTAGCCTCAAGAAGAATAAAATACCTAGGAATACAGCTAGCCAAAGAGGTAAACAATCTCTGCAATGAGAATTTTACAAGACACTGCCCAAAGAAATCAGATTACACCAATGGGAAAACATTCCATGCTCCTGGATAGGAAGAATTAATATTGTTGTTAAAACTGCCATACTAGTCAAAGCAATTTACAGATTCAGTGTCAAACTACCAATGACATTTTTCACAGAGTTAGGAAAAAAAATTCAAAAATTCATATGGAACCAAGAAGGAGCCCAAATAGCCAAAGCAATCCTAAGCAAAAAGAACAAAGCTGGAGGCATCACACTACCTGTCTTCAAATTATGAGGTTACAGTAACTAAGACAGCATGGCACTGGTACAAAAACAGACACATAGACTAATGGAGCAGATTAGAGAACTCAGAAATAAAGCCACATACCTAAAACCATCTGATCTTTGACAAAATTGACAATAACAAGCAATGGGGAAAGAACTCCCTATTCAATAAATGGTGCTGGGATAACTGGATAGCCATAGGCAGAAGAATGACACTGAACCCCTATCTTTCGCCATATATAAAAATCAACTCAAAGTGGATTAAAGACTTAAATGTAAAACCTAAAACTATGAAAATACTAGAAGAAAACCTAGGAAATACCATTTTGAGCATCAGCCCTGGCAAAGACTTCATGATGAAGACTCCAAAAGCAACTGCAACAAAACCAAAAATTGCCAAATAAGCCTTAATTAAACTAAAGAACTCCTGCACAGAAAATGGAACTGTCAACAGAGTAAACAGCCTACAGAATGGGAGAAAACATCTGCAAACTGTGCATCTGACAAAGGTTTAATAACCAGAATCTATAAGGAACTTAGTAAGCAAAAAAGAACCCCATTAAAAAATGGGCAAAGGACATGAACACTTTTCAAAAGAAACATAAGAAAAAAAATGCTTAATATCCCTAATTAGGGGAATGCAAATCAAAACCACAATGAGATACCATCTTACACCAGTCAGAAAGGCTATTATTAAAAAAGTCAAAAACTAACTGATGCTGATGAGGTTGCAGAAAAAAGAGAATGCTTATACACTGCAAATGGGAATGTAAATTAGTTCAGCCATTGTGGAAAGCAGTCTGGAAATTTCTCAGAGAACTTAAAACTACCGTTTAACCCAGCAATCCCTTTACTGGGTATATCCCCAAAGGAATATAAATAGTTCTACCTAAAGACACACGCACATGTATGTTCACTGCGGCACTATTCGCAATGGCAAAGATACGGAATCAACCTAGATGCCCAGGTTCGGTGGCTCACGCCTGTAATCCTAGCACTTTGGGAGACCGATTCGGGTGGAGTTCGGCGAGGTCAGGAGTTTGAGACCAGCCTGGCCAACATGGTGAAACCTTGTCTCTACTAAAAATACAAAAATTAGCTGGACATGGTGGCAGGTGCCTGTAATCCCAGCTACTCAAGGCAGGAGAATCGTTTGAACCTGGGAAGCAGAGGTTGCAGTGAGCCGAGATCGCGCCATTGCACTCCAGCCTAGGTGACAAGGCGAGACTCTGTCTCAAAAAAAAAAAAAAAAGAAAATGTACATATACACCGTGGAATAGAATACTACACAACCACGAAGAATGACATGATGTCCTTTGCAGCAGCATGGATGGAGCTGGAGGCCATTCCTTAAGACAATTAATGCAGGAACAGAAAACCAAATACTGTATGTTGTCACTTTTAAATGGGAGCTAAACATCGAGTACACATGGACACAAGGGAGCAACAGACACCAGGACCTACTTGAGGGTGGAGGGTGAAAGGAGGGTGAAGACTTAAAAACTACCTTTTGGGTATTATGCTGATTACCTGGGCGACAAAATTATCTGTATACACAACCCCCACAACATTGTAATTTACCCATATAACGAACCTACACATGTACCCCTTGAACCTAAAATGGAAGTTGAATAGTGAAAAAAAATAAAAAAATATATTTTTAATCAGGGAGAAGGGGACTGGGCATTGTGGCTTCTACCTATAATCCCAGCACTTCAGGAGATTTGCGGCAGGAGGATTGCTTGAGGCCAGGAATTTGAGACCATCTTAGGGAACATAGTGAGACCCCATCTTTACAAAAATTTTAAACATTAGCAGGTATGGTGGCATGCGCCCATAGTCCCAGCTACTCAGGAAGATAAGGAGGGAGGATCATTTGAGCCAGGAGTTTGAGGCTGCAGTGAGCTGTGACCACGCCACTGCAGTCCAGCCTGGATGATACAGCAAAATCGTGTCGAATGAAAAAGAGGGATGGGGGCAAAAAATTTTGCCTTGAGCCGGCCCTGCCATTAGATGAACCCATTAAGAGCAATTTCTGTTTGGTAGACTCAGAGTTCACTGATGGATGCTGTCGTTGTTAGATCACTTTAAAAACTGTACAGTGTGGTCCAGCACAGAGCACAGTCTTTCAAATGAAAGAAAGCTGGATTTAAATTCTGACTGTGTCTCCTAAGGTGTAGCCTTGAACCAAGGACATTCCTTCAACTCTTGCTTTGATCATAAGTAAAATGAAGGATAATCAGTAATGTGAGTATACTGAAAAAAATGAAAGCACTGAGCATGGTGCTGGCATCCAAGAGAGGCTCAATAATTTTCTTTATTTTTATTTCATAGAATTCCTGACCTCAAAGAACATATCTATGAGTGATTTCTGATAGGGAAACATGTTGACCTTGTCCCAAATACCTAGTGCTTTCAAAAAATAGTAACATGTCTAACAGTCTATACAAATTCTTCTCTCTTGTCAGGTAGAAGTGAGAGCAAGAGTCGTAACAGCAAACACCCTTCTGACCTCTGAAATGCTTCAAACTTTAGATTACAAAGATTTTGTTGTCACGGACCGGGACACAGCTGGGGGTGTTGGAAACCACACCCACTTCTGCCTGAGGGAAAGACAGGATAGTAGCTAGGTGACCACTAGATACCCTCTCTCAGAGTTGAAGGGTCCTTAAGCCTGAGAGGTCATTATTGTCATCATCTGTGCCCTGTAATGAGGTGTTAGTAGGGGTGATATGTATTTCTTCTGGACTGGGAATTTAACTGCTGGTTTATGTTCTTCCAGAGCTCCCTCTTTGCCCACTAGCAGGGCATTAGCTGGTGCTGAAGACAGTGGCTGCTTGGCGAGCCTGGATCTCCAAGTGACCCCCTCAGCAACTCCTGATGAACAGGTAGCATGTAAAAGAAATCTTTTTGGTTTATACCAGTGAGATACGGGAGTTGTATATCATTGCAGCATAATCTAGGCTATAGATGATGCAATACTGCTACATTAGGGTCTTTGATTTCTAGTCAGGCCCTATGCCTAGGATAGCTTACTGCTGGCACACTCTTCAGCCAGTCTCTCAGCTCTGCACAGCACCAGATATGCCAGGATTTTGGCCTTTGATTCAGAGCTCTTTTCTGGAATTTTCTTCATGACCAGAGAATACCTCTGTCTTGCTTTGCTGACAAGAGGTATTAATCTAGAAATGGCTATAGTTATAGTTCATACAGGAAATGTGTTGCAAAAAATTGAGCTAATCTAGAGAAGAGAAAATAAAAGATGGGAAGTCTTAGTTGCATTCAAATCCCTGGTTCCAGTTGTACCTGAGGTGCAGTTACATTATTGTTCCTTTAGTTTGCTAAATAAGATAATGAATCCCCATGTTGACAAGGTTAAGTTAGATTTCTATAATTTTTCTAGGAATAACATAGTGTTTTTATTTGCCCAGATGTTATAGCTCACCTAAAAAAACCCTATCTATCCAGGGCTTTTGTTGCCTTTTTTTTTTTTTTTGAGACGGAGTCTCGTTCTGTTGCCCAGGCTGGAGTGCAGTGGCGTGATCTCAGCTCACCAGAACCTCAGCCTACGGGATTCAAGTGATTCTCCTGCCTCAGCCTCGCTGGTAGCTGGGACTACAGGCATGCACCACCACACCTGGCTAATTTTTGTATTTTTAGTAGAAATGGGGTTTCACTGTGTTGGCCAGGCTAGTCTCAAACTCCTGACCTCAGGTGATCTACCCGCGTAAGCCTCCCAAAGTGCTGGGATTACAGGCATGAACCACCATGCCTGGACTATTGCCATTTTCAGTGTTGTGTCCAGTGATGTTTCCTTCACACCAAGAAGTCTTCAGGGGATTCATATATGGATTGTGAAATCCTCTAGTGACATGGAAGTTTCTGTGTCATGCAGATAGAGAAATTGTGATGCCTGGATGCCTGAGGTTTTTTGGAGTGAGGTACTATGCATTTGCAAGTAATTGTAAACTGTATAATCCAGGATTAAAAGATAAACTATTGTTGCATTTAGAACTGTGTTTAGAATACAATAATTTGTTGTTGTTTTGTAATAGGACTGAAGCCAATATTAAAGCAAGTCAACCAAAGGTTCTCTGGTGTAGACAAGACAGCAAAAGGACAGACTACCTTGTGGAACCTAGCATTGTTCTCCTTCTGCAGCACTAAGTAACATTTGTTCTCCGTTAAGATCTTTGCAAACCACACACAAGAATTGCTGGTCATCCTGCCAATAGATGCTGCTCACAGAACCAAATTTCCTGTGCTGAATTGTCACTCATGGGCTTGAGAGTAGGAGACTGGAGACCAAGGTGGCTAGAATCCAGTTGGGCCTGATGTCTCCCTGTTGAAAGGGCTCCTTGTGGAATGAATAGCACATGGCTCCTGTGGTGGATCTGATAGTGGCATAGCACCAAGTGATGCAGGCCTGCCAGGGGCCACAGACACAGAAGATGCTCCCGGGGTCCCCCATGTACTCCAGACACACTGCAGGCCACCTCTCCCAGCAGGTTGCCAGTCATGGGCCCCATCATCATGACTTCTGTCCAAGGTGTGCTCGGAAATCTCTTCCTTAACTGTGACTTTCTGACAGGTGGAGGATGTGGTCAGGAGTGGGAAAAGGATTCGAGACGGGAAGAGGGAGGGGTTCAGGATGAAGAGAGATAATCTGTGCCACAGATGCTGGCCCTGCAGTTAGCTCCCACCTAGTCCGTGCACACACATTCTAATCCCCTCCCATTCCTTTACATGCTGCGGCCAGAGAGGCCTTTCTCAAAGTGGAAGTCTCATCCTCACTTCTCTGGTTACAGTGCTGGGCCATGGTAACTTACAAGGCTTAGCAGGAACTGTCTGCGCACTCCCCCTTCCTGCCCACTACCTTGTTTCCCTCCAGTTGCGAGAGAAAACATTGATTGAGCATTAACTATGTGCCAGGCTTGTCCTAAGTCCTTTGCATGTATTCACTCAAACAATCCTCACAACATTCCTATCACATCTCCCATTTCACAGTGAGGGTTCTAAAGCACGTAGTGGGTGAGGAACTTGTCCAGGGTCACACAACTAAGTGGGGGTGGAGAAACATCAAATCTAGGTGGTCCAGGTGGTGGCCAGAACCCATCAGCACCTCACTACAGCTGCCTCCAGTTTCTCGCTCTAGGAAATACTCTTCCCTGTCAACTCCTGTTGTCCTCTGGGCTCAGTTGACATGTCATCTCCTTGAGGAGGACATCCTGAGATGCTCCCCGACTAGGGTGGGCACCCACTTCCACACTCCAAATGCCTATTTGACCTGTGTATCGCTGCATCCCCACTGCCTGGCAGATAGCAGGCCCCTAATAAATATGATTTGAGCAAATAAATATAGTTCTTCAAAAAATAGGGAGGACTTCTTGCTTCAGGTAATGGTAGGCTAGGACATTTGGACCAACCCTCCTGCAGAAAATAGCCATTTATTTTGATGCAATATATCTGGCTATGACTAGAGATTTCAAATATTTGGAGGGCTATTATGTGAAGAACTAAACTTACTCTTTGTGACATAGAGGTCAGAAATTGGTCGTTTCCATAGAGTATGAGAGAGACAGAATTGTGCTCATCATAAGTATCTTTTTTAAAAGTTAGACTTAATAAAATGGGCTGCCTTGGTAGGTGGTGAGTTCTCTGTCACGAAAGAGATTCAGCCACTTGCTCTGAGAAAGCATGGAGAATATCAACATTGTAAGGGTCGACCACCTCATCTCTGAGGCCCCCTCCTCACTTAGGTTGCCATTGCAGGTGGAACACTGGGCTGAGTGTCAAAGAACCTGGGTTCCACAAACTGTGCGACCATGGCTGGTTGTTTTGGATCTCATTCCTAATATCTGTTAGTTAAGCTGACCCGTCAATACTGACCCACTTCACAGAGTTATGAAGGGATTAAATTAGGTATTACATGTAAATCTGTTTTGTTTGCTTTTTGTTGTTCTTTTTTGTTTTGCTTTTTTCTTTGCATTATGAAATCCCAAGTCAACTTTTTCCATTCTTTTATTTTTTTAAAAATTGACATCATCATTATAACCACAAAATAATTTTTAAAATGGAAAAAAAAAACTCACCTGCAACCCCACAATCTAATACAATAATCATACTTTTTTCCCTTTATTCTCCTTTATTGTGACCAAGGATGACTTTGGGCATTGCTGTGAGGAACTATTTCGTTTAACACCCTACTACCTGAACATGATGCGTACTCAGCCTTTCACCACCCCCCAAGTAGCTACACATGATGTGATAATAGTATTGGTGGTGGTTTTAGAGAGTTGGAGAGAAAACTGAAGTTGGATTTGGGTAAAAGAAAAAAGAGTGGGAATTATTTTTTCTCCATTCTAAAGCCCATAAAGCAATGTTAATTGTTCCCACCCCTCTGCTATTCTGTCTCCTCAGGTACTGTGTGCAGAAATGTGATTGAGATTCAAGTCAGGGCCTCTCTGCCCTTTTCCCTCCAGAAACAAAACCAAGATAATTTATCCTGAACACGGTGAAAAAAGGAAGGGAGGGAGGAGAAAAAGTCCGGGTCTCACCTGGGATTCTCTGTCTCCTGCAACATGAAGGATTTAGCCTGGGAGGAGGTGGTGAGAACTCTGGGAGAGAAAAAAGAAGGAAAGAATAGTTTTACCCATGCTGAAGTTAATTTAAACCTTCACCTAGAGAAGCAAAAAAAAAAAACCCACACTTTCCCATTTTGTGCCTCCCTTCCTAGAGTTTTAGCCAAAGGTTTAGCTAAGTAATTGGTTTTACCAGCGCACTCACTCCTCCTATCCCAAGTCTGTTTGACTCCCTCCCCATCATCCTCCTCACCTCTTTTCAGGCAGGGTGGGGATAGCAGCAGGAGGAGATTTTGGGAGCCTGGCAACTCCTGCAAGGACCGCAGGACAGCCCCTCTGTGGGGATGCGTGGTGCCCCATCTGCCGCCCTTCTGAAGAATGCACTGCCTTCACTTTTTACTGTGTTAGAGTCCATCCAGACTGTTCTATCCAAAAAAGTTTCTTTTTCCCCCACAGGCAATCAGGAAATGATTCCTTTCCCGACTGCTTCTGTCTAGTGCCTGGGAATCTTGAGTCAATCCCTCAGTAAGTCAGTGACTAGGGAAATCCCTCTCTGAGCCTCCCAGTTCATGTTGCTTAGGGAACCTGATATTTTCGTGAAACCTGCCTACACATGGGCAGCCCAACAGCAGAACAAATGGTGGTGACCAAAGTGAACAAAGAAGTATAGTTGTGCCAGCTTCGTAGTTGCCCATGTGGACAAGTCAGCAGGATCAGGACACGAGGAAGAGTAAATGTGAGACAGTCAATGTGACTTCTGCGATAAACAGATTTTTAAACCCCGAAATTTTGCAAAATTTTGGTGAAACCTGAACTTTCTTCGTTGCATATACTGGCACTATCTGTACCATCATACAACTGTCTCACATTAAAGCTATTTTTCTTGGGCACTGATGAGTAAGGTTGGTATAAGTTCCTCAGATCAACAAAAACCCATTTTCCTGTAAGTCTTACATTTAGTATTTAAGGAACTAAAACTTAAATACATTTTGTGAAATGGTTGACACTTCACTGATAATGATTTATTGCTTGGATTAATAAATTTTCCAAAAGTTGTCTTATGTAGAATATGGTTTGCAACCAGCAGAACCATTAATCTATACTGCAATGATATGCACTATGTATAATTGTTTAAAAGCCTCTACTTAATGATGTAAAATGCTCTATTTAATTACACATTTGGGTAAACTGTATACTAACATCTGATGGCATTTTTCCACTGTTTGTTGCTTTTTTCAAATACTTTATTGTACAAAGCTGTTCTTAATATTTTTCAAGTTTTTTTCTTTGAATTTTGCTAATGTTTTCCTTGAATTATGAGCACTGACAGAATGTGCTTAGCACTTTTGGCTATTCACACAGCTTTTGAGCATGATTTGCATCCAATATTTACATTGCTAGCAATAATAAGCCATCTGTGAGTTTTGTCAAAAGTTATTGGGGATTTTTTAAATTTTAGAAATGCAAATTATTGTTTCTTTGAACTAACTCTTATGCAGTTGCAAAGGCATTTCCAGTTGTTATAGTTTGTGTACAATATCAGGTGTTCCAGATTATGATTCATTATTAATATCATTGCTTCCTTGTTCCCTCTGAGGTCCAGAAGATTCATGTTTACAATATTTAGAAACAATGTTAAAAAGGTATCCAAAGTTTGTCACTTTATTATTAGTTTGTTCTTAATATTCTGTTTAAGTTTTTGAATTCATAGATATCAAAACGCTGCACAATTATGATTTCCACAGGAATAACAACACACTAACAATAAGAACCAAAAACAGCAAATAGGCTGCCTACAAGTTTTGACAATATTAGGATAATGATAATGACAGTTTTTCTAAATCTCACAGTAAAGAATGCAGCAACCCAGCAACACTGCTACCTGTGGCCTCAGGCTGCAGTGTCAGCTCTTCCCTGGGTCTCCAGCCTGCCAGTCTAACCTGAAAATTATGTACTTGCCAGCCCCCACAGTCACGTGAGTGAACTGGCCCAGGCTGGTCACCAGGGTCAGTTTCTCTGTGTGTCATTAATTCATTCAGTCTTCAGCAGTCTCTTTGGAGCTGAGATGTACCTACCATCTGCCTTTTGGGTGCTTAGGGTGGAGAACCAGAAAAGTATAACCTAGTGTGTATCCTCAAAGAGCTAACAATATGGGGTGGTACCTATAGGTCTGGAAACACTTTACTGACTCTGTGAGGCATACCAGGAGACGTCAGAGAACAGTCCCTCCTCAAATGCCAAATGAGATGCAGAAGAAATAGTTTGCTCAAGTTCATGGGCCAGATATCCCAGTGGTCAGGGAGTTTCATGAATGAGATGGAACTTTGCATGGAACCCGAGGGATGTGTATGATTTGAGTAGATGAAGAAAATGAGACTTTCCAAGCAGCTAGAAGTTAGGGAGCAGCAAGATGTGTGGTGGGATTGAGCACAGTTGGTTCAGAGGATAGACTGCAGTTTTAATAATTTGTAGTAAATATCTCCCAACTGTTTGGCACTATTGGAGCAAGTTCTTGAATGCCAAATGAAGGCATAAATCAGTAAGAGGCATAATAAAAGGCTGAGCAGTGCTTGGCTTTTTACGAACTGATCCTGATAGGAGCAGCTGTTCAACAAAGTTGCCAGGTCACCGTTACATAGTCCCTGCCTTCTAGGGGCTCACTGCCTACTGGGAGAGACAGTCTGAAAGTTGGTGGAGCATGTAACTGTTGGATGAGGAGTTTGAGCCTGTGGACTGTGGGACCCCCGAGGAGGGTGTGGCTACTCTAGGCAGAACAATCCCACAGTTTATTTATATTTAACCTTGAAATTCATTAGAGGATTTTTCAGCAGAGGTTTGGTACTTGTTAATGTTAAGGTTTGCATTCTCTAGAACCTCAAGGAAAGCTGTACCGTGCATAATGTACCCTCTTATGTTAATGTTGTGTACTGTGATCCTGTTTCAGGGACTTGCACTTAGGAATCTGTTACAGTGAGCACAGAAGCAGACCTGTGGGCTCATAGTCTTCACCCCCCACCCATATATACAAGATGAACAGAGTGGAGGTTAAACAACTTGACTAAACAACACAGTTCATGGTAAAGCCCAAGACTGTACCTGCCCATCCACTGCCTTTTCCATGTATCCTGGAACTGAGCATAGACCTCTTCCCAGGCAGAGCTGACAGCAAGTAAAGGAGATCATAATCAGGGGACCAAACAACTTTGTCTAAAGTGTGAATGTCACCTAAGGAGAAGCTGTGAGATCAGAAGGGTGGGGCAGAGGAGCAGACACCATGAGGGAGAGTCCTTGGGGGTACATCTGCCAGACTGACACTGTCTGGCCTGGGCAGTGGAGGGGCTAGCAGGAACCACAGGTACTGGTGGTGTGGCTACTACCGTTACAACTGCCTGTGCTTGGACATGGACCCTCTGCAATATGCGGCAGTTTCATTCATTGCCCCCTACATTCTACACCAAGTAGAAATGGAAGGCAATTGGATACTTCACAGACAAGATCTAAGTGGAGAAGGAATGCGTCCTGTGGCTGCAGAGATCCTTGGAGCTTGGAGGGGAGAGCTTGAGCCCCACTGATGATGACCTCCCACAGCTCGCCAACTCAGCCCTCCCTAAGTCCCCATCGGGGGCCAATTCTCACTCTGGGGTTGGGGGGACTCCACCATAGCTCATCCATCATAGGGATGTTGGTATCTACTGTGGGTTGGGTAGGGCCGATGTGCTGAGGATGGCTCCCCCACAAGCAAGAGATGTGGATTTGGGGAGCTTCCCATCTTGTGTTGAAGGAACATAACTCAGAATAATAAGAGCCAACTATAACAAACCCACAGCCAACATCATACTGAATGGGCAAAAGCTGCAGGCATTCCCCTTGAAAAGTGGCACAGGATAAGGAAGCCCTTTCTCACCACTCCTATTCAATATAGTGTTGAAAGTCCTGATCACAGCAGTCAGGCAACAGAAATAATAAAGGGCATCCAAATAGGAAGAGAGGAAGTCAAACTATCCTTGTTTGCAGACAGTATGATTCTATATCTAGAAAACCCCATAGCCTCAGCCCAAAAGGTCCTTCATCTGATAATTTCAGCAAAGTTTCAGGAGACAAAATCAGTGTACAAAAATCACTAACATTCCTATACACAGTCGCCAAGCCAAGAGCCAAATCAGGAGCACAATCCCATTCATAATTGCCACAAAAAAGAATAAAATACCCAGGAATGCAGCTAACCAAGGAAGTAAAGGATCTCTACAATGAGAATCACAAACGCTGCTCAAAGAAATCAGAGATGACACAAACAAATGGAAAAACTTTCCATGCTCATGGCTAGGAAGAATCAATATCATTAAAGTGGCCATACTACCCAAAGCAATTTATAGATTCAATGCTATTCCTATCAAACTATCAATTACATTTTTCACAGAACTAGAAAAAACTTAAAATTCATATGGAACCAAAAAGCCTGAGTAGTCAAGGCAATCCTAAACAAAAAGAACAAAGGTGGAGGCATCACATTACCTAACTTCAAACTACAGGGCTACCATGACCAAAACAGCATGGTACTGGTACAAAAGCAGACACACAGACCAGTGGGACAGAATAGAGAGCCCAAAAATAAGGCCACAAACCTACAGCCATCTGATCTTCAACAAAGTTGACAAAAACAAGCAATGGGGAAAGGTCTCCCTATTCAATAAATGGTGCTGGGATAACTGGCTGGCCATATGCAGAAGATCGTAACTGGACCCCTTTTACTATGTACAAAAATTAAGATGGTTTAAAGAGTTAAAACCCAAAATTATAAAAATCCTGAAGATAACTTAGGCAATACCATTCTGGACATAGGAACTGGCAAATATTTCATGATGAAGACACCAAAAGCAATTGTAACAAAAGCAAAAATGGACAAATTGGATTTAAGAGCTTTTTCATAGCAAAATAAACAACAGGGCAGACAATCTACCAAATGACAGAAAATTTTTGCAAACTATGCATCTGACAAGGGGCTAATATCTAGCATCTATAAGGAATTTAAACACAGTTACAGGAAAAAAAAAACCCACTCCATTAAAAAATGGGCAAAGGACATGAACAGACACTTTTCAAAAAAGACATACATACAGCCAACTAGCGTGTTAAAGAAAACCTCAATTATCACTGATCATTAGAGAAATGCAAAATCAAAACCATGATGAGATATCATCTGCCAGTCAGGATGGCTACAAAAAAGTAAAAAAATAATAGATGTTGGTGAGGTTATGGAGAAAAGGAACTTATACACTTGTTAGGAGTGTAAATTAGTTCAATCACTGTGGACAGCAGTGTGGTGATTCCTCAGAGAGCTAAAAACAGAACTACCATTTGACTCACCAATCCCATTACTGGATATTTACCTAAAGGAATATAAATCATTCCACCATAAAGACACATGCAAGTGTATGTTCATTGCAGCACTATTAACAGTAACAAAGCTGGGCACAGTGGCTCACCTCACGACTGTAATCCCAGCACTTTGGGAGGCTGAGGTAGGCGGATCACCTGAGGTCGGCAGTTTGAGACCAGCCTGACCAACATGGAGAGACCCCATCTCTACTAAAAATACAAAATTAGCCAGGTGTGGTGGCTCATGCCTGTAATCCCAGCTACTTGGGAGGCCAAGGCAGGAGAATTGCTTGAACCCAGGAGGCAGAGGTTGCAGTGAGCCGAGATCACACCATTGCACTCTAGCCTGGTGAAGGAGCAAGACTCCATCTCAAAAAAAAAAAAAAAAAAAAAGAAAGAAAGAAAAATACACATTCAGAGGAGACAAAAAATAAAAAACAATGATGCATGCCCACAGGATCTAGAAAATAACTTCTTAAGGGCAAATCTAGGAGTTATTGGCCTTAAAGAAGAGATAGAGAAAGAGATAGGAATAGAAAGTTTGTTGAAAGGGATAATAACATAGAACTTCCTAAACCTACAGAAAGATATTTATATCCAAGTACAAGAAGGTTATAGAACACCAGGCCAATTTAACCCAAAGATTACCTCAAGGCATTTAATAATCAAACTCCCACAGGACAAGGGTAAAGAAAGGATCCTAAAAGCAGCAAGAGAAAAGAAACAGATAACATACAATGGAGCTCCAATACATCTGGCAGTATATTTTTCAGTGGAAACCTTACAAGCCAGGAGAGAGTGACATGACATATGTTAAAGTGCTGAAGGGAAAAAACCTTTTACCCTAGAATAGTATATCCAGCAAAAATATCCTTCAAACATGAAGAATAAACAAAGACTTCCCCAGACAAACAAAAGCTGAGGGATTTCATCAACACTAGACTGGTCCCATAAGAAACGCTTAAGGGAGTACTTTGGTCAGAAAGAAACAGACATTAATGAGCAACAAAGAATCATCTAAAGGTAAAAAACTCACTGTTAAGAGTAAGTACACAGAAAAACCCAAAGTGTGATAACATTGTAACTGTGGTGTGTAAGTAGAAAGAATAAATGATAAACCAATCAAAAATAGTAACTACAACTTTTCAAGACCAGTCAGAAAAATAAGATAAAATTAGAAACAACAAAAAGTTAAAAAGTGGGGGGATGAAGTTAAGATGTAGAGTTTTTATTAGTTTTTTGTTTGTTAATGCAAACAGTGTTACCAGGTTAAAATAATGGGTTACAAAATAGTATTTGTAATCCTTATGGTAACCTCAAACCTAAAAACATACACTGGATACATAAAAAATAAAAAGCAAAAACCTAAATCATATCACCAGAGCAAACTACCTTCCCTAAAGGAAGACAGGAAGAAAAGAAAGAAGAAGACCACAAAACAACCAGAAAACAAATAAATAACAAGGCAGGAGTAAGTCTTTACTTATCGATAATACATTGAATGGAAATATGGACTAAACTCTCCAATCAAAAGACATAGACTGGCTGAATGAATGGAGAAAACAAGACCCATTGATCTGTTGCCTACAAGAAACACACTTAAACTATAAAGACACACATAGGCTGAAAGTAAAGAGTTGGAAAGAGTTATTCCATGCCAATGGAAACCAGGAAAAAGAGAAGGAGTATTGATTTTGATACAAAAACTATGAGACAAATAAAGTCACTATACAATGATAAAGGGGTTAATATGGTTTCCATTTGTGCCCCACCCAAATTTCGTGTTCTATTGTAATCCTCAATGTTGGAGGTGGGGCCTGGTGGGACGTGATTAGATCATGGGGGTGGATCTTTCATGACTAATTCAGCACCATCTTCTTAGTGCTGTTCTCATGATAGTGAGTTCTTCTGAAATCTGGTTGCTTAAAAGTGTGTAGCACCTCTCCACACCACCCGCTTGCCTTGGTCTACTCCTGCTATGTAGATGCTTGCTCCCACTTTGCATTATTCCATGAGTAAAAGCTCCCTCAGGCCTTCCCAGAATCAGATGCCGCTATGCTTCCTGAACAGCCTGTGGAACTATGAGCCAATTCAACCTCTTTTCTTCATAAATTAACAAGTCTTGGGTATTTCTTTATAGCAGTGTGAGAACAGAATAATACAGAAAATTGGTAAAGAGGAGTGAGGCATTGCTAGAAAGATACCTGAAAATGTGGAAACAGCAGTGGAACTGGGAAATAGACAGAGGTTGGAAGAGTGTGGAGGGCTCCGAAGATAGGAAGATGAGGGGAAGTTTGGAATTTCTTAGAGATTTGTTAAATTGTTTTGACCAAAATACTGATAGTGATATGGACAATGAAGTCCAGGCTGAGGAGGTCTCAGATGGAGATGAGGGACTTATTGGGACCTGGAGTGAAGGTCACTTTTGTTAGGACATTGTGGTTGGAGACATTGTGCCCCTGCCCTAGGAATCTGTGGAACTTTGAACTTGAGAGCGAAGATTTAGGGTATCTGGCAGAAGAAATTTCTAAGCAGCAAAGCGTTCAAGACGTGGCCTGGCTGCTTCTGGTAGTCTGTGCTCATATTTGTGAGCAAAGACATGACAAGAAACTGGAACTTATATTTAAAAAGGAAGCAGAGTGTAAAAGTTTGGAGAATTTGCAGCCTGGCCATGTTGTAGAAAAGAAAAAAACCATTTTCTGGAGAGGAATTCAAGCTAGCTGCAGAAAATTGCAAGTAACAAGGAGCAAAATGTTGATAGCCAAGATAGTGGGAAAAACACCTTGAAGGCATTTCAGATACCTTGGGGGCAGCCTCTCCCATCACAGGCCCAAAGGCCTAGGAGGGAAGGATGGTTTCCTGGGCCAGGCTCAGGGTCCTGCTGCCCTGCACAACCTCAGGAAACTGCTCTCCAAATCCCAGCTGCTCCAGCTCCAGCTTCAGCTCAAAGGGCCCCAGGTATAGCTCAGGCTGCTGCTCCATAGGATGCAAGTTATAAGCCTTAGTGGCTCCCGTGTGGTGTTAAATTAAGCCTGTAGGTGCACAGAGTGCAAGAATTGAGGCTTGGGAGCCTCCAACTAGATTTCAGAGTATGTGTGGGAAAGCCTGGATGTCCAGGCAGAAGCCAGCTGCAGGGACAGAGCCCTCATGGAGAACCTCTACTAGGGTAGTGTGGAGGGGAAATTTGGGGTTGGAGTTCCCACACAGCTTCCCCTCTGGTGTACTGCCTAGTGGAGCTGTGAGAAGACAGCCACTGTCCTCCAGATTCCAGGATGATAGATCTGCCAATGACAGCTTGCACTGTACAACTGGAAAAGCCACAGGCAGTCAATGCCAGCCCGTGAAAGCAGTGACAGTGGCTTACCCTGCAAAGTCCCAGGGGCTGAGCTGCCCAAGGCCTTGGGAGCCCACCCCTTGCACCAGTGTGCCCTGGATGTGAGATATGGAGTCAAAGGAGAGTATTTTGGAGCTTTAAGATTTAATGACTACCTGCTGGGTTTCAGACTTGCATGGGTCCAGTAGCCCCTTTCTTTTGGCCAATTTCTCACTTTTGGAATGGGAGTGTTTACCCAATTCCTGTACCCCCACTGTATGTTGGAAGTAACTAACTGTTTTTTTATTTTGTAAGCTCACAGGTGGGAGAGACTTGCCTTGTCTCAGGTTGAGACTCTGGACTTTGGACTTTTGAATTAATGCTGGAATGAGTTAAGACTTTGAGGGACTGTTGGGAAGATATAACTGTATTTTGCAGTATGAGAAGGACATGAGATTTGGGAGACACCAGAGGTGGAATAATATGATTTGGATCTGCATCCCCACCAAAATCTCATGTTCAATTGTAATCCTAAATTTTGGAGGTTGAGCCTGGTGGAAGAGGATTGGATAATGGGGGTGGTTTCTCATGGTTTAACACCATCCCCCTGGGTGCTGTTCTCATGACAGTGAGTGAGTTATTGTGAGATCTGATTGTTTAAAAGTGTGTGCCACCTCCTCCCACTTTCCTCCTGCTCCAGCCATGTAAGACAGGCTTGCCTCCCCTTCACCTTTTGTCATGATTGTAAGTGTTCTGAGGCCTCCCCAGCCATGCTTCCTGTACAGCCTGCAGAACTGTGAGCCAATTAAACCTCTTTTCTCTATATATTACCCAGTCTCGGGTATTTCTTTATAGCAGTGCAAGAATAGACTAATACAGGGTTCAATTCAGCAAGAGGATATAACAAATATAAATATATATGCACTCAACACTGCAGCACCCAGATATATAAAGCAAATACGATTAGAGCTAAAGAGAGAGAGTGACCCCAATACAATAATAGCTGGAGACTTCAACACCACATTTTCAGCACTGGACAGATCTTCCAGACAGAAAATAAAAAAGAAACATCAGACTTAATCTGCACTGTAGATCAAATGGATCTAATACATACTTGCAGAACATTTTATCCAATGGCTGCAGAATACACATTCTTTTTTAGCACATGTATCATTCTCAAGGATAGACCATATGTTAGGTCACAAGTCTTAAAACATTAAAAAAGTTGAATACCATCAAGCATCTTCTCTGACCACAGTGGAATACAACTAGAAACTAATAACAAGAGGAATTTTTGAAACTACAAATACATGAAAATTAAACAATATGCTCCTGAATGACCATTGAGTCAATGAAGAAATTAAGAAGGAAATTGAACAATTTCTTGAAACAAATGATAAAGGAAACACAACATACCAAAACCTATGGGATACGGCAAAAGCAGTACTAAGAGGCAAATTGATAGCTATAAGTGCCTACATGAAAAAAGAGGAAAAACTTCAAATAAGCAATTTAACAATGAACCTTAACCAGAAAAGCAAGAGCAAAACAAACACAAAATTAGAAGAAAACAAATAATAAAAATTAGAGCATAAATAAATAAAATTGAAATAAAAATCAATGCAAAAGAACAATGAAACAAAAAGTTGCTTTTTTTCAAAAGTTAAACAAAACTGACAAGCCTTTAGCAAGACTGAGAAAAAAGAGACAAGATACAAATCAGAAATGAAAAAGACATTACAACTGACACTGCAGAAATTCAAAGGATCATTAGGGGCTACTATGAGCAACTCTATGCCAATAAATTGGAAAATCTAGAAGAAATTGACAATTCCTAGACACATACAACCTACTGAGACTGGACCAGGAAGAAATCCAAAACCTGAACAGACTAATAACAAGTAACAAGGTTGAAGCCATAATAAAAAGTCTCCCACTAAAGAAAACCAAGGACCCGATGGCTTCACTGTTGAATTCTACCAAACATTTAAAGAAGAACTAATACCAATCCCACTCAAGCTATTGAAAAATAGAGGAGGAGAGAATATTTCCAAAGTCATTCTAGGAGACCAGTATCACCCTGATACCAAAACCAGACAAAGACACATCAAAAAAAGAAAACTGCTGGCCAATTTCTCTGATGAATATTGATGCCAGAATCCTCAGCAAAATATTAGCAAACTAAATTCAACAATACATTAAAAAGATCATTCATCAGGGTCGGGTGCAGTGGCTTAAGCCTCTAATCCCAGCACTTTGGGAGGCCGAGGTGGGCAGATCACCTGAGGTCAGGAGTTCAAGACCAGCCTGACCAACATGGTGAAACCTCGTCTCTACTGAAAATACAAAGTTAGCCGAGTGTGGTGGTGCATGCCTGTAAT
The DNA here is from genome assembly GCF_000001405.40 of Homo sapiens. Lineage (NCBI taxonomy): Eukaryota > Metazoa > Chordata > Mammalia > Primates > Hominidae > Homo > Homo sapiens. The sequence continues at coordinate 1,537,229 of NT_167245.2, read as the reverse complement.
CCCAGCTACTCAGGAGACTGAGGCAGGAGAATCACTTGAACCCAGGAGGTGGAGGTTGCAGTGAGCTGAGATTGTGGCACTGCACTCCAGCCTTGGTGACAGAGTGAGACTCCATTAAAAAAAAAATCATTTATCATGACCAAGTGGGATTTATCCCTGGAATGCAAGGATGGTTCAACACATGCAAATCAATCAATGTAATACATCATATCAAAAAGAATGATTAAAACCATATGATTATTTCTATTGATGCTGAAAAAGTAGTTTATAAAATCCAACATCCCTTCATGATAAAAACCCTCAAAAAACTGTATAAAAGAAATATACCTCAACGTAATAGCCAGATATGACAGACCCACAGCTAGTATCATACTGAATGGGGAAAAAGTGAAAGACTTTCCTATAAGATCTGGAACACAACAGGGATGTTCACTGTCACCACTGTTATTCAACAAAGTACTGGATGTTCTAGCTAGAGCGATCAGACAAGAGAAGATATAAAGGCCATCCAAACTGGAAAGGGAGAAGTTAAATTACCCTAGTTTGCAGATGATATGAACTTATATTTGGAAAAAACCTAAAGGCTCCACAGGAAAACTATTAGAATCAATAAATTCAGTAAAGTTGCAGGACACAAAATCAACATATAAAAACCAGTAGCATTTCTATATGTCAACAGTGAACAATTTGAAAAATTTTAAATTTAAGAAGGTAATTTCATTTACAATAGCCACACATAAAATTAAATACCTAGGAATTAACCAAAAATGTGCAAGATATCTATGAGGAGAATTATAAAACATTGATGAAAGAAATTGAAGAGGACACAAAAAAAATGGAAAAAATTCCATCTTTATGGATTGGAAGAATCAATATTGTTAAAATGTCCATACTACCCAAAGCAATCTACAGATTTAATGCAATCCCTATCAAAATACCAATAATAGTCTTCAGAGAAATAGAAAAAAAAATCCCAAAATTTATATGAAAACACAGAATGCCCAGAATAGCCAAAATTATATTAAGCAAAAAGATCAAAACTGGAGGAATCACATTACCTGACTTCAAATTATGCTACAGAGCTATAATCACCAAAACAGCATGGTACTGACATAAAAACAGACACATAGTCCAACAGAACAGAATAGAGAACCTAGAAACAAATCCACACACTCACAGGGAACTCATTTTTGACAGAGTTGCCAAGTACTTATACTGGAGAAAAGAAAAGACAGTCTCTTCAATGAAATGGTGCTGGGAAAACTGGATATCCATATGCAGAAGAATGAAACTAGACCCCTACCTCTCACTGTAGACAAAAGTCAAATCAAGGCTAGGCATGGTGGCTTACACCTGTAATCTCAGCACTTTGGGAGGCTGAGGCAGGCGTATCACGAGGTGAAGAGATTGAGACCATCCTGACCAACATGGTGAAACTCACCCCCCCCCACCCACTAAAAATACAAAAATTAGCTGGGCGTGATGGCATGTGCCTGCAGTCCTAGCTACTCAGGAGGCTGGGGCAGGAGAATCGCTTGAACCCAGGAGGTGGAGGTTGCAGTGAGCTGAGATTGTGCCACTGCACTCCAGCCTGGCGACAGAGCAAGACTCCATCTCAAAAAATAAAAAATAAATTCAAAATGTAATAAAGACTTAAATCTAAGACCTCAAACATGAAACTACTATAAGAAAACATTGGGGAAAACCTCCAGGACAGTAGTCTGGCCAAAAATTTCTTGAGCAATACCCCACAAGCACAGGCAACCAAAATAAAACTGGACAAATAGTATCACATCAAGTTTAAAAGCTTCTACAAAGCAAAGGATACAATCAATAAAGAGACAACCCACAGAATGGGAGAAAATATTTGCAAACTACCCATCTGACAAAGAAATAATAACCAGAGTATATAAGAAGCTCAAACAACTCTATAGTAAAAAAAAAAAAAAAAAAAAAAATTCTAAAAGTCTAAGTAAAAAAATGGGCAAAAGATTTGAATAGACATTTCTCAAAAGAAGACATACAGGCCATGCGTGGTGGCTCATGCCTGTAATCCCAGCACTTTGGGAGGCTCAGGCGGGTGGATCACTTGAGGTCAGGAGTTCGAGACCAGCCTGACCAACATTGTGAAACTCCGTCTCTACTAAAAATACAAAAATAAGCCAGGCATGGTGGCGCACACCTGTAATCCCAGCTACTCAGGAGGCTGAGGCAGGAGAATCGCTTAAACCTGGGAGACAGAGGTTGCAGTAAGCCGAGATCACACCACTGCACTCCAGCCTGGGCAACAAAGTGAGACTCCGTCTCACAAAAAAAAAAAAAAAAAAAAAAAAAAGAAAAAGGAAGAAGACATACAAAGCCAGGTACAGTGGCTTATGCCTCTAATCCTAGCACTTTAGGAGGCCAAGGCAGATGGAATTGAGCCCAGAAGTTTGAGACCAGACTGAGCAATATGGTCAAACCCCAATTCTGCAAAATACAAAAATAAAAAATAGCTGGGAGTGGTGGTGCACACCTGTAGTCCCAGCTACTTAGGAAGCTGAGATGGGAGGATCACTTGAGCCTGCAGTGAATCATAATTGCACCAATGCACTCCAGCCTGGGCGACAGAGTGAGAGACATTGTCTCAAAAAAAAGAAAAAGAAAAAAAAGAAAGGACATAAAAATGACAAACAGGCATATGAAAAGGTGCTGATGATTATTGATCCTCAGAGAAATGCAAATCAAAACTGCAATGAGATATAATCTCACCCCAGTTAAAATGGCTTATATCCAAAAGACAGGCAATAACAAATGCTGGTGAGGATGTGGATAAAAGGGAACCCTCGTACACTGTTGATGGGAATGTAAATTAGTACAACCACTATGGATAACAGTTTAGAGGTTCCTCAGAAAACTAAAAATTGAGTTGCGATATGATGCAACAATCCTACTGCTGGGTATATACCCCACAAAAGACAAAACCAGCGTTTTGCATGGTGGCTCACACCTGTAATCCCAGCACTATGGGAGGCCGAGGAGGGCAGATCACTTGAGCCCAGAAGTTCAAGACCAGCCCGAGCAACATGGCAAAACCTGATTTCTACAAAATACAAAAAAAAAATTAGGCAGTTGTAGTGGTTCACACCTATAGTCCTAGCTACTGTGGAGGCTGAGGTAGGATCACTTGAACCTAGGAGGTGGAGGTTGCAGTGAGCCAAGATCATGCCACTGCACTCCAGCCTGGGTGACAAAGTGTGACCCTGTCTCAAAAAAGAAAATCAGTATATGGAAGAGATATCTGCACTCCTATGTTTTTTACAACACTGTTTACAATAGCTAAGATTTGGAAGCAACCTAAATGTCTAACAGCAGATGAATGGATAAGGAAAATTTGGTATGTATACACAATGAAGTACTATTCAGCCATAAAAAGGAATGAGATCCAGTCATTTGCAACAGCATGGATGGAAGTGGAGATCATTATGTTAAATGAAATAAGCCAGGCACAGAAAGGCAAACATGGCATGTTCTCACTTATTTGTGGGACCTAAATTCAAAACAATTGAACTAATGGACATAAAGAGTAGAAGAATGGTTACCAGAGGCTAGGAATGGTAGTGGGGGGCTGAAGGGAAGGTGGGGATGTTTAATCGGTAAAAAAAAATTTAGAAGAATAAGACCTACTATTTGATAGCACAATAGGGGGACTATAGTCAATAATGCACATTTAAAAATAGTGTAATTGAATGGTTTGTAACTCAAAGGATAAATGCTTGAGGGAATGGATACCCCATTCTCCATGATGTGCTTATTTCACATTGCATACCTGTATCAAAACATCTCATGTACCCCATAAATATATGCAGCTATTATGTACCCACAAAAATTGAAAATCAAAAATAAAATATTTTTTAAAATGTATTATTATTTGTCCTCTGTGAATAAAACTCGCTTCTGGCCCTCCTTTTTATAGGTATTTAAAAGAATGCATTTAGGCAGATCAATGGCATTATATAATATACAAAAACAATAAATCTTTTTTTTTTAAACATATCACATTCAGCACAGCTGCTGAAGTTGGGGCTAATTATAGGTTACATTTTCATTAATCCACTGTCATCTGTTATCATCCATCCAATTTTTGCTAGAACTGGAGTGGTAAATTCAATAGTTGATGATGAAACCACAACCCCTGCATCTTTTATGTCTTTGAGTGACAGTTTATTTCATTGCCCCTCAAATACTACATTGTTTTAAAATTTCTATCTTGGTCGATATTAGAAGCTCTCTTAGGGGCATCCACTTGGCCTTTCTTACTACAAATCCTTTATTCCACAGGTGAAATGACTAAAGTGTGAGTGAAATAACTAATGTACAAAATAAATCCATCAATTACATATTTGGAAACCAGAAAAATAACCACCAAGCAGATGTGTGGACACAGAGAATCCACGGAGATACGGGTGGACCTGAGACAGGAAATTATTTTCAGTTCCCTGTGTGGCTCTCCTCTAATAGAAGTCCATGAGGGTGCTTTGGTTCCCCAGGTATCAGTGTGAAATTGGACCCTGTATCCAATAGACCTGAAAATATCTGGACATTCCCCTTTATCAGTGTCTTGATACCTGAGTAAATGGCCATTGATCCCTTTAGGGAAGGGTGTAGAAAGTGTCTACTGTACACACTTATGGTGTTGCAGATACTTCATCAGGGGACGTGACTCTCCTTCAATGAATGGATTCTGGATCTAAGCACTGGCTCAGGTCTGGAAACTGGGCAAGGGATTTTAAACTTCTATTGGAGAAATTAATCTCAGACTTCAGCTCATCTATTTTTCATCTATTGATTCTAATATTAAACAACAGTCTTATAGGCTGCCCAACTAGAAACACCATAGTCTTAATAATTTCCCTAAATCCCTTGCAGTCAGGATTTCCTGGCTTCCATTCTAACATTACTCACTATTTTGGGGATTTTGTCCATTTTGATTCTGCCTTGCTGCCAGCTGGCCTCTAGCTTTCTGGAATCCTACTGTCCTATTGTTGCTAGGGCACCAAGTTCTCCAATATCATCTCATAGAGTCAGCTCCAGCCCACAAAGGACAAAATTAGGTTAATACCCCGTTCACCTGCCCATGACTTGCTGCCTGATAAACAGAGTTTCCTTTGGGCCCTTCCAAATAAACAGTCACCCAGTGCATGATCCAGTTTTATAGAGTGTATCTATCTATGCCAGCATGCTCACTGCTCTGAGCCTTTTGGTCTCTTTCTCCACAATCTGCCATGGCAGCTCTGGCACATCGATTTTATTTCATGTGAGCCATCATTTTTCATTAGAACAGTTTCATTAAGATAAAATTCATATATTATTCAACCATTTAAACTCAATGGTTTTTAGCATATTTATAGTGCAACCATCACCACAATCAATTGTAGAACATGTTCATCACTCCAAAACTATTTTTAGAACATTTTCATCACCCATGTATATTTATTCTCAGGCAGTCATCCCCATTTTTCCCTCCAACATTTCCTCAGTCCTAGGCAACCACTAATCTACTTTCTCTCTACAAATTTATTTCTTATAGACATTTCATATAAATGAAATAATATAATGGATGGTCTTTTGTGACTGGCGTCTTTCACATAGCATAATGTTTTCAAGGTTCATCCACATTGCAGCATTTATTAGTACTGCATTTCTTTTTATGGCCAAATATTCCGTTCCATAGATTGACCATATCTTATTCATTCATTTGTTCCTGGGCATCTGTATTGTTTCCACTCTTCAGCCATTGAGAATAATGCTGCTTGACCATTATGTACAAATTTTTGCATGGACATGTTTTCATTTCTCTTGGGTATATACCTGGGAATGGAATTGCTGGGTCAAATACTCATTCTACATTCAAACTTTGAGGAACTGCCAGACTATTCTTTAAGAGGCTGCACCATTTTACATTCTTACCAGCAGTGTGCAAGAATTCCAATTTCTCCACATCCTCACCACTGCTTATTGATATCTGTCTTATTTATTCTAGCTATTCCAGTGACCGTGCAGGGGTATATCACTGTGCTTTTAATTTGCATTTCCCTGATGATTAATAGTGCCAAGCATCTTTTCATATTCTTATTAGCCATCTTTCTATCTCCTGTGGAGAAGTATCTATTCAGCCCTTTGTTCATTTTTTACTTGTATTATTTGTCTTTTAATTTTTGACTTGTAAGAGTTTGTGTGTTCTATATACTAATTCTTTCTCACATATAAGATTTATATATACTTTCTCCTAGCCTGAGGGTGGTATTTTTACTTTTTTGATTGTATTCTTTGGAACACAGAGTTTTAAACTTTGTTGAGATAGAATTTATCTGTTTGGTTTATTGTTACTTGTGTTTTGGTGTCATATTTAAAAAACACTGCTTAATCCGAGGTCATGAAGGTTTTTGCATACATTTTTGTTTGTAAGTTTTATAGTTTTAGCACTAACATTTAGGTCTTTGGTCCATGTTAAGTCATTTATGTATATGATATGAGGTAGGGTCAAACTTCATTCTTTTGCAGGTGGATATACAGTTACATCAGCACAATTTTTTTTAACCATTGGCCATTTCATATTTAAAAAACATTTAATTGACAAAGTTGTGCATGGCATACATCATGATAATTTAATACACATATACATTGTATGATTATTATTGCAACCAAATTAACAAATCCATTACTGCCCATACTGAACATTAGATTTCTAGAACTTGTTCATTATATAACTGAGAATTTGCACCCTTTGACCAACATCTCCCCATTTCTCCCACTCAAGCCCCTGGTAACCACCGTTCTACCTCTGTTTCTAGGAGTTTCACTTGTTTTAGATTGCAAATATGAGGTTATATAATATTTGTCTTTCTGTGTCTGGCTTATTTCATTTAATATAATATCCTCCAGGTTCATCCATGTTGTTGCAAATGTCAGTACTTCCTTTTTCTGTGGCTATTACTCCATTTTGTGTGTGTGTGTATACATACACACCATATTGCTATGGTTTGAATTTTTGTCCCCTCCAAAACCCATGTTGTTTCAACCCATTTATATTTCAACATGGGTTGAAGTATATATATATTTGTAGAGATGGGGTCTCACTATGTTGCCCAGGCTGGTCTTGAACTCCTGGACTCAAGCAGTCCTCCCACCTCAGCCTCCCAAAGTGCTGGGATTACAGGAGTGAGCCACTGCACCCAGCTGCATATTGAAATTTAATTGCTATTGTAACATTATTAGGAGGTGAGACTTTTGAGAGGTGATTGGACCATGAGGGTTCCACCCTTGGGGGTGGTTTTAATGCCTTTATAAAAGGGCTTCCAGGAGTGTGTTCTCTGTACTTTACTTGCCCTTCTACCTTCAGCCATGTGATGATGCAGCAAGATGGCTCTCACCATTAGCCAGTGCCTTGATCTTGGATTCATAGCCTCCTGAACCGAGAGAAAATACATTTCTATTTGTTATAGATTACCCAGTCTGTGATATTGTGTTATAGCAGCATAAAATAGAGTAAAACATATGTTTAATCCATTCATCAGTTGACAGACATTCAGGTTATTTCCAGGAAATAATGCTGTGATAAACATATGGGTACAAATATTTCTTTGAGATACTGATTTCATTTTCCTTGGATACATGCCCAGAAGTAAAACTGCTGGATCATATACTGGTAGTTCTGTTTTTAATTTTTTTAAGGAAAGATCGTTTTAATTTTTTGAGGAAAAACCATACTGTTTTCCATAATGCTTATACCAATTTACATTCCCACCAACCATGTATAAGGATTCCCTTTCCTCTACACCCTCATTAACACTTATTACCTCTTATCTTTTTGATAATAACTATTCTGACAGGTGTGAGGTAACACTTCATTGCAATTTTGATTTGCATTTTTCTGATTAGTTACGTTCAGCACCATCTCATATACCTGTTGGTCATTTGTATGTCTTCTTTGGAAAGATGTCTATTCAGGTCCTTTGTCCATTTTTGAATTAGGTTATTTGTTTTATTGCTATTGAGTTGTGTATAATTTCTCGAAAAGATTTTTCTTTCCCCCACTGAATTGCCTTGGCAGTATTTTTGAAATTTAATTGACCATAATTATAAACTTTTATTTCTAGCCTCTCTATTCTATTGATCTGTATGTCTATCCTTATGTCAGTATCACTCTGTATTGATTATTGCAGCTTTGTAGTAACTTTTGCCATGAGCAAGTATAGTTCCTCAAACTCTGTTCTTTGTCAAAAGTTTTGTAACTTTTGTAGTTCACTGAATTTCCATATAAATTTTAATATCATCTTGTCAGTTTCTGCAAAGCAGTCAGCTGGGATTTTGATAGAACTGCATTGAATTTGTAGACCAATTTTGATATACTGCCATCTTAATAATATTGTCTTCTGATCCATAAAAATAGAACATCTTTTTATTTATTTAGTTCTTTGATTTCTGTAAAAATATTGTCGGTTTTTTTGTAGTATAAATTTCGTACTTCTTTTATTACATTTATTTCTAAGTATTTTATTTTTCCCTAGCTTTATTGAAGCATAATTGACAAACAAGAATTATATACATTCAAGTTGTACAACATGATTTTTAAAATGCATATATATTGTGAAATGATTACCACAATCAAGCTAATTAACATATCTATGACACATAGTTAATATTTTTGTGTGTGGTGAGAATACTTAAGATCTATTCTCTTAGTAAATTTCAAGTATACCAATAGTTGCCATCCTGTTGTAAGCCCAAATCACTTTGGCTTAGTGATTTTGGGGACCTGAGATTATTTTTCCTTTCACACTGTACATTAGGTTTCCAGAACTTATTCACCCTATAACTGCAAGTTGGTAAACTTTTACCAACATCTCCCCATTTCCCCTAACCATGACTCCTAGTAACCCCTAAAAAAAAAAAAAAAAAAAAAAAAAATTCCATCAACTTTAGACAAACTAAATTTAGAAGAGTTTATTTAAGCAAAAAATAATTTACAAATTTGGCAGCACTCAGAACCAGGAGAGGGTCAGAAAGCTCCACCCAGGAGTGTGCACAGCAAGCCTTTATGTGCCAGACACAGAAGAAGAAAAATCACCTGATTGGCTACAGCTAGGCATTTGCCTTATTTGGGCATGGTGTGATGAGCTGGCTGCTTGTGATTGGGTGAACCCCAGCTAACAGTTATACTCCTAACTTAGGTTTTGATTTGTTTACCTACTTACTTAGGTACACAGGCAGCCTCAGGTCAAAGTTAAGTTAATTCAACTGACTGTTTCTACCTCTGTTTCTCTGAATTCCACTTTATAGATTACACATATAAATGAGATCATACAGTATTTTTATTTCTGTGTTTGTCTTATTTCACTTAGCATAATGTCCTTCAGATTTATCCATGTTGTTACAAATGGCAGTATTTCCTTCCTTTTCATGTCTGAATAATATTCGTGTGTGTGTGTATGTGTGTGTATCACAATGTCTTTATTCATCCATTAATCAATAAACACTTACTTTGTTTCTATATCTTGGCCATTGTGAATAGTGCTGCAATTAATATGGGGGTACAGAAATTTCTTTACTGATTTCATTTTTTATATATGCCCAGAAGTAGGATTACTGTATCATATGGTAGTTATGTTTTTAATTTTTTGAAGAACATCTATATTGTATTCCATTATGCTTTTACCAATTCACATTCCTACCAACCATGTATAAGGGTTCCCTTTCTCTACAGTTTACCAACACTGATTATCTCTTGTCTTTTTGTTAATGGCTATTCTTACTGATGTAAGGTGATATGTCAATGCAGTTTTGATTTGCAGCTCTCTGATGATTAATGATGTTGAGCACCTTTTCATATACTTCTTGGTCATTTGTATGTCTTTTTTGAAAAATGTCTATTCGGGTCTTTTGCCCATATTTGAACTGGGTTATCTGTTTTTTGCTATTAAGTTCTATGGAGTCTATAGACTTTACATATTAACCCATTAGTGAATATAAGGTTTGCAAATATTTTCTCTCATTCTGTGGTTTGCCTTTTCATTTTGTTTATTGTTGTGTTGCTGTGCAAAAACTTTAATGTAGTCTCACTTGTTTAATTTTGCTTTTTTGGCATATGTTTTTGAGGTAATACCCCCAAAAAAATCATTGCCAAGGCCAATGTCTCGGAGCTTTTCACCTGCTTTCTTCTCCAAGTTTTGTGGTTTCAGGTCTTACATTTACATCTTTAATCTATTCGGAGTTGATTTTGCATATGGTGTAAGATCGGGATGCAGTTTTATTTTTTTCCATGTGGATATCCAGTTTTTCCATCACTATATATGTAGGAGAGTATCCTTTCCCTATTATATATTATTGACACCTTTTCAAAGATTAGTTAATTGTATATGCATGGATTTATTTCTGAGCTTTCTGTTCTATTCCATTATTCTATGTGCTGTTTTTATGCCAGTACCATACTGTTTTCATTAATATAGCTTTGTAGTATCATGTTAAATCAGGAAGTGTGATGCCTCCAGCTTTGTTCTTGTTGAAGATTGCTTTAGCTATTGCAGTTCTTTTGTGGTTCCATACGACTTTTGAGATTGTCTAATTCAGTTAAAAATCCCATTGGAATTTTGATAGGGGTTACATTAAATCTGTTGATTGCTTTGGGTAGTATGGACATTTTCGCAATATGATTCTTCTGATCCAAGAACAAGGATATCTTTCCAATTATTTGTGGCTTCTTCAATTTTTTTTGTCACTGTTATGGCTTTCAGTGTGCAGATCTTTCAGCTCCTTGATCAAATTTATTCCTAATTTATTCTTTTTGATACTGTTATAACTGAGATTATTTTCTTGATTTCTTTTTCAGACAGTTTTTGGTAAGTATATAAAAGTACCACTAATTTTTGTATGCTGATTTTGTATGCTGCAACTTCACTGATTTTTTTTTTCAGTGCCAGTAGTATTTTGGTGGAGTGTTTGGGGTTTCCATATATAAGATCTTGTGATCTACAAACAGAGGCAATTTGACTTCTTTTTTTCCAGTTTAGATCCCTTTTCTTTTTCTTCCCTAATTACTCTGCCTAGAATTATCAGTACAATGTTGAATAGATGTGGCCAGAGTGGGCATCATTGTCTTGTTCCTGATCTTACAGGAAAAGTATGCAACTTTCGCCATTGAGTATGATGTTAGTTGTGAGTTTGTCATAGCCTTTATCCTGGTAAGATACATTCCTTCTATATCTAAGCCTCCCAAAGTGCTAGGATTATAGGCTTGAGCCACCGCACCTGGCCCAGAAAGTTTCTATTTCTATGTCTTCAAAGTCACTGTTTAATCTACAGCATAAAGTTTACCATTAATCTCACCTCACATCCAGTGTATTTTATGTCTGACATTTTCATCTTTGGAAGTTTGATTTTGATGTTTTATGTATCTTTCATGTCTCTGTGTAACTTTTTGAACATATGGAATACATTTACAATAACCGTTTTATGTTATTGCCTGCTAATTCTGACATCTATGTCAGTTCTAGGTAACTTTAGACTGATGGTTTTCTCTGCCTTCTGAGTTGTATTTTCTTGTTTTTATTATATGCCTGGTGATTGTTTTTATTTAATGCCAGACATGACTTTACCAGGTTAGGTGCCAGATATTTTTGCATTCTATAAGTATTCATGAGCTTTATTATTATTATTATTATTATTTTGAGACAGAGTTTCCCTCTTGTTGCCTGGAGTGCAATGGTGAGAACTTGGCTCACTGCAACCTCTGCCTCCTGGGTTCAAGCAATTCTCCTGTCTCAGCCTCCCGAGTAGCTGGGATTATAGGCATGCGCCACCATGCCCAGCTAATTTTGTATTTTTAGTAGAGACGGGATTTCTCCATGTTGGTCAGGCTGGTCTCGAACTCCCAACCTCAGGTGATCTGCCCACCTTGGCCTCCCAAAGTGCTAGGATTACAGGCATGAGCCACCGTGCCCGGCTGAGCTTTTTATTTTTACTGGGACAAATTAAGTTATTCAGGAGCTGTTTGATCATTTTAAGTCTTTTAATATCTTTTAGCAAAAAAACAAAAAGTGTTTAGTCCAGGGCTAATTATTTACCACTGCTGACATAAGACCCTTCAGAATACTCTATCCAATGCTCAGCAAATTATGAGGTTTTCCAGTCTGGCTAGTGGGAACAGGCATTATTTCCAGCCCTGTATATCACTGGGTACTATTCTCTGAAGTCCTTTCGGATAATTCTTTCCCTGTCTTTGGGTAGTTCCCTTATATAATATGCTGATTAACTGAAAATTTGAGGGGTACCTCCTGCAGACTTACAGTGCTTTTTATCATCAGCTGTCTTTTCTATGTGCCTTCATCTTTGCATATTCTGGATGTCCTGGAATCTCCAAGTTCACAACTCTGTCCCCTCACCTCAGTGAACCTCCTGGTTAGGGCTCTGCCTCTCTGCACTCTGCCTTGGAAACTCTGTCCAGGAAGGAAGCTGGACAACTGTAGACCTTACCTTTTCCATTCCCCTTCTCCCAGAGATCACAGTCTCTGGGATACCTGCTGTCTAGTATCTGAGTACATAGCTATTTTTTCATATATTATTTTGAGTTTGTTGTGCTTAAGGCATGAGAGTAAATCTGGTCCTTGTTATTCCATCATAATCCAAAGCAAAAGTCAATAGATCATGACTTTTCAATTTTTAATTCAACTAAGTTAAAAATTTTAAAATCAAAGTTAATTTTACTTCCTAAAAACTAACTTTAGTTCTTTTGAAAAACAGGTCATTTTTAGGTTAATACATTCTGTAGGCATTTTCAAGCTTGTCATTATTATTATTATTATTATTATTATTATTATTATTATTTTGATACAGAGTTTTGATCTTGTTGCCCAGGCTGGAGTGCAGTGGCACAATCTCGGCTTACCACAATGCCCACTTCCCAGTTTCAAGTGATTCACCTGCCTCAGCCTCCCATGTAGCGGGGATTACAGGCATGTGCCACCACGCCCAGCTAATTTTCTATTTTTAGTAGAGACGGGGTTTTTCTATGTTGGTCAGGCTGGTCTCAAACTCCCAGCCTCAGGTGATCCGCCTGCCTCAGCCTCCCAAAGTGCTGGGATAACAGGCATGAGCCACCGTGCCCAGCTCATAATTATTTTAAATGTAATACTAGTTACGTTATTTTGTTTCATAATTCAAATATTGAAGCTTTATGAGCCTCTTATCTATTGTTTCCACTGGTTCTCAATCAGACTGACTTTTCTCCACTTGTACTTTATACAGTTCATGCTCTGAGCAGCTTTTTCCTTGTAGAATTATTTGGGCAAATTCTTTGACATATGGGTTAAATATGCATTCCTATAAAGATTTTTGTTTCCTTCTTCCAATTTTTGGATCATCGCTAATCCAGGACAATTATTAATCAAAATCATGCTTTGAGGTTATTTTGGCCCAAAACGGTAAAGCTAGTTTGGGCAACAAATCTGCAGGAGTGCTGGCTGGTGGTTGTAAATTCTCAAAAACAGGTTTTGCTGACTCAAAGGCAAATTTCTTTAGAATACTCTTGTGCTGGGGGATGAAACAGATTTTCTTTTCTTACTCTGAGGAAACACATCTTTTGTTTCCCATATTTCATGGGGTACACAAAAGTGTCTCCTCTTATACTCCCTATACAAACAAGTTCTGAGAATTACCTCCTTTGCACTATACCATATGAAGCTGAGAAAACCAAAGCTAAGATTTTTCCAGATTTGGCAAACGCCCTCAAGATAAAAGCAACTTCCCTTTTTCTAAATCCTGCCCACATTTATATTTTGACCAAAAAGATTATTCCCTTTTTTATATTTCTATACTTTTGGGTGATTTTCACATTTCATCTCTTTTTTAGTTGTTTTTGGTAGAAGAGGCAGCTTTAAAACCTAGTTCACCCTATTACCGGAAATGGAATCCCCATTCGCTACTGATTAATTCCTGCCATTAATCTGACACCGAGGTAGATGCTGGAATACAAGTACATCTAGACCAATGCTACTCTCAAAGTGCAGTCTGTGGGCTAGCACTGGTCTGTGGACTGTTTGTTAGCAGCCCACAATACTATACATATAGAAATTGTGAGTGAACTATGCAAGTAAACCTCTACTTTATCTCACCCCAGACTAGTAACAGTCAAGCAAAAGATGAGCATTTATACCATGTCACTGGGTCTTCTAAAAACAGTATGGTTATCAGCTGTTCATACAATAGTTTGAGTAAAATGGCATCTAAATTAGGATGGTTTTTTAGGCTTCTGTGAGCAGTCACATTAAAACTGGTGAATGTATAGATAACTCTCCCTAGGAGCATGTGCAGATAGAACAAAATATTAAAAATTTATATAAAATGTCAGTGTATACATGGATCCTCTGATGTCTTACAGATACGGGTTTTTAATCCTAGCAAGAGACAAAGATAGGGAAAAAGGCTTTCAAGTAAACATTTTACCATCACACAATGCTTCTCCACGTATCTGTGTGTGAAAACTGGGGTAGACAAAAGCTGGACCCCAAAACAAACTGTCAAGGGAATAAGTTGAACTATGTCATTTATTATACACTCAACCAAACCCAGGTGCCTGCAATGTACTAGATAAAGTTCTAGTCTCAGAACATGATTCTAGGAATTGAAATTTGTCATTCTTTTTCCATCCCTCACCCCTCTACCTCCAGCAACTGAATTCTCTTCCTATGTTGAAGAGTCTTATTAGAAGGCAGGGACTACCTCCTTCTACAAAGGAGAAAAATTCACTTTCCCCAACATTATTGCAGTTAAACACTGCAAGAGGCTTTGGCTGCACAATTTAGATAACCACATGTGGGCTTCTAATCAGGATGAGATGACACAGAGAGGCTGGGACAGTAAATACTGCATTTTGGTAAAGATGGCTGAGGAGCAGTAGTGGAGCAGTTCTCAGGAGCAGCAGTGATAGCAGTCTTTGCCACAGGGCCCAGTGTCGGCCATCAGGGTATCAGAGGTATATGCAGTAGCATCTGTGCTCAGGAGCAGGGACAGTGGTTCCTATGAGAGATCTGAATTAGGGTGGCTGTGGATTATGTTCCTGGCTGTGTAGCTTCAAACCTGGTTCTGTGTCCAATGTGGTTTGGCTGTGTCCCCACCCAAATCTCAACTTGAATTGTATCTCCCAGAATTCCCACATGTTGTGGGAGGGACCCAGGGGGAGGTAATTGAATCATGGGGGCCAGTCTTTCCCATGCTATTCTCATGATAATGAATAAGTCTCCTGAGATCCAATGTGTTTATCAGGGGTTTTGGCATTTGCTTCTTCCTCATTTTCTCTTGCCACCACCATGTAAGAAGTGCCTTTCGCCTCCCACCATGATTCTGAGGCCTCCCCAGCCAAATGGAACTGTAAGTCCAATTAAACCTCTTTTTCTTCCCAATGTTGGGTATGTCTTTATCGGCAGTGTGAAAACGGACTATGGACTAATACAGTGCCCTTCCCCAAAATAAAATGAATACTAATACCAATATGTACACTCCTTTATGTTTAAATTAGAAAAATTTGCAAGTCATTGTTTGCTCCAAGGAGTGAGTGTGAAATCATTCTGGAGAGTAGTTTCAGAAAGCAGCATTCAGATATTTTTTCATTCTGCTGAGCTGTGAGCCACTTCTCAATCTTCCATCTGGCTATACCCCATGATAGAGAAAATGACATTTATCTCTCAGCATCCTGTCTTATAATTAAAGAAACACATCCTCCTTAAAAATAAATAAATAAATAAATAAAAAACCCAGAATAAAGCAACACTTAAATGTGGGTCTGAGACCCCTCCCCATCCTGGGCATTCTCCAACTACTGATCTCAGTGATATCAAATCTGGCTGAGCACCAGGTTTGCTGTGGGCTTGTTGTAGAATACTCAGGCCTCTCCACAGATGCCCCTGTGTCAGAATGTTGCGCATGGAGTGCAGGAATTGCTTATTAACAAGCCTCACAGGCGAGGCTGATGCATAGCCTAGGAATCCTGGTCTGTGTTCTTGCTACCAAAAGTGGGATCTGAAGACCAGCAGCATCAGCGCCAACAGCAACATTATATAAGTAGGAAATCTCATTCTCGATTCCAGATCAGCTTAGACTTAAGGTGATGTCCAGGTGATTCCTGTCCACAGGAAAGTCTAGAACTCCCTGGTCTATGTACCTTCTAGATGTGGGGTCAGGACTGTGCAGTCTGATCTAGGTGTGTTGTCTGATCAGATCCTTTAGCAACAGAGGCCTAGTGTTCAGTCCTTGTTCCTGTTCTCTTCTACAGCCAATCACTCCCTTGGAGACGTCATTCAGACTCAAGGCTTTAAATAACTGTTATATGACATCACCTCCCAAGTCTATTTCTCCTAAATGTCTCCAGATTCATCTGTCCAACTGCCAACCCGACTACCTCACTGGTATTTCTCAGCGGCATCTCAGATCCCACGTCTCCCATAGTGACTGCCTGCGACGTCCCCTCCTCTCATATGCTCCTGCTAGTCTTCTCATTCTCAGCTGATGGCAACTCTTTTTAGTCACAGTCTGACATTTTTGGTATCCTTTACTCTTCTTTCTCATACCACAGATTTAGTCCATTAGAAAATGCGGTATAAAGTGATTGGAAATAGTAGGAATCCAATCACGTCCCACTATTTCCACTGCTCACACCCCAGTTGAAGTAACCGACATCTCCAGCCTGAAATACTGCACTCATTTCCTACAGTTTTCCCACCTGCCTTGCTCATCGCCGGCCTTTGGATTCTGTTCTCAGCAGAGCAGCTACAGTGATCCTTTTAAAAGAGAAGTTGTGGCATGTCTTTATTCTGCTTAAAACTATCTCATTCAAAATCAAAATCCTTCCCACATACTTGAGCCCTATGCCCACATGATCTGACCAAACCCCTGACCTTATCTCAGTGACTCTCTGCTCTAGCCATACCCGATCCCGTGTTCTTCCCAGAACACACAGACATGATCCTGCCCTGGTACACTGACACTGAAGGTTCCTACTCCCTAGAAAAAACTTCTTCCAGATACCCTCATGACAAATTCCTTTATGTCCTTCAAATATTTCATCAAAGGTCACCTTCCCAACAAGGCCCACGCTGACAACCCCGGCACAATAGCTACCTTCTCTGTCCCACAACCCATACTCTGATCACCTGTTCCACAGCACTTATCACCTTCTAACACTTTCCTCATTTACTCTGCATATATTAGAGTGTATGTACCGTCTGCCTCTTCCCACTGGAACACATGCTCCACAAGGCTAGAGATTTTTCTGATTTTACTTCAATGACTTTCCCCAGATGCAAAAACATTCTGTCATATGTCTGGCAGACAGCAAATGTCGGCTGAATGAATCATCACTGTAGAGCACCTCCTATTCTAAAGGCAGTATCTTTATTAACATAGCCTCAGGCCAAATGCGGTTTTGCAGCAACGACAGCACAAGGTCCCCTCACACTGACATCCAGGCCGCCTGTGCTTTTCCCAGCAGTGCTGCTTGTGTGTCCTCCCTCCCTTCCTCCCTGCATCCCTCCTTCACACCAACCCTCTGCACACTGCAGCATGCAATTATATTTCCCTCTTAGGAAAGAACAATCTTTGACTATGAATCCCAATTTCCAAACAAATATAAATCTAAGTTAGACTTTGCTTTATAGATCCATGAGTTTGCATTAGAGCCAGTGCTAGGATTACTACAACTCAGGGAAGGGAGAGTGGGTAGGAGAGCTGAGCAGAAGAGGAGTTCCACTAGAAAGTTACCTAAGATGAGAACTTGTGGCATCCCTCTTCTCTGCTAATTTCAGAATCTAGTTCCTTTAAAAAGGTTGGGGAAAAGATAGAAAATACAATCCAAGAAAGAGCCCTGGAAATAGGGTAAAAGCTGCACGGGCTTGAAAATTCATCTCTTAATACCACAGACTTCTGTGTGCAGGGGCTGCCTTCCACCTTGTGGGGTTAATGACAGGAAAAATGACTCCTGCTGCTGTCAGAGATGAGGGACACCCAGGGGAGAAAGAGATCAGAACGCAGACACCAGAACAGGAACAGGCATAGTCCTCTACAGAAACAAAGAAACCAAAAATAATGATACAAAATATTAGGGCCAGACCATAGACTGACCCAGCCCATGAAGCCCTTGCTGTCCACGGTCCTAGAGACAGGACAAGGCCCAGGCAATGTTTGTGTGCCTGTGATCACAGGTCCTGGTGAAACAAGGTTCTACTGAAGGGACACAAACAATGGAGCAGTGAAGATGACCAACCCAATGAATGACCACGTCAAATTCCATGATGAACTGAGCATAGGCTGTCCACACTCAGCTCCTCACAGCCCTCTCTCTCCTGTCTCCACCTACAACAGGCCCAGCACAGCAAAAATGGATTCTGGAAGGCTCTCAGGTTTTACTTCCTCTCTCAAGTTTTAAGAGTCTTGCTCTCCTTTCATTGAACAATCAACCCAACCTCATGGCAAGAATTTGAAAAATTCATATCCAGGTTCTTATTTTGAATAGTGGAGTAAGTGGCAGCTCAGTGAAACTTAAAAGTTAAGACATGAATAGAAATGTCCCAGCCTCACCTCTGTTGAAAAAAAACTTGACCGGGGAAGAGAGGACAGGTTAGTGTGGGGTGGTGGTCCTGGTGGCAGTGGTGGACCAGTAGCCCATTTCCTCACATTATGCTAACTGGAACACAGACACATAGATATATTCACGTGTCAAGTGCAGATATAGAAGTCAGGAGCTCTTGAAATTACAATGGTGTGTGTCAGAGGAAGGACCTGAAGAAATTTTGTATCTCTCAGTCCCACTCAAGGCAGTTGTCTCAAGCTACAGGAGAAAATAATCATAAACAAATCCAGGGCAGTCACTGTACCTGGTGACACTCTGAACAGCCTACCACATGGTCAAGATGTCTAAATCCAGAGAACCCCTCAACAGAATCATGTCCCCTCTGCCTCACCCCCACCCACTTCAGGCCCCCCCATGTCTCACCTTTACAAGTATCATGAGATGCATCAGAGTACTGAGCACAATTGCTGCCTGGGGTAGAACAAAAATAGGAACTGGTCAGAGCCCACAGGAGATGTGGCTAAAGGAGGAATCTTGTCTACACTGTCCCAACGATCTCAGGGAGCAGCCCTCTAATCCCCCATACTAACAGGCAGCCCGAGCATAGCTCCTCCTTGTTCTATCTGTGAGAAAAAAACAACCTGTGAGAGGTCAGGGAGGACATGGGGCATGAGGTCCTTAAGGAAACAGCAAATCCTGGACCCCAGGAAAATTTCCAGAACTGTGACTGCAGACCCAGGGCAGGATCAGGAAACATGAGGAAAGCAGGTGTGGTGACTGGACCAACTGCCCTCCTGAGGTCTGTCCTCAGTAGGGATCTTCCCTTGTGACCTGTGACTGCTGGGAGGTCCCCATCACCACAATCATCAAGGTGATAAATTTGTCCTTCGTTTTCACATGTGCTTCACAAAAGAGCAAGTGTTGGCACACAGGGCCCCAGGCTAGGTCGGCCTGTGTGTCGACGGTGCTTCCCAGTGATGAAGCAAGTCACAATTCTACCTGTGGCTTGAAACCCACAGTGGAACAAGAAAACCCAGACCCCACCTCTCACCCCTTCCCTACCTGAGCTTTTCTTCCTCCACATCGCAGCAGCAACCACAGCTCCAGTGACCACAGCTCCAAGGAGAAACAGGCCAGCAACGATGCCCACGATGGGGATGGTGGGCTGAGAAGACGGCTCTGGGAAAGGAGAGGGAGGTGAGGGGTTCTGACCCCCAGGCCTCAGCCCTGCCCTGCTGAAGGTCTCCTGCTTTCCCTGAGAGGAGACAACTTACACCCCTCCTTACCCCATCTCAGGGTGAGGGGCTCTGGCAGCCCCTCATGCTGCACATGGCACATGTATCTCTGCTCCTCTCCGGAAGGCACCACTACAGCCACCCACTTCTGGAAGGTTCCGTCCCCTGCAGGCCTGGTCTCCACAAGCTCCGTGTCCTGGGTCTGGTCCTCCCCATCCTGCTGCCAGGTCAGTGTGATCTCCGCAGGGTAGAGGCCCAGGGCCCAGCACCTCAGGGTGGCCTCATGGTCAGAGATGGGGTGCTGGGTCACATGTGCCTTTGGGGGATCTGAGGGGAAGAGTCAGAAAATTCAGGCACTTTGCATTCCTCATAGGACACTCCAGCAGCATACATGTGACCATCCTGAGAATGGACAGGACACCTGGGATGGGGAAGGGAGCACAGAACCCAGACACCAGCCTGGACACAGGAATCTGGGATAATCTCCTATTCCTTGGAAAGTTCGAGTCTCTGATGGGGGAGCAGGGACTTCTGGTCCTGACCTGAGTGGAGGCCAAGGCACTCAGAAGAGCTGGAATCGGAGCCACGGACACACTGAGTGTGAGGGAGAGAACAAGGCCTGAGAGGAAAATTCCTGGTGCCCCAGGCTGCTGCAGGGGTCAAAGGGGACCACGGATCAGTATTCCAGGGACTGTCTTCTCCTCCATTTCCTCAGGGACTTCATCCCTTAATTGTCCCAGAGAGCAGGGTGGGCTCTCAGAGTTACTCTCTGGTACAGGATCTGGAAACCCAGGATTCTTCCCATTCAGGACCAGTGGGAGGGCGATATTCTAGCATTGGTCCCATTTTCCTACTCTCCTGGTGGGAGGCCAGCCCGGGAAATCTACAGGAAATGAGGGAGGCGCCCCCGTGGCCCCTGGTACCCGCGTGCTGCAGCGTCTCCTTCCCGTTCTCCAGGTGTCTGCGGAGCCACTCCATGCACTTGCCCTCAGGTAGGCCCTGACCTGCTCTGAGTATTTGTCCGCTTCCCACTTGTGCTGGGAGATCTGAGCCGCTGTGTTCGCGGCGGTCCAGGAGTGCAGGTCCTCGTTCAGGGCGATGTAATCCTTGCCATCGTAGGCGAACTGTTCATACCTGCGGAGGAGGCGCCTGTCGGGCCCACGTCGCAGCCATGCTTCCTCTGGATGGTGTGAGAACCATGGCCTCGCCCCCGCCGTCAGCCCCGAACACCGAGCCCCGCTCCCGCCCCGACCAACCCGCGGGGATTTTGGCCTAAACTGAAATTAAACCGGGTAAAGGCGCCCGAGTTTCTTCCCTGGTCGAGGGTCTGGGCAGGTCCCGCAGCCTCGGGGTGGATCTCAGACCGGAGACTCAGACCCGGGACCTGGGCTGTCCGTGGGGGATGGGGAGGGATCGTGACCTGCGCCCCGGGCCAGGGTCACTCACCGGCCTCGCTCTGGTTGTAATAGCGGAGCAGGGTCCGCAGGTTCACTCGGTAAATCTGCGCGTGGCCCTTGGCGTTCCGTGTCTCCTGGTCCCAATACTCCAGCCCCTCCTGCTCCACCCACGGCGCCCGCCGCTCCATCCTCGGACTCACGGAGTCGCTGTCGAACCGCACGAACTCTGTGTCGTCCACGTAGCCCACGGCGATGAACCGGGGCTCCCCGCGGCCGGGCTGGGACACTGCGGTGCTGAAATACCTCAAGGAGTGGGAGCCTGGAGGCGAGGAGAGGCTGAGACCCGCCCGACCCTCCTCCCGGCGCGGCTCCCCGGGCCGGGCGGGCCACTCGCTTCTCCCCGCAGAGGCCCTTTCCCTCCCGACCCCGCACTCACCGGCCCAGGTCTCGGTCAGGGCCAGGGCCCCCAAGAGCAGCAGGAGGAGGGTTCGGGGAGCCATGACCCCCATCCTTGGCGTTTGGGGAGAATCTGAGTGCGGGTGGTTGCGCCGGGACTGTAGTGCCGGGATCGTAGTGCCGGGATCGCGGCGAAGCTGATTGGCTTCTCTAAAAACCCGGCACCCAATGGGAGTGAGAAGTGGGATTATGTCACAAGTATCCAGGAAGAAGGTTGGGAGAACCAAAACTCAGGGGAGTGGGCAATCCCCAACCCTGTGACTCCCCAGTGCAGTCATCGCTCTTGGGGCCTGAGACCCAGAGAGCCACGCCTGGGGCCTGGGACTTTGTCCTGACCTCTCTTTTCCTACGCCAGCCTCTTTGTCACACTGACTGCCTGAGTCCTGGTCAAGGATCTGTCTGTGGAAACTAGGGAGAGAACCCCCAGGCTGGGCCCAGCCCCTTCCCATTCACGCTCATCCTGGAATCCTCGTCCCTGAACTGGACTTCCGACTCCTTACCTCTCCCCTTGGACTATCCTAGAAGAAAACTCACCCCAGGGAACTTTGATGCCAGAGAGTGAGCTCGCCTTGGGAATGGCGGTGTAGAGAAAGGGGTTTTCTCTTTAAACCTGGTGAAGTTGTGGCTGAAGGCACAAGATAGAGATTCTCATAGTGACCAGGTTTTTTTGTTTGTTTGTTTATTAATACAGTGGTTAGCACAATCTAACCCCTGAATGATCAGGATTCTAATCTGTAAAAGACCTGATTTTGCCTGCTTCATATATAAGTGTATCCAAACAGCATTGCAATTCGAGTCACAAAGCTTCTAAGTTTACTTTCCCAGACTGTGGATCCATGACTCTGGGTTGTTGCATTTAAAATTATCTTCATTCCATAGCCCGAGTTTCCCTGTGTGAGTCCAGGACATCTCAATACAAAGAAGCAGGATTTGTTACTGTATATTGTAACAAGGAGCCTCAAAATTGCACTGAAGTCAAAATGCCTATCATCAATGCTTAAGCACTGCTTGTTTTTATGAATTATGCACATCTAAGCAGTGTGCACATTTTATTTGCATACTTGGTATTTTTTTACTCTTATGTTTTTAATCATGAGGAGGCCATTAGTTTTTGGCAGTCCCACAAAATGTATTAAATACCGAATGCATGTCAAGAACCCCCTGCTAGGCTCCTCCACTGCTTTAGAGTCCTTTCCCTTGCTCCTTTTCCTCACTTCCTGTCTCTCCAGCCCTTCTCTCTGCCCCTCTCATCCCTCACACCCTCCCCTCCCCTTAGTCCCTGCCACCCTCTCACCCCTGAATTGTGGCACTAACACTGTCCCTCACTTCCTGCCCATGTCTGTTCTCCCCACAGTGCTCAGCAGTTCTGCTAATGTGACTCAGGTCGTGTCATTTCTTCACTTACAATGGTTGGGTTTTGGTCTACCATTTTGCTGTATGTTTTCAATTTGTCTCGTATCTTTTTGTTTCTATTCCTCCTTTCCTACTTTCTTATGTGTTAAGTAAACATTTTTTAGTTTATGGTTTTAATTCTAGTGGCTTTTAGGTATATTTCTTTACACTAATTTTTTATTGTTGTAAGAATTGAAACCCGATTCCTTGACTTTTCATGGTGAAGTTCAGGTAATATTAAGCTGCATCCAGCAAAATAAAGGACACTTGTAAGAGTGTAGTTTCATGTAACCTACCATTGTGCTATTCTTGTTGTATATATTACATCAATATACTTTATAAACTCAATAATACAGTAATACTTTTTGTTTTAAGCATTCATATTGTCATTAAGAAAATGAGTGTGTATGTGATCTGTGTATGTGCATAATTTCTGTTGTTAATTATCCCTTTCTATATATCTAGGTCACCATCTAGTATCATTTCCCTTCAGCCTGAAGAACTTCCTTCAAAATTATACGTAGTACAAGATCCCTAGGAAATGAATTTTCTGATTTGGATTATGTAAAAGTGTCTTCATTTTTGCCTTCTTCCCCCACCTTTTTTTTTCCTAATTGGGGCGTTTGTGTATAATAAAACTCACCAGTTTTAGCTACAATGTTTTATGAATATTGGTAATTATTTATAGTCATGTAACTACCACATTGCCCAGATAGAGGACAGTTTCTTTTCCCTAAAAACTTTCCTTATGCCCCTTTTCTATTTAATCCTTGCCTCCCACCCTCACCCCCTTCTCTTCACTCAACCACTGCTGTGCTTTCTGTTACTGTAATAATGAAATTTCTAGAATTTCATGGACATGCAATCATATGTTATGTAGTCCTTTGGTCTCTCACTTGTCATAACAATATTTGAGATTTTTCCATGTAGTTAAGAGTAATAATATTTCATTCATTTTTGTCACTGAGTAGCTGCTGAGTATTGTTGGAATTCCAGTTTATTCGTTGGTTTCTCTATTCTCCAGCTGATAAACGTGGGTTATTTCCGGTTAGGGTCTGTAATTAATGAAACCACTATAAATAACTGACTACAAGTCTTTGCATGGCCTTAAATTTTCATTTCCTTTGGATAAATAAATATTTGTGGAATTGTTGGGTGATATGGTAAATGGATGGGTAGCTGTTTAAGAAATTGCCATATTATTTTACAAACTGACTGCAACTTTTTTTTGCGTTCCTACCAACAATATAAGAGATTTTTATTTTTTCCATATTCATACCAGTATTTAGAATTATCATATGTCTTTTGAACTTTACTTATTCTAGGTGATGTGTGATGGTTTCTCATTGTGGTTTTAACTTGCACTTCTTTGATGACTAGTATTGTTGCTATCTTGTCATGTTTGTCTAAGAGACTTATTACATATCTTTTGTGAACAATTTTGCAAATTTAATTATTACTTCCAGAGACTTTTTCAGAATTCCTTATTGTTTTCTACATATGTAATTAAGCTGAGAAAGAAAGATTTTATTTCTTCCTTTCCTATCTATTGTTTTTTTTCTTTTAAAAATTATTTATATTTAGTAAAGACAGGGGTCTAACTATGTTGCTCAAGCTAGTCTCAAACTCTTGAACTAAAGTGATCCTCCCACCTTGGCCTCCCAAAGTGCTGAGATTACAGGCATGAGGCACCACACTTGGCCCTTTTATTGGTCTTTTATTTCATTTTCTTGCCATATTGCACTAGTTAGGATGCTCGTAAGGTGTTTTAAACAAAAATGAGGAGAGCCACATCTTTGCTTTGTTGCTAATCTTAGGAAGTAAGCATCTGGCCTTTCATAATTGAATATGAGGGTAGCTGTAAACTTTTCGTGGGTGTCCTTAACCACATTGAAGATATTCCTTTCGATTTTGTTTGCTGAGCTATTTTGTCATGAAATGGTCTTGATTTTGCAAGTGCTTTTTCTGCATTGACTATAATAATTGTGCAACATTTGTTCTTTGTTCTATTAATTGGGTGAATTGTATTGTTTAATTTTCAGATGTTAAACCAACCTTACTTTCCCTTTAAAAAAACCAATATGGCATGGCATATTATTCATTTTATGTATATCTTAATTGGATAACGTTTTGTATTGAATTGTGAGTCTGTGTTCAAGAGGAATATTTGTTCTTGATTCTTTTTCTTGTGATGTTCTTGTCTGGGATTTTTATTTGGGTAATGCTGGTGATATGGTTTGGCTCTATGTCCCCACCCAAATATTATCTTGAATTGTACTCCCATAATTCCCATGTGTTGTGGGAGGGACCCAGGGGACCCAGTGGGAGATAATTTGAATCATGGGGTTGGTTTCCCCCATACTGTTCTCGTGGTAGTGAATAAGTCTCATGAGATCTGATGGTTTTATCAGGGGTTTCTGCTTTTGCATCTTCCTCATTTTCTCTTGTTACCGCCATGTAAGAAGTGCCTTTCACCTCCCGCCATGATTCTGAGGCCTCCCCAACCATGTGGAATTCTAAGTCCAGTTAAACCTCTTTTTCATCTCAGTCTTGGGTATTTCTTTATGAGCAGCATGAAAACGCACTAATACAGTAAATTAGTACCAGTAGAGTGGGTGCTACTGAAAAGACACCCGAAAATGTGGAATTGACTTTGGAACTGGGTATTAGGCAGAGGTTGGAACAGTTTGGAGGGCTCAGAACAAGACAGAAAAATGTGGGAAAGTTTGGAACCTCCTAAAGACTTGTTGAATGCCTTTGACAAAAATGCTGATGGTGATATGAACAATAAGGTCCAGGCTGAGGTGGTCTCAGATGGAGATGAGGAACTTGTTGGGAACTGGAGCAAAGGTGACTCTTGTTACGTTTTAGCAAAGAGACTGGTGGCATTTTGCCCCTGCCCTAGAGATCTGTGGCACTCTGAACTTGAGAGAGATGATTTAGGGTATCTGGCAGATAAAATTTCTAAGCAGCAAAGCATTTAAAATGTGACTTGGGTGCTGTTAAAAGCATTCCATTTTAAAAGGGAAACAGAGGATAAAAGTTCAGAAAATTTACAGCCTGACGATGCAATAGAAAGAAAAACCAATTTTTTTGAGGAGAAACTCAAGCTGGCTGCAGAAATTTGCGTAAGTAACAAAGAGCCAAATGTTGATCCCCCAAGACAATGGGGAAAATGTCTCCAGGGCATGCCATAGGTCTTCATGGCAGCCCCTCCCATCACAGACCCAGAAGCACAGGAGGAAAAAATGGTCTCCTGGTCCAGGCCCAGGGTTCCCATGCTGTGTGCAGCTTAGGGACTTGGTGCCCTGGGTCCCAACTGCTCCCACGGCTGCTAAAAGGGGCCAAGCTTGGTACAGCTTGGCCCATGGCTCCAGAGGGTGCAAGCTTTAAGCCTTGACAGCTTCCACATGGTTTTGAGCCTGCAGGTGCACAGAAGTCAAGAATGGAGGTTTGGGAACCTCCATCTAGATTTCAGAAGATGTATGGAAATGCTAAGATGCCCAGGCAAAAGTTTGCTGCAGGGGCAGGGCCCTCACGGAGAACCTCTGCTAGGGCAGTGTGGAGGGGAAATAGGGGGCTGGAGCCCCCACACAGAGTTCCTATTAGGGCACTGCCCAGTGGAGCTGTGAGAAGAGGGCCACGGTGCTCCAAATCTCAGAATGGTAGATTGACCAACAGCTTGCACTGTGCACCTGGAAAAGCCAGATACTCACGCCTGACTGTGAAAGCTGGCTGCATAGATTAAATTGAAAGTTGTTGCCTCCTTTAATTTCTAAAAGGTATGTGTAAAATTGATGTTATTTCCAAATTATTTGTTAGATACATTTCATCAATGAAGCCTTCTGGACCTGGAGTTTCCTATATGAGAAGGATTTTGATTACACATTCAATTTCTACAATCAATATATGACTGGCCACATTTTCTATCTCTTCTCAGGTCAGTTTTCATAAGTTTTCTCTCTCAAGGAAATTGTTCATTTCATTTGCTTGTCAAACTTATTGACATGAGATTATCAATATTTCTTTTTGAGATCTAGAGAGTGTGCACTGATGTTCGTTTTTTCTTGACATTGTTAATGTGCATCTTTTTGTCTTGATCAGTCTAGCTAGAAATTTATAAAGTGTACTGATTTTTCCCCATAGAACCAATATTTGGGTTCATTAATTTTCTCTGTCTTTCTGCTTCATTTTTTCCATTTAATTATTATTTTCTTCCTTCTCCATGCTTTGGTTTAATTTGTTTTTCTTTGTTTCTTATAGCAGAAGCTAATTTACTAATTTGAGACCTACCTTCTTTCTTAATATAGGCATTTAAGGGTATTGGTTTTTTCTCTAGTACTACTTCAGCTGCATCCCATACATTTGATATGTATGTTTCATTATCCTTCAGAATACAGAAGACTTTCTAATTTCTCTAGATTTCCTCTTTGAATAAATTGTCATTTAGAATTTTGATGTTAATTTCCAATACTTGGTAGTATTTTCATCATCATCTGTCTTAGTCAATCTGGGCAGTTATAAAAGAATACCATAGACTATGTGGCTTGCAAACAACAGAAATCTATTTCTCACAATTCTGGAGGCTGGAAAGTCAAAGATCAAGGCCTGGGAAGAGTCCATGTATGGTAAGGGCTGCTTCCTGATTCATGGATGTTGCTTTTCCTTGGTGTCCTCACATGGTGGAAGGGGCAAGGAGCTCTCTGGGGTCCCTTTTATAAGGGCATTCATTTCATTAATGAGGGTTTTGCCTTCATTGCATGATCACTTCCTAATGGCTCCACCTCCAAACACCATCACATTAGAGATTAGGTTTCAATTATGAGTTTAAGGATGACAAAAGCATTCAGTCCCACAGGATCATCTTATTGTTACAGATTTCTTTTTTTTAAGTTATTTTTTTTAATGTCTATATATTTTTATTATACTTTAAGTTCTAGGGTACATGTGCACAATGTGCAGGTTTGTTACATATGTATACATGTGCCATGTTGGTGTGCTGCAAACATTAACTCGTCATTTACATGAGGTATATCTCCTAGTGCTATCCCTCCGCCCTCCCCCCACCCCACAACAGGCCCCGGTGTGTGATATTCCCCTTCCTGTGTCCAGGTGTTCTCATTGTTCAATTCCCACCTGTGAGTGAGACCATGCGTTGTTTGGTTTTTTGTCCTTGGGATAGTTTGCTGAGAATAATGGTTTCCAGCTTCATCTGTGTCCCTACAAAGGACATGAACTCATCCTTTTTTATGGCTGCGTAGTATTCCATGGTGTATATGTGCCACATTTTCTTGATCCAGTCTATCATTGATGGACATTTGGGTCGGTTCCAAGTCTTTGCTATTGTGAATAGCGCCACAATAAACATACGTGTGCATGTGTCTTTATAGCAGCATGACTTATAATCCTTTGGGTATATACCCAGTAATGGGATGGCTGGGTCATATGGTATTCCTAGTTCTAGATCCCTGAGGAATCGCCACACTGTCTTCCACAATGTTTGAACTAGTTTACAGTCCCACCAACAGTGTAAGTGTTCCTATTTCTCCACATCCTCTCCAGCACCTGTTGTTTCCTGACTTTTTAATGATCATGATTCTAACTGGTGTGAGATGGTATCTCATTGTGGTTTTGATTTCCTTTTCTCTGATGGCCAGTGATGATGAGCATGTTTTCATGTGTCTGTTGGCTGCATAAATGTCTTCTTTTGAGAAGTGCCTGTTCATATCTTTGCCCATTTGTTGATGGGGTTGTTTGTTTTTTCTTGTAAATTTGTTTGAGTTCCTTGTAGATTCTGGATATTAGCCCTTTGTCAGATGAGTAGATTGAAAAAATTTTCTCCCATTCTGTAGGTTGCCTGTTCACTCTGATGGTAGTTTCTTTTGCTGTGCAGAAGCTCTTCAGTTTAATTAGATCCCATTTGTCAATTTTGGCTTTTGTTGCCATTGCTTTTGGTGTTTTAGTCATGAAGTCCTTGCCCATGCCAATGTCCTGAATGGTATTGCCTAGGTTTTCTTCTAGGGTTTTTATGGTTTCAGGTCTAACATTTAAGTCTTTAATCCGTCTTGAATTAATTTTTGTATAAGGTGTAAGGAAGGGATCCAGTTTCAGCTTTCTACATATGGCTAGCCAGTTTTCCCAGCACCATTTATTAAATAGGGAATCCTTTCCTCATTTCTTGTTTTTGTCAGGTTTGTCAAAGATCAGATGGTTGTAGATGTGTGGTATTATTTCTGAGGGCTCAATTCTGTTCCATTGGTCTATATCTCTGTTTGGGTACCAGTACAATGCTGTTTTGGTTACTGTAGCCTTGTAGCATAGTTTGAAGTCAGGTAGCGTGATGCCTCCAGCTTTGTTCTTTTGGCTTAGGATTGACTTGGCGATGCAGGCTCTTTTTTGGTTCCATATGAACTTTAAAGTAGTTTTTTCCAGTTCTATGAAGAAAGTCATTGGTAGCTTGATGGGGATGGCATTGAATCTATAAATTAGCTTGGGCAGTATGGCCATTTTCACGATATTGATTCTTCCTACCCATGAGCATGGAATGTTCTTCCATTTGTTTGTATCCTTTTTTATTTCGTTGAGCAGTGGTTTGTAGTTCTCCTTGAAGAAGTCCTTCACATCCCTTGTAAGTTGGATTCCTAGGTGTTTTTTTCTCTTTGAAACAATTGTGAATGAGTTCACTCATGATTTGGCTCTCTGTCTTTTATTGGTGTATGAGAATGCTTGTGATTTTTGCACATTGATTTTGTATCCTGAGACTTTGCCGAAGTTGCTTAGCAGCTTAAGGAGATTTTGGGCTGAGACAACGGGGTTTTCTAGGTATACAATCATGCCATCTGCAAACAGAGACAATCTGACTTCCTCTTTTCCTAATTGAATACCCTTTATTTCCTTCTCCTGCCTGATTGCCCTGGCCAGAACTTCCAACACTATGTTGAATAGGAGTGGTGAGAGAGGGCATCCCTGTCTTGTGCCCGTTTTCAAAGGGAATGCTTCCAGTTTTTGCCCATTCAGTATGATATTGGCTGCGGGTTTGTCATAAATAGCTCTTATTATTTTGAGATACGTCCCATCAATACCTAATTTATTGAGAGTTTTTAGCATGAAGGGCTGTTGAATTTTGTCAAAGGCCTTTTCTACATCTATTGAGATAATCATGTGGTTTTTGTCTTTGGTTCTGTTTATATGCTGGATTATGTTTATTGATTCGCGTATGTTGAGCCAGCCTTGCATCCCAGGGATGAAGCCCACCTGATCATGGTGGATAAGCTTTTTGATGTGCTGCTGGATTCGGTTTGCCAGTATTTTATTGAGGATTTTTGTGTCGATGTTCATCAGGGATATTGGTCTAAAATTCTTTTTTTTGTTGTGTCTCTGCCAGGCTTTGGTATCAGGATGATACTGGCCTCATAAAATGAGTTAGGGAGGATTCCCTCTTTTTCTATTGATTGGAATAGTTTCAGAAGGAATGGTACCAGTTCCTCCTTGTACCTCTGGTAGAATTCGGCTGTGAATCCATCTGGTCCTGGACTCTTTTGGTTGGTAAGCTATTGATTATTGCCACAATTTCAGATCCTGTTATTGGTCTATTCAGAGATTCAACTTCTTCCTGGTTTAGTCTTGGGAGAGTGTATGTGTCCAGGAATTTATCCATTTCTTCTAGATTTTCTAGTTTATTTGCGTAGAGGTGTTTGTAGTATTCTCTGATACTAGTTTGTATTTCTGTGGGATCGGTGGTGATATCCCCTTTATCATTTTTTATTGCGTCTATTTGATTCTTCTCTCTTTTTTTCTTTATTAGTCTTGCTAGCGGTCTATCAATTTTGTTGATCCTTTCAAAAAACCAGCTCCTGGATTCATTAATTTTTTGAAGGGTTTTTTTGTGTCTCTATTTCCTTCAGTTCTGCTCTGATTTTAGTTATTTCTTGCCTTCTGCTAGCTTTTGAATGTGTTTGCTCTTGCTTTTCTAGTTCCTTTAATTGTGATGTTAGGGTGTCAATTTTGGATCTTTCCTGCTTTCTCTTGTGGGCATTTAGTGCTATAAATTTCCCTCTACACACTGCTTTGAATGTGTCCCAGAGATTCTGGTATGTTGTGTCTTTGTTCTCGTTGGTTTCAAAGAACATCTTTATTTCTGCCTTCATTTCGTTATGTACCAAGTAGTCATTCAGGAGCAGGTTGTTCAGTTTCCATGTAGTTGAGTGGTTCTGAGTGAGATTCTTAATCCTGAGTTCTAGTTTGATTGCACTGTGGTCTGAGAGATAGTTTGTTATAATTTCTGTTCTTTTACATTTGCTGAGGAGAGCTTTACTTCCAAGTATGTGGTCAATTTTGGAATAGGTGTGGTGTGGTGCTGAAAAAAATGTATATTCTGTTGATTTGGGGTGGAGAGTTCTGTAGATGTCTATTAGGTACGCTTGGTGCAGAGCTGAGTTCAATTCCTGGGTATCCTTGTTGACTTTCTGTCTTGTTGATCTGTCTAATGTTGACAGTGGGGTGTTAAAGTCTCCCATTATTAATGTGTGGGAGTCTAAGTCTCTTTGTAGGTCACTCAGGACTTGCTTTATGAATCTGGGTGCTCCTGTATTGGGTGCATATATATTTAGGATAGTTAGCTCTTCTTGTTGAATTGATCCCTTTACCATTATGTAATGGCCTTCTTTGTCTCTTTTGATCTTTGTTGGTTTAAAGTCTGTTTTATCAGAGACTAGGATTGCAACCCCTGCTTTTTTTTGTTTTCCATTGGCTTGGTAGATCTTCCTCCATCCTTTTATTTTGAGCCTATGTGTGTCTCTGCCCGTGAGATGGGTTTCCTGAATACAGCATACTGATGAGTCTTGACTCTTGATCCAATTTGCCAGTCTGTGTCTTTTAATTGGAGCATTTAGTCCATTTACATTTAAAGTTAATATTGTTATGTGTGAATTTGATCCTGTCATTATGATGTTAGCTGGTTATTTTGCTCGTTAGTTGATGCAGTTTCTTCCTAGTCTCGATGGTCTTTACATTTTGGCATGATTTTGCAGCGGCTGGTACTGGTTGTTCCTTTCCATATTTAGTGCTTCCTTCAGGAGCTCTTTTAGGGCAGGCCTGGTGGTGACAAAATCTCTCAGCGTTTGCTTGTCTCTAAAGGATTTTATTTCTCCTTCACTTATGAAGCTTAGTTTGGCTGGATATGAAATTCTGGGTTGAAAATTCTTTTCTTTAAGAATGTTGAATATTGGCCCCCACCCTCTTCTGGCTTGTAGAGTTTCTGCCGAGAGATCCGCTGTTAGTCTGATCGGCTTCCCTTTGAGGGTAACCCGACCTTTCTCTCTGGCTGCCCTTAACATTTTTTCCTTCATTTCAACTTTGGTGAATCTGACAATTATGTGTCTTGGAGTTGCTCTTCTCGAGGAGTATCTTTGTGGCGTTCTCTGTATTTCCTCAATCTGAATGTTGGCCTGCCTTGCTAGACTGGGGAAGTTCTCCTGGATAATATCCTGCAGAGTGTTTTCCAGCTTGTTTCCATTCTCCCCGTCACTTTCAGGTACACCAATCAGACGTAGATTTGGTCTTTTCACATAGTCCCATATTTCTTGGAGGCTTTGCTCGTTTCTTTTTATTCTTTTTTCTCTAAACTTCCCTTCTCGCTTCATTTCATTCATTTCATCTTCCATCGCTGATACCCTTTCTTCCAGTTGATCGCATCGGCTCCTGAGGCTTCTGCATTCTTCACGTAGTTCTCGAGCCTTGGTTTTCAGCTCCATCAGCTCCTTCAAGCACTTCTCTGTATTGGTTATTCTAGTTATGCATTCTTCTAAATTTTTTTCGAAGTTTTCAACTTCTTTGCCTTTCGTTTGAATGTCCTCCCGTAGCTCGGAATAATTTGATCATCTGAAGCCTTCTTCTCTCAGCTCGTCAAAGTCATTCTCTGTCCAGGTTTGTTCCGTTGCTGGTGAGGAACTGCATTCCTTTGGAGGAGGAGAGGCGCTCTGCTTTTTAGATTTTCCAGTTTTTCTGCTCTGTTTTTTCCCCATCTTTGTGGTTTTATCTACTTTTGGTCTTTGATGATGGTGATGTACAGATGGGTTTTTTGTGTGGATGTCCTTTCTGTTTGTTAGTTTTCCTTCTAACAGACAGGACCCTCAGCTGCAGGTCTGTTGGAGTACCCGGCCGTGTGAGGTTTCAGTCTGCCCCTGCTGGGTAGTGCCTCCCAGTTAGGCTGCTCGGGGGTCAGGGGTCAGGGACCCACTTGAGGAGGCAGTCTGCCCGTTCTCAGATCTCCAGCTGCGTGCTGGGAGAACCACTGCTCTCTTCAAAGCTCAGACGGAAATGCAGAAATCACCCATCTTCTGCATTGCTCACGCTGGGAGCTGTAGACCGGAGCTGTTCCTATTCGGCCATCTTGGCTCCTTCCTCGCTGTTACAACCTCTAAAGGAATTATTTGGGGATATATATCAGATTAAATGAAAATTAAGATAAAACCTGCCAGATACAAAATGAAAACTATTGCATTATTTTACATATATGTAGAATTTTTTAAAAAGTCAAATATACAGAAATAGAGAATAAAATAGTGATTACCAGAGGTAGGGTGGGTGGAAGAAATGGGGAGATGTACCTCAAGGGATACAAAGTAGGAAATATGTAGGATGAACAGGTCTGGAGATCTAATGCCCAACCTGCCAACTATAGCTAATATCAGGGCATTGTAGGCCAGGCATGACGGCTCACGCCTGTTATCCCAGCACTTTGGGAGGCCGAGGTGGGCAGATCACTTAAGGCCAAGGAGTTCGAGACCAGCCTGAGCAGCATGGTGAAACCCTGTCTCTACAAAAATTAGCCAAATGTGGTGCCCGTGCCTGTAGTCCCAGCTACTCGCAAGGCTCAGGTGAGAGGATCTCTTGAGCCTGGGAGGTGGAGGTTGCAGTGAGCCAAGATCGCGCCACTACACTCCGGCCTGGGTGACAGAGTGAGACCTTGTCTCAAAAAAATAAATTAAAAAAATAATAAAAATGGTGTATTGTATTCAGGATTTTTGCTAAATGAGTAAATTATAACTGCTCTTGCAATGAGGGGTTGGGAGTGGGAAGGGAAGCAGGTAACTATGTGAGGTGATGGAGGTGTTAATTTGCTTCACTGTAATAACCATTTTACTCACAGCATCATGTTGTATACCTTAAAATATATTTTAAAAATTAAATTAAAAAAAGAAAATTAAGATAAAGCTTTACATTTTTTTAAAATTTAAAATTAAGATAATGGTAGGCAAAGGTGTATTAACTAAATCCAAAATGAAAGAATTCTGATATCTTGATCTTACTATCGGACAGAATTGAATTTGGGAGAGAAAAATATTAAATAAGACAACAACATTTTTTGTTACTTAAAGATTATAGGCGAAGTGCTATGGCTTATGCCTATAATCCCAGTACTTTGGGAGTCCAAGGCAGGAGAATCACTTGAGGCCAGGAGTTCAAGATCAGACTGAGTAACAGTGAGAACCCCTCTAAAACAATTATTTTAATATTAGCCAGGTGTGATGACATGCACCTGTAGTCCCAGCTACTTGGGAGGCTGAGGCGGAGAGGTAGCTTGAGCCCAAGAGTTCAAGGTTATAGTGAACTATGATTGCACCATTGCATCTAGTCTGGGTGACTGAGCGAGTCTCGGTTTTTTAAAACTCTGTCTCTGTTTTTTAAAACAAGATTATAATTCACAATTAAGATACAACTTTCCTTAAAAGTCATGTAGAAAAAGAACATCAAAATGTAAAAAGCAAAAACTATATCAATATAAGAAAAAATAGGCTGGGCACGGTGGCTCACGCCTGTAATCCCAGCACTTTGGGAGGCTGAGGCGGGCAGATCACGTCAGGAGTTCGAGACCAGCCTGGCCAACATGGTGAAACCCTGTCTCTACTAAAAATACCGAAATTAGCTGGGTGTGGTGGTGCACACCTATAATCCCAGCTACTCGGGAGGCTGAGGCAGGAGAATCACTTGAACCCGGGAGGTGGATGTTGCAGTGAGCCAAGATCGTGCCGCTGCACTCCAGCCTGGACAACAGAGCAAGACTCCATCTCAGAAAAAAAAGAAAAAATAGGCAAAAACTCACTGTTAGTAGGAATCTGTGACTGACTTCTTTTAGTCCGTGACATATCAAGAAGTCAGAAAATAAGTATTAGTACAAAATACCTAGATAACAGAATTACTAAGGCCAACCTTACAGAGATATACAAAATCCTATTCTATTCCAAGAAAAAGTGCACCTTCTTTTCAAGTGTCTGAAACTGTCCAAAAATTTACAACATATAACCTAGAAAGCCTCAAAAAAAGTCCAAAAAGTAGACATAGCAAACTTTTCTTATCACAAGACTTGAAAACTATGAAACAAAAAGACCTATTAGAAAAAAACTCAGCATATCACTGACAAATAGCTTCTTTCTTAAACAAATCTTATGTTAAATAGAAAATCAAATTCAAAATTTCAAAATATCTAGAAAACAGTAATAAAAATACCATATGCTAGAAATTATGGTACTTTGTAAAAGCAGGGCTCAACAATCCATAAAAGTAGGAGGGAAAAAAGGGACAGGCAAATAGAAGAGATAAAATAGAACTACACAGCTGAGTGTGGCAGTATGTGCCTGTATTCCCAGGTACTTGGGAGTCTGAAGTGAGAGGATCGCTTGAGCCCAGGAGCCCAGGAGTCCGGCCTGGGCAACATAAGGAGACCCTTGTCTCTTAAAAAAAAAAAAAGAAAAGAAAAGAAAAGAAAGAGGGGGGCGGGCGTGGTGGCTCATGCCTGTAATCCCAGCACTTTGGGAGGCTGAGGCGAGCAGATCACAAGGTCAGGAGTTCGAGACCAGCCTGGCCAACATAGTGAAACCCCATTTCTACTAAAAATACAAAAAATAATTAGCTGGGCATGGCGGCGGGCACCTGTAATCCCAGCTACTTGGGAGGCTGAGGCAGGAGAATCTCTTGAACCCAGGAGGCGGAGGTTGCAGTGAGCCAAGATTGTACCATTGCACTCTAGCCAGGGCAACAGTGCGAGACTCCAGCTCAAAAGAAAAAGAAAAAGGTAGAAATACACAAAATAAGAAATGAAAACATTCAGATATAAAAAGAAAAATTAGTAAATCTAAGCACATTATCTTGATCAACTATGCAAATTATTTTGAAAATGTGAATGAAATAGTAATTTTCCATGGATAAATACTAAATATTCCATTGCATATTGTCAGAATGGATTTATTTAAAAACAGAACAAAATTTATGTTGCTTATAAGAGACATTTTTAAAAAACACAGAAAGTTTGAGAATTAAAGGACAGAAAAAGAAATGCCATGTGAACACTAATCAATATAAAGCTGGAATAATTTTGCTAAAGCGGACAAAACACTTCAAGGCAAGAAGTATTACCCATTCTGTGTCAACCTCATTTTTTATATCATTATTCATCTCTCATATGTGTCTATCTGGTATCCCCAGCCATAATCTGGTAACCTATCTCATCACACGCCTTTCTACCCAGTGTTTTGCCCACAGGAAATGCTCAGTATATGCCAGTAGTCCTGGGTGTCTCTGCAGATAAGTTGTGTATTATCAAAATGCCTGACTTTATTCTCTGTTCAAAGCTTCTCTGTATCATGTGGGTATGATTTTGAAAACTGTCAATGTTAAATGTTTAACATATTCCTCAGACCCACTGCTGAGGAATGTCCTGCGGAGGACAGTCTAGAACTCAAATGAAAGACATGAGGAAGAAATCATTATCCCTGTGAGCCATAGAAGTGTTTGCTTTCTATGGACAACCAGAATGCAGGAAACCTCACTATCAGGCAGAGGACAATCTGATAATGAAATGTGCTCTACAGAATATGGGAGAAACTGTGGCCAGGAGTGGAGGCTGGGAACCATGTAGGAAGGGGAAGAATGAAAGGAAACTAGTTTTAGAAATGAACATGGATTCTAAATTTTCTCCAATACTTTTCTATAATCTCCTCTCATTTTATTTTTCTCAGCCCATTACCATCGTAAGTTCCATGACAATATTTTTTTCTAGAACTCCCTCCTCTATTCCATAGAATACCTTTCAACATACACTAACCAGAATAACCTCTCTCCCTTCTAAACAATCCCTTTCCAGCACTTGTCAAATTTCAGTAAGATGATAGAAAGAGAAAACAATAAGGAGACATAAGTGGTTAAAATTTAAAAGAAAAAAAGCAAGCAGCACTTACCTGCATATTATGTCACTTGGGTCCCGGAAAAAAACAGAACACAGACATTGTCATAAAAATAGTTCTCAGGAGCCGTCATCATTCTCTACTGTGGGATCATTGAGAAATGGGTATACACCAGGACTGAACAGAGAATTATTCTGATGGACCCGGACCTGTCCTCCCTCTGTTGCAGTTTCTTTTTTTCTTTTCTTTTCTTGTTTTTTTTTTTTATTTTTTTATTATTTTTTTATTTTTTTTTTCATTTGAGATGGAGTCTCACTCTGTCACCCAGGCTGGAGTGCAGTGGTGTGATCTTGGCTCACTGCAACCTCTGTCTCCCGGGTTCAAGCGATTCTCCTGCCTCAGCCTCCAGAGTAGCTGAGATTACAGGCACCTGCCACCATGTCCGGCTAATTTTTGTATTTTTAGTAGAGATGGGATTTCACTATGTTGGCCAGGATGGTCTCGAACTCCTGACCTCGTTATCTGCCTGCCTCAGCCTCCCACAGTGCTGGGATTATAGGCATGAGCCACTACTCCCAGCCTGCAGTTTCTTTCTTTTTTTTTTTGAGATGGAGTCTGGCTCTGTCGCCCAGGCTGGAGTGCAGTGGCACAATCTCGGCTCACTGCAAACTCCGCCTCCCGGGTTCACGCCATTCTCCTGACTCAGCCTCCGGAGTAGCTGGGACTACAGGCACCCACCACCACACCCGGCTTCATTTTTGTATTTTTTAGTAGAGACGCGGTTTCACTGTGTTAGCCAGGATGGTCTCGATCTCCTGACCTCATGATCTGCCTGCCTTGGCCTCCCAAAGTGCTGGGATTACAGGTGTGAACCACTGTGCCTGGCCTGCAGTTTCAATTTATAAGGACAAATGCTTCCCCTTCATGTCTTTCATTCGAGTTCTAGACTATCCTCTTCAGAAACCTTTCTTGATTTATAGACAGATAAAAATCTGTTAAGAATCCCATTGTCTATTCAGTTAAGGCTCAAATTTCAGCCTGCTTTGGAAGGCCTCAACTCAGTTGGCCCCATCATACTTTTCACTTCTCCCTCACTTAATCTGACTCTTCCAGAAAGGTAGCTACCTTCATTCTATGTCCCCTTCTTATCAGTCTTCCTACTCCTATCTTCCCCAGCACCTATGCCCACCTGCCAACACATATACCAAGTTTATTATTACATTCATTTATCTAATTGTAACTAGTGTGTCCCCACCCCCTACCAAGTGGAATGTTTAGCTCCTTTCTGACAATCTAAATCTTACTTAGCTGGGCGTGGTGATGGGTGCCTGTAGTCCCAGCTACTCAGGAGGCTGAGGCAGGAGAATCACTTGAACCCAGGAGGTGAAGGTTGCAGTGAGTTGAGATCGCGCCACTGCACTCCAGCCTGGGTGACAGAGGGAGATGCCATCTCAAATAAATAAATAAATATAAAATAAAATAAATCTTTACGTTTCCTTCAAGGCCAACATCAAAAGCCTCTTCTTTGAAGGCTTCTCTGACTAAACACTAGCTGTTTCCAGAATTCTTGTGGCATCCAATCTGACTGGAAGATTTAACATCAGATTATTTGTTGTAATTATAAATGTACAGATCTTAATATTCCATTATATGGTCTGTGCATATTATAGACCCCTGCCCACTGCACTTTGGGGCTTAAAACCTATTGGTTGGCTAATTCAGTTATTAAAGAATTCAGTAAATGAGAATAACACCTTGTCTCTCTTGACTCTTGGTCCAAATCTCTTGCAAATAGGCCACACCGTAGTCATAGAGCAAGAGGACTCAGATACAGTTTGGTTGGTCCTTTACCTTCAAAAGTTCAAGTGCTGGCTGCCGAGACTTCTCCAACTCAGTGATCAGGGTCCCAAGCTGGACCACCTCCTCAGAACCCTTGATGACACGGCTGTTCCTCCTTTTGGTGAGTTCTTGCTCTAGCCCTACCAGCTGCTCCAACAGGTACTGTTCCCTTTCTCTCAAAAACCGATGGCCCTATTCAAACACTGATACAATGTCTTGCCTGTGGTTCTGAAATGTTGTCTACAGTAAATGCAGAAAGAGAAAAGTGACCTTTTTGAGAGGCTAGGGAACACCAGAACATGTGTGAGATCTTCTGAGGATGAGTTCAGAACAGAAATCTCTTTGATCACTCTCCCCCTCCCCATTCCTCAATACTTCCCCCACACACATACCCCTTCCTCTCCTTAACCTATGCCCCGCTACTACCTACACACACACCCCTGCCCTACACACATACACACATTCATACAGAACATTTACTAGAGACCTCTCTTACCACCAGGGCCTGAATCTCATCTTCTCCCATAGATTGAGAATTCTGAATGCTATCCTTGTATCCCTTCAGAATCTTCCGATGGTTTAGAATTTTGCCCTATGAAAATAAACAAGGATAGTCTCGGGCTGGGCGTGGTGGCTCATGCCTGTAATCCCAGTACTTTGGGAGGTCGAGGCAGGTGGATTACCTGAGGTCAGGAGTTAAAGACCAGCCTGGCCAACATGGTGAAACCCTGTCTCTACTAAAAAATACAAAAATTAGCTGGGCATGGTGGTGAGCACCTGTAATTCCAACTACTTGGGAGGCTGAGGCAGGAGAATCAGTTGAACCTTGGAGGCGGAGGTTGCAGTGAGTCGGGATCGCGCCACTGCACTCCAGCCTGGGCAACAAGAGCAAAACTCTGTCTCAAGAAAAGAAAAAAAAAGAAAAAGAAAAAGAAAATAAACTTGAATAGTCTCAAGATCAAGATGAAAATGACCTCAATGAAAAAAGGGAGATGCAAAGTGATTCCAGAGTGAAATCCAACTGCATTTGACCATGTGTAGTTTAATAATGGTTGTGTGGAACAATTTCCATTCTAGTTAATAAGGAAGATCCATTGAGTGATACAATGGCCTAGAGCAATTTCTTAGAAGTAAGACAAAATAATATCGTATTATCATTATAACTAACAAGACTTATGGTATAGTTTCTAATTTATATTTACACTATCCTTTTCTACCAAAAATACAGACAATTAAAATTAAAATTAATTAATAAAACAAAAATAGAAGGTGGGTGCAGTGGTATGTGCCTGTAGTCCCAGCTATTTGGGAAAATAAGGGTGAAGTATCTCTTGAGCCCAAGTCTTTGAGGGCATACCTTGGCAACATAGTGAGACCCTGTCTTGTAAAAAGAAAAAAAAATAGAAACAAAAAATTAACACAAAAAGTCAAGGAAAGTATATATGCCAACTCCAAATAATAATAATAATAACTATTATTATTATTATTGTAGAGATGGGGTCTTGCTATAGCCCAGGCTGGTCTCCTGTTCTCAAGCTATCCTCCTGCCTTGGCTTCCCAAAGTGTTGGGATTACAGGCATGAGCCACCACACCTGGCAGCAACTCCAGATTATTAAGAGGATGACTAAATTGGCAGGCAAAGAGAAAAGGGAAACAATGAACTGCCTGATGTTTCTTTTTTCTTTTCTTTTTTTTTTTCTTTTTTTTGAGACAAAGTCTCACACTGCTGCCCAGGCTGGAGTGCAATGGCACAATCTTGGCTCACTGCAAGCTCCGCTTCCTGGGTTCAAGCGATTCTCTTGCCTCAGCCTCCCAAGTAGCTGGGATTACAGGTGCATGCCACCATGCCTGGCTAATTTTTGAATTTTGGTAGAGATGAGGTTTTGCCATGTTGGCCAGGCTGGTCTTGAGTCCCTGACATCAAGTGATTCACCTGCCTTAGCCTCCCAAAGCGCTAGGATTACAGATGTGAGCCACCAAGCCTGGCCTGATGTTTCTTTAGCAGGCAAGAAGAAACATACTAGGACCCCAGAGGAAATAATATTTTCCTTGTTAAATTCTGAAAGAAAAATTACATAGATTTTATACAGGCTGAAATATTGTGAAAAAAAATTTTTTTTTTTTTTGAAATGGAGTCTCGCTCTGTCGCCCAGGCTGGAGTGCAGTGGCGCGATCTCGGCTCACTGCAAGCTCCGCCTCCCGGGTTCACGCCATTCTCCTGCCTCAGCCTCCCGAGTAGCTGGGACTACAGGCGCCCGCCACCACGCCCGGCTAATTTTTTGTATTTTTAGTAGAGACAGGATTTCACTGTGTGTGCCAGGATGGTCTCGATCTCCTGACCCTGTGATCCGCCCGCCTCGGCCTCCAAA
The DNA here is from genome assembly GCF_000001405.40 of Homo sapiens. NCBI lineage: Eukaryota > Metazoa > Chordata > Mammalia > Primates > Hominidae > Homo > Homo sapiens. The sequence continues at coordinate 1,495,765 of NT_167245.2, read as the reverse complement.
AGTGCTGGGATTACAGGCGTGAGCCACCGCACCAGACCTCAAAAATATTTTTATAACAACTGTGTACATACCACTTGAAGCTATATACTACGAGAGCTATCAGGAGTGCTGGTATTCTGTATAGCTGATAAGACTTGATCTGAACCTCAGAGATGAAACCATCAAGGCAATGTGATAGACTTACTTCCATAAAAGATATAAAACCAAACCAGCTTTATTATCCAAATGCAAAGGGTAGTACTTTACCAAGAATCTTTCATGCTAAAGAATTTGAACTGTCTTACACCTCTTAGAAATGCTATTATATTTTTTAAAAGATAAGAAGCGTTGGTGAGGATGTGGAGAAAGGGGAACCCTGATACGCTGTTGGTGGAAATGCAAACTGGTACAGCCATTATAAAAACAGTAAGAAGCTCCTCAAATAATTAAAAACAGAACTACCATATGATCCAGCAATTTCACTTCTGGGTATTTATAGCCCATATACTTCCCATGTTCTTTGCAGCACTATTCACAATAACCAAGATTTAAAAAACCCTAAATGTTCACTGATGGATGAATAAAGAAAATGTGGTATATACATACAATGCAATATTATTCAGCCTTAAAGAGAAGGAAATTCTGCCATTGGTAACAACATGGATGGACCTTGAGAACATTATGCTAAGTGAATATGCCAGACACATACTGTGCGACCTCACTTATATGTGGAATCTAAAACAGTCAAACTTACATAAACAGAGTAGAATGGTGGTTGCCAGGGACTGGTGGGGACGGGGAATGGAGGGTTGATGGTCAAAGTTACAAAGTTTCAGTTATGCAAGATAAAGAAGTTCTAGAGACCTACTATATAGCATAATGCCTATAGCTAAAAACACTGTATTGTATACTTCAAATTTACTAAAAGAATAGATCTTTGACTAAGTGTTCTTATCACACACACAAAATAATAACAATAAAGAGGGTGTGTGGAAAGTTTGGAAAGTGATAGACGTGTTTTTGCTGTGATGATGGTTTCAGAGGTGTATACTCATCTACAAACTCATTAATTGGTATACATTAAATATGTATAGCTTTTACATGTCAATCATACCTCAATAAAGTAATGCAAAAAACCTGCACCTTATCCTGAAGGTACCATAGAACTTTCTGGCTAAAAGAACAGAGCTGGGGTCCAACACGATTCTTACCCGACGAGGCTGTGCAGCCTTTTCTAGGAGAACAGCAGCATGGTGCTTGTGTTCTCGGGACTCCAACGCATCACATACACCATCTGCTGGTCATCCTTTGAAGCATTAATGGAGCTTCTCCAGGTGTCGCCTACACAGCTTCTCTGCTTTTTGCTCAGGTGGTCTTTCCTCTCTGGGTTGTCTCTCCTCATCTACCTTCATTCTCCAAATGTTCTCCATCAGGTTGGCCATCTGCCACACATGGCAGATATTTTTTCTTAAAAGCTGGCTTGCACAGAGAACAATGTAATGGTTGCCTAGTAGATTCACAGACCTGAATGATGCAGTGGTAGCAAAAGACATGACCACAGTCAATGGTCACTGGGTCTCTCAAGTAGTCAAGACAGATGGAGAACCTCATCCTCCAGATTTCTCAGAGGGGAGGCAGCAGTTGTGATCACTATGCTCAAGTCCTGCAAAGAGTTCACTCTCAAAGTGAGAAATCACTTTCTAAGAAGACATGAAGAAAACAAAGAAGTTGTGAGTTTAATGAACATCAAAATGGAACCCATGAGAAAATAGTTTTTATGTTCAAACTGCTCCCAACCTTTTTTCTCAAAATCCAAAGTCCCTTCCAGAGCACTACTCAGAACACGTTCTGGCTTGCAGTGTTAGATGAATGTTAATTTTAGGCAGCTAGCTCTGCTGTAAGCATTTCAAAGGGTGCTCATATATGTAATTTTTTTTTCCCCGAGACGGAGTCTCGTTCTGTCGCCCAGGCTGGAGTGCAGTGGCACTATCTCGGCTCACTGCAAGCTCCACCTCCCGGGTTCACGCCATTCTCCTTCCTCAGCCTCCCAGGTAGGTGGGACTACAGGCGCCGGCCACCTTGTCCGGCTAATTTGTTGTGTTTTGAGTAGAGACGGGGTTTCACCGTGTTAGCCAGGATGGTTTCGATCTCCTGATCTCGTGATCTGCCCGCCTTGGCCTCCCAAAGTGCTGGGATTACCGGTGTGAGCCACCGCGCCCGGCCTCATATATGTAATTAAGTGGGAGTATCCTAGAAGATTTTGGACAACTAATTTTTCAATAAAGTCTAAAGGATTTGTGCCCACCTCTCAGTAGATCAGCTCAGTAAAATATATTTCCTGTAAATAATTCAAAAGTAGAGAATAAGAACTAACAAAATTTGGGCCTGTATCTTAAAACTCATCTGAAAACATGAGAGCTACATATTAGAAACCACTAGGTTTTGGCCGGGCGCGGTGGCTCACGCCTGTAATCCCAGCACTTTGGGAGGCCAAGGCGGGCGGATCACAAAGTCAGGAGGTCGAGACCATCCTGGCTAACACGGTGAAACCCCGTCTCTACTAAAAATACAAAAATTAGCCGGGCGTGATGGCGGGCGCCTGTAGTCCCAGGTAGTCGGGAGGCTGAGGCAGGAGAATGGCGTGAACCCGGGGGGCGGAGCTTGCAGTGAGCCGAGATTGTGCCACTGCACTCCAGCCTGGGCGACAGAGCCAGACTCCGTCACAAAAGAAGAGAAAAGAAAAGAATGCACTAGGTTCATCCACAGGTCTGTTATTCATACACTGCCTGAGAAATCTCTTCATCATGGTTTAAACTAATTTTTTTCAAACATGTTTTGAAACATCACAGTAAAAAAGTCACTCATGTCCCAGTCTAATATACATGCATATGCACACACAGACACACACACACACACATTTTGTTGGGTACCATTTTTCTTTATTATTTGTAATATATTCTGATTTTTAAATTACAGTCCGTTTTAAAAATGCTGGTTATAACCTGCAAAATTGGTTTCATGACAGTAGGTATCACCTACATTTTGAAAAACAAATCAAACCACAACTTTATCACTAACAGTGACCTCTACCTACAGATGCAAACTCTGGGGAGCTACCAAGGCCTACTGAACCACCACTTGAATCTTGCACCTTAAACTCACACATCCAAATCCACTATCTCTCTCATTCTTCCTATTCCTCAGGAACACGTACCAATAGCCACCCCATTATCCAAGCCATTACAGACAACAGTAAGGAGGCTTCTCAAAAAATTAAAAGTAGAACTACTATATGATCCATCAATCTCACTAATGGATATATATCCAAAGGAAATGAAATTGGTACGTCAAAGAGATACATGCACTCCCATGTTCACTGCAGCGCTATTCACAATAGCCAAGATATGAAATTAACCAAAGTGGCCATCAAAGAATGAATAGATTTTTAAAAATGTGGCGTATGTACACAATGGAATACTTTTCAGCCATAAAAAGAATGAAATTCTGTCATTTGTAACAACATGAATGAACCAAGAGGACATTATATTAAGTAAGCCAAGCAATGAAGAACAAATGGCACATGATTTCACTCATATGTGGAACTGCAAAAGCTGATCTCATAGAAGGGAAGAGGAGAATAGCGGTTACCAGAGACCGAGAAGGAGAGGGAGAAGTGAGGATGTACACTCAAGTGAGAATGTACACTGAAAACTATAAAAAATTGCTGAAATTGAAGATCTAAATAAATGGAAAGACATCTTGTGTTGATGGGTAGAAAGACTTAAAATTGTTAAGTTGTCAATAATATCCAAAGTGATCTACAGACTCAATTAATCTCTATCAAAATTTCAACAGCCTTTTAAACAGATATGGAAAAGCAGGTCCTTGAATTCATATGGAAATGTTCACAAAAAAACAAGTGTTTGTAGGAAAAACAGAGTTTTGATAGGCAACTCAAAATCTATTCATCTTCATACTCATAACACTAACAAAGCAATAACAATTCGAATAAAAATACTAGCATAGTTTTTAAAGAGAAAAAAAAAAGACTTGTTAAACTCTAAATAGATGAAAGACTTTTTAAAGGGGGAGCTAGGCTGAGGGGTGGCTCATGCCTGTAATCCCAGCACTTTGGGAGGCCGAGGTGGGCAGATCACTATGTCCAGAGATCGAGACCATCCTGGCCAAGATGGTGAAACCCCCATCTCTACTAAAAATACAAAAATTAGCTGGGCATGGTGGTGCGCGCCGGTAGTCCCAGCTGCTCGGGAGACTGAGGCAAGAGAATCGCTTGAACCTGGGAGGCAGAGGTTGCAGTGAGCCGAGATCTCACCACTGCACTCCAGCCTGGTGACAGAGCAAGACTCCATCTCAAAAAAAATTTAAAAAAGGAGGCCAGGTGCAGTGTCTCATGCCTGTAATCCCAGCACTTTGGGAGGCCGAGGTGGGTGGATCACGATATCAGGAGATCAAGACCATCCTGCCTAAGACGGCAAAACCCCGTCTCTACTAAAAATACAAAAAATTAGCCAGGCATGGTGGCACGTGCCTGTAGTCCCAGCTACCCAGGAGGCTGAGGCAGGAGGATGGCTTGAACCCGGGAGGCGGAGGTTGGAGTGAGCCGAGATTGCACGACTGCACTCCAGCCTGGGCGACAGAGCGAGCCTCCATCTCAAAAAAAATAACAATTAAAAGAATGAAAAAATAAAATAAAATAAATAAAGGGGGAACTAAAGATACAAGGGGATAAGGAAAGATGGAAGCTGCTGCTTTATGGAGACAAGGTGGAGGGACATCACCATGAGAAGCTATAGAGGATAAGCAGTTGAAGCTTTGCACAAAATGTAGATGACAAAGATGGGTAGCTCTGGATGGTTATTTTCTGCTTGTTTGTTTTGCACCTGCTTAAAAAAAAACACCTGATTTTTTTTTTTCTGTATTGCCACCTTCCTTCTTTCATTAAGAAGCTGCTGTTATGGCTCCAAATAGGACCTTGTGCCATGAAGTGCAATCTGCACTAACACATCTACAAATGCATGTCAATCACACCTAAAGTAGAAAAAGAAAGCTCTTGTGGAATTATTCTAAAGTCTAATGGATTTTTCTTCCCCACTCTTAAGGGGCATCTCAGCAACAAGTTGTTATGGAACTGTGGCAACATCTTAATATTCCCATTCTCAAAATAGTTCAGAAAAAGTGCATGAAAATTGGGGGAACTACTTAGTAAGCACTTCAGGATAGAGAATGTAGCTAAAATGAGTAAAGTGGAGAAGGAGTCAACGGCATTGTGCACAGCATTGTATTCATAGCTTGCTCCCTTAAATCGTGTTTGGGACTTGGCTGCTATTTTGGTACAGCTGCTATTACTCAGTGCAGAACATTAACATATGGGGGAAATTGTATATTACACAATGCAGCTTCCACATTATGCTGACACCATTCCTCTACTTGTCCATTTACTTTAAGAGACACTTACTGATGCAAAGGAGACTGAACAGTGAAGGATCTCACTCAGAATCCTGTCCACAATCTGTCCAGTTTACACCTTACCCCAAAGAGGTAATCTCTTTTGTTAATTACCTGTGTATCTTCCAATTTTTTCATGATAATATAATAATGACTCTTCATTCCCTCTTTTTTTGACACAGAGGTAGCCTGTTATACAACGTTCTTCACCTCATTCTCTCACTTCACAATATATCTTGGAGATCTTACCAAAAGCACACAGAGACCTCCTGCGTTGTGATTAGATTTTCATTGCATAATATTCCATTGTTCGTGTGTGTGTGAGTGTTTAGTTAGTCTCAAATTGATAGGTGCATGAATTTTTCCAATCTTTTGTTAAGGCAAGCAGTATTGAATAAACTTGTACATAATATTTTTGCATGTGTATAATTATATCTGTAGAATGAGTTTCAAAAAATGAAATTGAAAGGTTTAAGGCTGTATTCACAAACAATTTTGAAAGGTATTGATTGCCTAATTGTCCTCCAAAAGGTTTGTCCCAAACTGGACTCCTATAACCAATAAATCAAAGTGCTTGTTTCTCCATAGCCTTGTCAACAGAGGGTGTTGCCAAACTTTTAACTTTTTGCCAATCTGACAGGAAAGACATGATATCTCCTGTAGTTTTTCTTCTTCCTCTGGTAAAAGCAAGGTTAAGTGTTTTTTCATGTGTTTAATAACTATTTTTGTTTCCTTTTCTGAGTTTCTTCACAGTTCCCGAGACAGAAAAAAGGAAAAAGGATTTCAGCAGACAGAATTTCAACAACAATTGTCTGTTAAAATTCTTTTTACTTTTTCTTTCAGAGATTGCTAGTCTCTTTCTTCTCAATTTTAAGGTGCATTTTAATTGCTAAAGAGGTCATTTCTTTGGATGTGATATGCATGAAAATATTTCTATAAGTTTTTCATTTGTCTTTTGATTTTTTATGATATTTTCTGCTACTCGGAACTGCTTTTTATTTTATGTAGTTCAGTTTATTAATTTTCTGTCCTATGGCTTTTACGATTTGGAGTTACAGTTAGATAGCCCTCCTCCAAAGTTAGAAAGGAATATTTCCTTTTTTTCATTGAAAACTTTGACCCATTTGGAGTTTATCATGCTATACAGTTGGAATTGTGCCCAACTTTAAATATTATTTCCCATGTAGTTATCCAGTTATCTCAAAAGCATTTATTGAATGGTCATCTATCTTTTCCACTGATCTGAGATCCCATTTTTATCATCCACTAAATTACTGTATGCTTGGGTCTATTTCTAGATTTCCTTTTATTTTTCATTGATCTGTCTGTTTATGTACCAACATCACATTCTTTTCGTTATTGAGGCTTTAGAATGTTTTCATATTTGGCAAAGCCAGTTTTTCTCAAGCTCCCCTTGTCTGAGGTTTAGTTGGTATTCTTTCTTTATTTTTCATATGAATCTTTGAATCAGTTTATCTAGTTAAAAAGAACACCTGGCTGGGCACGGTGGCTCACGCCTGTAATCCCAACACTTTGGGAGGCTGAGGAGGGAGGAACACCTGAGGTCATGAATTCGAGACCAGCTTGGTCAACATGGTGAAACCCCATCTCTACTAAAATACAAAAAATAGCTGGGGTGGTGGTGTGTGCCTGTAATCGCAGCTACTCAGGAGGCTGAGGCAGGAGAATCGCTTGAGCCCGGGAGACAGAGGTTGCAGTGAGCTGAGATTGTGCCGTTGCTCTCCAGCCTGGGCAACAAGAGTGAAACTCTGTCTCAAAAAAAAAAAAAGAACACCTCTGGTATTTTTATTTTTTACAAGTTAAATTAAGATTAGCCCGGAGGGATGATAACTTTATGATGATCAATGTATGTATTCGAGAAATATTTCAGGTTTTTAAAGTATTTAAGTGTTTGTTACATATAGGTATCACACATTTCAAAGTAAGTTCATTCCAGAGTATTTTATCTTTTTGTTGATATTATAAATAGTATCTTTTCTTCTGTTATATCTTCTACCTAAATGTTGATTTGGATACATGAAAACTATTTACTTCTTCCTATAGCTATTTTATTCTGCATGTTAGGGTAGAAAACAAAACTGTAATAATGGAGAAAACTGTAAATGAGATGACTCAAACAAAATAGTTTATTTCCATCTCAACAGTCCTGGGTAGGTTTATCAAGATGGTGAGTGGTTGTACTCTATGAAGTCACTTAGGGATGCATGCTATTAGAAGTTCTTCTATCTTCAACATGTGATTACAAGATCAATTTGCTTCAACCAATGATGAAGGGTTTCAAGAAGGGCTGAAGTTCAAGGTCTCTTTAATCTGTGAGGTGACTGTTTCATTTATCACAACTTATATTCCTTTGTCAAGACCCTAGTCACATGGCTACATCTAACTGCAAAGAGGGCTAGGAAATGTGGTCCGGCCAGGTCTCAGCTATACTTTATTTGTTTGAGAGAAGGAAAATGGATTTTGTGGTCAGTTAGAAGTCATTACACAGACCAGCAATGGTCACCAATAATCCACATATACTCTACTTTTCACATTTAGAAAAAACTCACCTCACCCCCTAGGGAAATATCTCATCCAGTTATGACATCCAGCTCAAAATCCAGGATCTTTAGGTGACATGCAGTTTTCTATTGGATATACACTTGAGTCCTCATGGCCCAGTGACCCATAAAGTAATAAAATCTAAATTATCACCCTCTACCACGTAAACACAGATAATATACAATGGTGAAGTGAGAACAGGATAATGGCAAAAGAAACTCTTATTTAAAAAACAGAAACACACAATCATTGGCCCACAGCAATGATTAAATCTTACTGGGTAGGAATCCTAAATTATCCTTGCCCTCTCAATGGAGTAAGTTCCAAGCTTAGTCCATCTGACTATCACTGGTCCTCTCTGTGGGAGGAACTCCTTTGTTTGTCATCCTGACCACTGGCTTTGCTTTCTGGAAGATTCTTTCTTCTCCATTATCTACCATAGCCAATATAAGAAGAAGTGAGGAGTACTCATTTCTTAGGATTGCCCCGTACAGATTTTGCAGCCTGACTTCTGTGGTTGCAATTTGAGGGCCTATGAGTTATTTTAAGCTTAACCACAGGCTTTTTTATGTTAGGCTTTATGGCTTCCTTGGGAATACAATTTCTTCAAAAACTAAAAGGGCTTCTTGTTTATTTGTTTCATGCATCAATGACCACAACCAAAGTTCTTTTCTAGGTCTGATTCTGAAATCTTTTGTTCTAAGCTCTGTTGAATGACTCATGTCACTCTTAATTTAATGGTAACAACTTTGAGTGGGAAGAAAACTCCTTTAATCTAATTGTTTCCTTAGGCGTCTGTCCTTCTGTTTGCCTTAATACAAGGCCTTTGGGAAAAGCTTAGAGGAAGGTATTAGTTTTTTATCACTGATTTAACAAATTACCACAAACTTAGTTGCTTAAATATAAATGTATAATCTATAAATATAAATTTATGATAATATAATATATATTATATATTTATAATAGAAATTTATGATCTTACAGTTCTGTAAGTCAGAAAACCAACACTAGTTTCGCTAAGCTAAAATCAAGGTATCAGTAGGACCACATTACTTCTAGAGGCTCACAGGGAGAATCTGTGTTCTTGCCTTTTTCAGCTTCTAGAGGTTGCTGGCATTCTTTGGCTTATGGCCCTGTTTCTCCACCTTCAAAATCAGCAATATAACACATCTCTCTGACCCTTTGTCCCATCATCACATGTCTCTCTCTTACTGCAGCTGGGAAAGATCTTCTGCTTTTAATGACTCATGTGATTAAATTGGGCCCACTGGAATAATTCAGGATGATCTCCTCATCTCAAGGTCCTTAATTGCATTTGCAAAGTCCCTTTTGCCATGTACGGTAACATATTCACAGATTCTGGGGACTAGAATGTGGACATTTTGGTGGGGGGACAGTCATTATTTGGCCTAACACAAGCAACTAAAGCCATATTTCCTGTTATCTGAAATATAAAAGCATTTCTCAATCTTGTAAAGACTCACATCTCTGGACTCTATTTCCTTCAATCTCTGCTTGCAATCTGGTCATTTCTTGCCTGAGTTTGCACTTTCTTATAATATTTTGCTAAATGCAACAAGAAGCAGGCAACACTGGAAACAATCTAAATTTCCATCAACATTTGAATGAATAGACACATTGTAGTACATCCATACAATAAACTACTATATGGCAATAAAAAGGAATGGACTATTTATACACTCAACAACATAGATTAATCACAAAATAATTATGCTGGATGAAAGAATCTAGACAAAAATAGAGTACATATTATGAGTTCATTTATGTAAAATTCTAAAAAAGGAAGCCAACCTATAGTGACAGAAAGCAGACCAGTATTTGCCTGGGGATGGATTATAGGATGGGTTGAATTCAAAGGAGCAGGGAAAAGCTATGGGGGGTGACAGATATATTCATTATTTTAATTGTGGTGATGATTTCACAGGTGGATTCCTATGTCAAAACTCATCAGATTATATACTTTAAATACATGCAGTTTACTAGTTACGATAGTGAAGACGTGGAACCAACTTAACTGCCCATCAACTGTAGACTGAATAAAGAAAATGTAGTACATATACACCATGGAATACTATGCAGCCATAAAAAAGAATGAGATAGTGTCCTTTGCAGCAATATGGATGGAACTGGAGGGCCATTATCCTAAGTAAATTAATGTAGGAACAGAAAACCAAACATCACATGTTCTCACTTATAAGTGGGAGCTAAACATTGAGTATACAAGGACACCAAGAAGGGAACAATAGACATTGAGGTCTATTTGAGGATGGAGGGTGGAAGGAGGGTGAGGATCAAAAAACTACCCATCAGGTACTACGCTTATTACCTGGGTGATGAAATAATCTGTACAACAAACCCCTGTGACACACAATTTATTCATGTAACAAACCTGCATATGTACCCCTGAACCTAAAATAAAAGTTGGAGAGAAAAAAAAAGAAATCTGGAAGCAGAAACACACACAGAGCATGACGGCTCCAAAGACAACCAGGCAAAATCTGTTACTTTATCAACAAAAGTGCATTATTTTCATTCCCTGGTATTTGTTGCTAATGTAAATTTTGTTCAACAACCTGAATAGAATTAAGCAAAGCTTTGGGAATTTTTACCAGGCAGGTACAAAAATATGTGTGCTATTTTTTTGTTCCACATCTTGAGAGAGCACGAAAAACATAAATATGTGCAGTTTATTGAATATCAGTTGGACTCAATAAAGCTATTTTTAAGGTGTACTAAAAAATAAAGAGATACATTCATAGTATTGCATATGGGATTTCACTGAGACATAAACTCATGAAGGTTGGGGCCTTTGTTTGGTTCATTACTGTATCACCAGAACCTATGATAGCACCTGGCACATATTAGAGGTTCAATATATCCCATATAACTTGTAGAAGGCAGAAGAATGTCCCTATCCCCAAGATGTCCATGTCCTAATCCCTAGAACCTGACTATATTATGTTATATGGCAAAAGAGAATTAAGGTTGCTAATCAGTTGACTTTGTAAAAAGGGAGGTTATTAGGCCGTATGAGGTCCAATCTAATCACACCAATCTTTAATAAAAGTGGAAAGAAGAAGAAGCAGAATGTAGCTCAGAGAGATAGGACATGAGATGGACATAACCAACTGTTGTTGGATTTGAATACAGAGAAAAGAGGCTATGAGCCAAGGAATTCTACAGCCCTTTGAGCTGTTAACAGCTCTGTTTAAAGCCAGTAAAAAGACAGGAACCTAGTCCTCCAACTACAAGGAATTGAGTTCTGCAAGCAACCAGAATGAACAGAAACAAATTTTCCCCTAAAGCCTTCAAAAAGAGATGCAACCACACTGACAACTTGATTTTAGCCCATTGAGACTTGTTTCAGACCTCTGACCTACTGAGGCAAGATAAGTAAGGTTAGGAGGCCATACTAACTTGTCCCATGTGTGAAGCCCCACGGCTCCTTTTACAGTGAATTCTTTTCACTTGCACCCTCCTGCATCAGCACTGAAGTCTTTTGCAAGACAAGCAGTCCTGCAGGATTCTGCCAGGTGGTTACAAGTTCTTGATACCCTATACAGCCTGGGAAAGAGAACGAAAGCCCTTTGTTCATGATGTAGCTACCCATCTCCAGCCAATCAGCACCAAAAGCCCAAGAAGCTATTAGCTACAAATTCCTGCCTTGGTTGGGGTGGGTGGAGGTGTGACTGGGAAATTCTCCAGGGTCTTGCATACACAGCTAGGCTCAAGGTTTAGCTTATGGTGACCTTTTCCTCATTGTAATAGCAAAAAACACACCACCACGTGGGGATTTTATACGCTAATGATACATGGGATGCGTGTTAGACCAAGTAGCTCATGTGCTAACCACAGGTCTGCCTTTGCTTACTTGATCTCACCAGTATTTTATTAATATGTATGTACAGTTTCCACAAAGGAAATTCCCCTTAAGGCACTAACTACTGCCTCTAGCTTTGAGCTAGCTTTGAGCAGCCCACTCTGCCTCTCAGAGTGTACTTTCACTTTGCAATAAACTCCTTTGCCTAGTCTTATTTTGGACTCACTCTCAAATTCTTTTGTGTGGCCCAGAATCTGAATCTGGCCCACCAACGACATTGCAGAAGTGTAAGAGAATACATTCGTGTTGTTTAAACAGCTAAGTTTGTGGTAATTTGTTACAGCAGCAATAAAAACCTAATCCATAACTAAAAGAAGCTATGTTCTGGTCCCTAGAAGCACCAAAGAAGCTGCAATGTCCTCGGTCCCCAGTTTAGGGGAATGGAGTGGATGTTGAAAGCTTCTGAGGGGAGGAAGAGCCTGAAAGACATTCTCTAGGAAGGAAAGGGCAAACTGGGAGTGAGTCAGAGCTTTATGATTGACTACACTCTTTTATCATTCATAAAGACTGTCAGAGGCATTCCAACCAGAGCGACGCCATTTTGAGTGAGAGCTAGGAAAATGAGGCTGCAACTTGGCGGGGTGCATTTCCAGAAATATAGGTATTCCTAGCCTCTAGACATTTATGGTTAAGGGAATAGATTAATAATATTTACTAGGCCAGGAAAGGTGGCTCACACCTGTAATCCCAGCACTTCAGGAGGCCGAGGTGGGTGGATCACAAGGTCAGGAGTTCGAGACCTGCCTGGCCAATATTGTGAAACCCGTCTCTACTAAAAATACAAAAATTAGCTGGGTGTGGTGACATGTGCCTGTCCCGACTACTCGGGAAATGGAGGCAGAAGAATCGCTTGAACCCAGGAGGCGGAGGTTGCAGTGAGCCAAGATTGTGCCATTGCACTCTGGCCTGGGCAACAGAGGGAGACTCTGTCTCAAAAAAAAAAAAAGTTTACTAAACTGACCCAGATTTAGCAATGTCCAGATAATCCTGACACCTGGAGAACAAAGGCACTTCTAATTTTGCTTTAAAGATAATAATATTGATTCTTGCAAAACATAGTAATTAAGGAAATTAATCCTTTATCACAAACTCTTGTAGCAGAGCACATCTTCCCATGATCTTCTTTTATCATATATATATATGATATATATATAAAGATATATATATAAGCATTGTACCTAGGGTGGACGCGTTCCTCCTCTTACTTTCTGGAATGCCCTACTCTGTCTATGGGTTAGCTCTTCTTTCACCACTGAACTTGCTTTTGCTGTGCACTCCAGCAGACTTGCCCTGAATTCTTTCTTGCACGAGATCCAAGAACCCTCTCTTGGGGTCTGGATTGGGACCTCTTTCCTGTAACAGGACCACCTTCCACAAATGGACCCAGGTTCAGTGTCCACTCTGATTCACTGTCCCATGCTGCCTTCCCTAAAGCAGGCACTTTGCCACTGGTTTCACACGTCTGGGGTGAAGAACTCTTCTTGGTTTGTCCGGAACCTTTCTGGTTTTGCGTGGAAAGTCCTGTGTCCTGGGAAACTCCACAGTCCCAGGCATCCTATACCATGCTTCATTTGCCAAAAACTGTGACCCAAAAAAATTGTGAACAATGATTTTACTGCAAAATGTTGGAAACTCTGTAGAAAGTAGTTGTATGGTATGCTGTGAAAATAGGGAATTTTTTTTGGGTATTTGATTTTGTAACACTTTTCTGATTATAAAAGCATTAAATACACATTTGGAGGTACTTGGAGAGACAAAGGAAAGCTTAAAGCAATGCTTTTCAAGCTTTGTTATGTGTAAGAATATCTTGCTTGAAATGTAGAGTCCCAGGCTGCAACGCAAGAGTGTGCATCAGGAAGAGTGGAGTGTTGCCCAGAAATCTGGAAGGTAAGAGAAAAGGCTAGCCACTAATAGTAGTTTAAATGAGTCGAGAGTCTGGTCTACATTTTGCATGTCTAATAGACATCTCAAAATTAGCATATCCAAAATCAGATCCAAATCCTCTCCCCTGGTCTGTCCCTGCCCACGCCCCTACCCTCTATCAAGTCTTTCCCATCTCAGCATCCTTCCAGTTGCTTAAGCCAAACACCTGGGCATAATCCTTGTCTCTATTGTTCCTATCACACCATACCTAATTGTGTTAATTCTATCTTCAAATGTATTCTGAACTTGACTATTTCCCACAACCCCCATCATCACTTGCCTAGTTTATTTCAATGGCCTTCTGACAGATGTTGCTACCTCCATTCTTGTTTCCTTGGTTCTATTTTCAACAGAGGAGCCAGAGAAATTAAAACATGAGTTAAAGCCTATAGTCAGAGCCTATCAGTCCTTTGTCCTTTTAGTGCCATCCATCTCACTCAAAGTAGAATCAAAGTCCTTAGAATGGGCCACATGGTCCTACCCAGCCTGGACCCGCTCACTTCTGTTGAGCTAATGTCCTGCACTTCACCTGATGACCTCATGTCCTGCACTTCACCCCTCCTTCACTCTGGTCCAGACACACTGGCATCCCTACTGCTCCTTATACTTGCTAGGCATGCTTCTGCCTCAAGGCCTTTGTGCAGACTCTTCCCGTTGCCTAGAACACATTTCTCTCAGATATTCTCAAAGCTGGCTCTCTAACCTCTTTCAGGCATTTGCTGAAATATCACTTTCTCTGTAAGGACTTCTCTAACCTCCCTATTTAAAATTGTAATATTTTCTCCCCACTCCCTGTTCCCCTTCTTGGTTTGTGTTAATTCATAGTACCTACCACCATCTAATATTACAAATTTTTTTTTTTTTTGAGACTGAATCTTGCTCTGTCGCCCAGGCTGGAGTGCAGTGGCAGGATCTTGGCTCACTGCAACCTCTGCCTCCCAGGTTCAAGCGATTCTCCTGCCTCAGCCTCCCAAGTACCTGGGACTACAAGTGTGTGCCACCACGCTCAGCCAATTTTTTGTATTTTTAGTAGAGACAGGGTTTCACCATGTTAGCCAGGATGGTCTTGATCTCCTGACCTCGTGATCCACCCGCCTCGGCCTCCCAAAGTGCTGGGATTACAAGTGTGAGCCACTGCATCCGGAGTATTACAAATTTTTTATTACTTTGTTCGTGGTTTGCCTTCCTCCAACAGAACACAAGCTCCACTGGGATTTTTGTCTGTTTTGTCACTGCTTTATTCCCAGGACCCAGAAGAGCACTTAGCATAAAGTAGATGCTCAATGAGTATTGGTGAAGGCATGGATGGATATATAACATATGACAGAGCTTGCAGTGTAAAACAGTGGGGAAAATTAGAGGCTGTGCATTAGATCACACTGAGATAATTAGTTAACCATATGGAAAAAAGGGGAAACAAATATATATTTTGCTCTAAACACAAAAATTAATTCCAGATATATAAAGATTTACATATGAAAGGCAAATGTCTCAGTTGTTCAGGCCTCTATGACAAAAATACCATAGACTGGGTGGCTTAAATAACAACCACTTATTTCTCATAGTTCTAGAGGTAGGGGAAGTCTGAGCTCAGGGTGCACAGTCAGTTTCAGATGAATGTTCTCTTCTGGGTTGCAGACTGCTAACTTCTCATTGTGTCTTCACATGGTGGAAGAGACAAGGGAGCTCTTTGGGGTCTCTGTCATAAGGGCACAAATCCCATTCAGTAGTGCTCTGATCTCATGACCTAATCACCTCCCAAAGGCCCCACCTCCAAATACCATCACACTGAGGATTAGGTTTTAACATGTGAATTTTAGGAGGGACACAAGCATTCAGTCTATAGCAGCTAAACTGAAAAATATTTAGTCAATAATATAGATTATCTTTGTAATCTCAAGACAAGGTAGGACTTATTAAACTAGACCAAGAGTCCAAAACATAAAGATTGATACGTTTAGCTACTTTAGAATGAAAAAACAAATGCTTCTCTCTTCTCAAAAGATGACATAGAGAGAAACAACAAGCCAGAAACTCCAAGAAGATGTTTGTAACACATATAACCAACAAGGAATTAGTGTCCAGAATATACAAAAAACAAATATTTCCCATAAATCTGAAACCAACCCATTTGTCCCATAGGACTGATTATGTTTTTTTTCTTTTAATAAACATAGAAATTTACCCTACAAGTCTTAAAACTTGAGAAACTTACATTTGTCTTATCTGAGTTCCTTTCTCAGGAAATTGATGATCAGGGCTCCCTGGTAGTATCAGGAAACTGAAACTTACCTTTCACTGCATCTGCTAAGACACCAGACCCCTCACCCTTCATGACTGCCTAACTGACCCCAGGCTGCCTGTTGACCAACTCCTCTTCCTTACCCCTCCCTAATTCCTGTTTTCCCATATGTAGTTACCTTTCTTCCCTGCTCTATAAACCCTTAATTTTAATCTGTTGAAAAGAGGAGACAGAGTTAAGACTGATCTCCAATCTCCTCGGTTGCAACACCTGAATAAAGCCTTCTTCCCTCACAATACTTGTTGTCTCAGTGATTGGCTTACTGTGCAGTGAGCAACCTAGACCAAACCCTTGGCATTTTGGTAACAAATCCAAAAGAAAACTAAAAATAGCCAATAGAAGAAAGTATAAAAAACATAAAAGACACTATACAGAAAGAGAAATACAACTGGCCAAAAAAAAAAAAAGGAAAAAAGAAAGAAAAGAAAAATGCTCAGCTTCATTAATAATTAGGAAAATGCACATTAAAACCAAATGCGATAACATTTCACACACATCAAAATGGCAAAAAGTCAAAAGTCTGACAATTCCAAGTGAAGTTGCAGATGTGGTTTAATGGGAATTTCATCTGCCACTAAAGGGAATGTAGATTATACAACCCCTGGGAAATAGTCTCCCCTCACAAAGTAACACTATATATACTGCAACCACATTCTAAGACTCAGAAATTTCATTACTAGTTACATATTCTAAAAAGTCTTGCAGGTATGTGCCAGGGTACATGTATGAGAATGTTCATAGCATCATTGGTCATAACAGCAAAACTATGAAGACAAACCAAGTTCTAAGAATAGTAAAATGGAGAAGAAAAAAACATGGGACTTTCAAATTTGGAATACCACACAGCAGTGAAAATGAACAAGCCAAAGCTATATGCATCAAGATGGTGAATCTCAGAAATAAAGACAAGTCACAGAAGAACACATACATTACAATTCCACGTATACAAAGTTTAAAAATAGGCAAAACTAGACAATATCCTGTTTAGGGATACATACATGTATCAAGGAAGTATAAAGAAAAGCTAGGCCTTGGCCTCTCCCTCTCCCTCTCCCCCTTTCCCTTGGATCTCCCTCTGTTGCAGAGGCTGGACTGTACTGCCATGATCTCAGCTTGCTGCAACCTCCCTGCCTTGGGCTCCCGTGATTCTCCTGCCTTGACCTGCCGAGTGCCTGGGATTGCAGGCATGCGCTGCAATGCCTGACTGGTTTTTGTATTTTTGGTGGAGACGGAGTTTCACCGTGTTGACCGGGCTGGTCTCCAGCTCTTGACCTCGAGTGATCTGCCCGCCTTGGCCTCCCGAGGTGCTGGGATTGCAGACGGAGTCTCGCTCACTCAGTGCTCAATGTTGCCCAGGCTGGAGTGCAGTGGCATGATCTCAGCTCGCTACAACCTCCACCTCCCAGCCGCCTGCCTTGGCCTCCGAAAGTGCTAAGATTACAGCCTCTGCCTGGCTGCCACCCCATCTAGGAAGTGGGGAGCTCCTCTGCCCGGCCGCCCCGTCTGGGATGTGAGGAGCGCCTCTGCCCGGCCGCCACTCCGTCTGGGAACTGAGGAGCGCCTCTGCCCAGCCGCCCCATCTGAGAAGTGAGGAGCGCCTCTGCCTGGCAGCTGCCCCGTCTGGGAAGTGAGGAGCATCTCTGCCTGGCCGCCCATCGTCTGGGATGTGAGGAGCACCTCTGCCCACCCGCCCCGTCTGGGAAGTGAGGAGCGCCTCTGCCCGGCTGCCCCGTCTGGGAGGTGTACCCAACAGCTCCGAAGAGACAGCGACCATCGAGAATGGGCCATGATGACAATGGCAGTTTTGTGGAAAAGAAAAGGGGGAAATGTGGGGAAAAGAAAGAGAGATCAGATTGTTACTATGTCTGTGTAGAAAGAAGTAGACACAGGAGACTCCATTTTGTTCTGTACTGAGAAAAATTCTTCTGCCTTGGGATGCTGTTAATCTATAACCTTACCCCCGGCCCCGCGCTCTCTGAAACATGTGCTGTGTCCACTCAGGGTTAAATGGATTAAGGTCGGTGCAAGATGTGCTGTTAAACAGATGCTTGAAGGCAGCATGCTCGTTAAGAGTCATCACCACTCCCTAATCTCAAGTACCCAGGGACACAAACACTGTGGAAGGCTGCAGGGACCTCTGCCTAGGAAAGCCAGAGACCTTTGTTCACGTGTTTATCTGCTGACCTTCTCTCCACTATTATCCTATGACCCTGCCACATCCCCCTTTCCGAGAAACACCCAAGAATGATCAATAAACACTAAAAAATAAAAAATAAATAAATAAATAAATAAATAAAAAGAAAAGCTAGGATGGCCGGTGTGGTGGCTTGTCTTTAATCCTAGAACTATGGGAGGTTGAGGCAGTAGGATTGCTTGAGGCCAGGAGTTTGAGACAAGCCTGGGCGACATAGCTAGACACCATCTCTACAAAAATAATAATAAGAAGAAAAGTTCACTGGGACCGGGCGCGGTGGCTCACACCTGTAATACCAGCACTTTGGGAGGCTGAGGTAAGTGGATCACCTGAGGTCAGGAGTTCAAGACTAGCCTGGCCAACATGGTGAAACCCCGTCTCAACTAAAAATACAAAAATATTAGCTGGGCGTGGTGGCGGGCACCTGTAATCCCAGCTACCTTGGGAGGCTGAGGCAGGAGAATTGTTTGAACCTGGAAGACGGAGGCTACAGTGAGCAGAGATCACGCCATTGCACTCCAGCCTGGGTGACAAGAGCGGAATTCTGTCTCAAAAAAAAAAAAAAAAAGAAAAAAGGAAAGAAAAAGAAGTGAAACCAAACGAAAAGAAAAGCTCACTAGGTGTGGTGGTATGAGCCTGTAGCTGAGGTGGGAAGATCCCTTGGGCTCGGGAGTTCACATGCTGCAGTGAGCTATAATTGTGCCACTGCACTCCAGCCTGGATGACTGACTGAAACCTAATCTCTTAAAAATAAAAATAAAAGCTGGGTGCGGTGGCTCACGCCTGTAATCCCAGCACTTTGGGAGGCTGATGGGGCGGATCACGAAGTCAGGAGATTGAGACCATCCTGGCTAACACGGTGAAACCCTGTCTCTACTAAAAATACAAAAAAATTTGCTGGGAGTGGTGGCACGTGCCTGTAGTCCCAGCTACTCAGGAGGCTGAGGCAGGAGAATCGCTTGAACCCAGGAGGCGGAGGTTGCAGTGAGCCGAGATTGCGCCACTGCACTCCAGCCTGGGTGACAGAGCGAGATTCTGTCTCAAAAAATAAAAATAAAAATAAAAGCTAGGGAATGATTATCACAAAAAAATGCAGCTCTAGCAAAGAGAGAGGGAGAGTGATCTATTGGTTAGGAGCACGTAATAAAAGATATTGGAAATATTCGATTGCTTAGAGTGACCGATGATTACATAACATCCTTTATTATCTCATCAATACTTTAAAATGTGTATATGGATTATATGTACACTTTTGAATATATATTTCACAGTTTTTGATTAAAGAAGGAGAGAAAAGGAAACAGAGGGCAGGTACAGACAATATTTTCTAATTTTGCTGTAAATGTGGAGCAGGAAAATAGGAGAGTACCTGAAGCAAAAACCTTTTAAAAACTTATGTTACTGGCCAGGCGCAGTGGCTCACGCCTGTAATCCCAGCACTTTGGGAGGCCGGGGTGGGGCGGGGAGGGGGGTGGTGGATCACCTGAGGACAGGAGTTCAAGACCAGCCTGGCCAACATGGTGAAACCCCGTCTCTACTAAAAATACAAAATTAGCCGGGAGTGGTGGTGGGGGGCGCCTGCAATCCCAGCTACTGGGGAGGCTGAAGCAGGAGAATCACTTGAAACCCAGAGGCGGAGGTTGCAGTGAGCTGAGATCGTGCCATTGCTTTCCAGCCTGGGTAACAAGAGCAAAACTCTACAAAACAAAAACAAAAACAAAAAAACTTATGGTATCAAGGAGTTTGTCTTGTTTTGGTTTTTAAAGCGATATATTATAACATGTTTGTATGCTCATGAGAATAATTCAGTGAAACGGTAAAAAAAATTTGCTGAAGCAGGAGAGTAGATATTTATAGATGGTTAGTCCATTTTTGAGAAAACAAGAGAGGATGGGATCTAGCCTTCTCAGGGAGAGTAGAGACATCAAGGTGGTTCTGCTATGGCAGAACTTGCTGGAAACCCACTCTCTAGGGTGCAGGCAAAAGCTGTTCATACCAGAGACACTCCAGTATAAAACCCCTTCAGGAGGGGTGCCTAAGGAAGCTGCTTACTGCTGGGTGTTGCTGACTGTGACTGAAGTAACTGGACACTAGGTAAGTTTTGGGTGCTGCAGGAGCAGGTGCTGCTAAACCATGCACTCACTGCAGGAACCTGGCAAACAGCACACCAGAACCAGGAAGCAAAATCGTTTTTCCCTGCAATGACTCTCCAGTGCCCTCTACTGACAAAGCTTCAGGGCCAGATGGCAAAGAAAACATAATTAAAAGATTCAGGATCATTTTTGGAGCTGAGAGGCAGTAAATCCATAACTCACAAACTGGGGAATGGAGGGATCAGGCTGACAATACCTGAATCTTCCATCAAATCTACCATCACTAATAGTGGGATGAGATCATATACCTCTAAATGTGATACCATAGGTACACAGCACTGCTTTTGAAGTATTCTCCTTAAAAAATTGAACCCAGCCGGGAGTGGTGGCTTACGCCTGCAATCCCAGCACTTTGGGAGGCCGAAACAGGCGAGTCACCTGAGGTCAGGAGTTTGAGACCAGCCTGGTCCAACATTGTGAAACCCCGTTTCTACTAAAAATACAAAAATTAGCCTGGCATAGCGGCGGGCACCTGTAATCTTAGCTACTCAGGAGACTGAGGCAGGAGAATCACTTGAACCCAGGAGGCAGAGGTTGCAGTGACCCGAGATTGCACCACTGCACTCCAGCCTGGATGACAGCGAGACTCCATCTCAAAAACAAACAAACAAAAACCCCAAATCTGATAAAGCCTTTTAAGTAAATAAAAATAAAAGCTAAGGAATGATTATCACAGAAATGCAGAGTGATGCTTACCTCTATAGCAGAGAGAGACGGACTAGTAGTATCTGGGTTAGGGACATATGGTGAAAGATATTGAAAATGTTTGATTGCTTAGAATGAGAGATGACTACATAGCATCCTTTATTATCTTATGAATCTTATCTAAGATACACAGGAAATAGAGGAACAAGTTAATTGATACCATGAGGAAGCAATCAACCAAATCCAGTACTGGGAACATTCTATGGGATAAATGAACTGGCTTCTCCAGCAAATTAATGGAATGAAAATAAGGGAAGGGTAGATTGTTATAATAAGATTAAGAGACATAATAATAAAATGCAATGTATTGCCAAAATATAATTTTTAAAAGTCAATGACAGTATCCTATACAAAGAAAAAGTGAGCATGTATCAAAGATGTACTAACAAGAGACTAGTAAAAAAAGAACTAGTTCAAAGAGAATTTGGAAGATTGAATATACATACACTGGACATACATCTTCTATACCTCCACTGAACAAAATTCATTGACATTGCTATTGACCAAGAATCATTTCCATTGATATCACTTTTCTACAAGTTAATGTCTACCCCTAAGGAGTACTCTAAATACCCTAAAATACTAAATCAAAGTTAAACTACCCTAGAGAATTAGATAATTTTTACGTAGGCCTATTAGAAAATGCTACAGTGTCGGCCGGGCGCGTTGTATCAAGCCTGTAATCCCAGCACTTTGGGAGGCCAAGGCAGGAGGATTGCTTGGGTCCAGAAGTTTGAGACCAGCCTGGGCAACATGGCCAGACCTTGTCTGTACAAAAAATACAAAAATTAGCCGGGCATGGTGGCACACATCTGTCCCAGCTACTCAGGAGGCTGAGGTGGGAGAATTGCATTAGCTCAGGAGGTCGAGGCTGTAGTGAGCCATGATTGCACCATTGCACTCTAGCCTGGGTGACAGAGTGAGACCCTGTTTCAAAAAAAAAAAAAAAATTTTTTTTAAGTTGAATTTGTCATTATATATTATACAATATATTTTCACTAACTTTTGAGCTAATAGACATTTAAAAGTCACCAAATTTGGAATACAAAGTATTTTAAATGACATCCCAAGTCATATAAGAGATTGGTTCAGCCTACGCTTTCTGTTCAAAACCCAGTAGTTAATGCTATTAGCATTCAAAATGCCTTTTTTTCCTTTTAAAAAGGACAGTTAAACCTGTTATTTTTTATCCTGCAGCCAGTTCTTAGCACAAAAGCAGGCAGATTTTAGTAGCACAGAATTATTTATTAGCTTATGCCTCTACCAGAAAACAGAAATGTTGGCTTAAAATTGTTTCATTGATGTAACTTTTACCTTTTCCTTTACAGATATTCATTTATTCATTCTGGCCCTAATACCAAGGTATCCTTCACACAAAAGATTCAAACAGATTCTTTGCATCTTTACCAATGGGAGTTTCATGTTTTCAAGTTTTTGTTTGTTTGTTTGTTTGTTTTTTGTTTGGAGGCCTCTTTCCAAGCACTCTAGTATTCTTAAAATCCTGAGATTCTGAATGGTATGATTTAGCTCAATATGTTTATACTAAACTTAGGGGAAAAAAACTAATATATTTTCCTTACCCATCACAAGGTTTATGCTGAGACTTCAATAACAAAAAACAGACTAACAAGAGAAAAGCATGCACATTTATTTTATCCAAGTTTTACATGACATGGGAACTTTCAGAAACGAAAACCCAAAGAAATGGGGACATTTGTGTAGTTGTATAGACAGTCAGGCAGATGTATGATTGCAAGGACAAAAGTGTATGAGCTAACGGTGATAAACTGAGAAGTTGGAAAGGCCTGTCTATTCAGTTTCTTCTTGGCATACCTGTGTGGCAGTCCCTCCCTCAGGGCATAGGAGAGGATGCCTGTTATATAAGGGGCCTCAGATGAAGGAGGGAGAAGGAGGGAGCAGGTCAGAGAGTGACCTTCCTAGATTTTGTGGCCTGCTTCAGGGAAGAAGGGGCGAGGGGAACTCTAGTTTCTATGGCCTGCTTCAGGGCAGAAAGGAGCAAGAGGTCAGAGAAACCTTCCTGTTTCTGCTATTTTCTCAATTTCCAAGGTGCCATATTTTGGGGTGGCATTTCCTGTACCCTGTCATATACAAACTCATTTTTAGACAGCGGCCTTTAGTTCCTCCTGAGGTTAAACCAGAGCTGCTCAAGGAATATACCTACTAAATCTTCTTGCTCCATTTAAGATATTTATTTCAAATGCAAATAATTATACCATACCCTTTGGCCTAGTCAGCACTGATTCACTATTTCAAAGCTTTACATTTAAGCCTCATAATAACCGTACGAAGCAGATCTAGCTACTTCCATGTTACAGAAGAAGAACCTGTGGCACACAGAGGTTGAGCAGCTGCCCCAAAGCCTCACAGAATGTGGCAGACTGGAGAATTCAACGCAGAACTCTTACCCAGCCCCATATGCTGCCTTGGCCTCCATCTGGTATGACCACAGAAATGGAGAGCTGGAGGAAGGAATTTCAACTCTGCTTCAGAACCTTAAATGAAGCAGGAAGCTGTAGAGGGGCACAAAGCTACAAAGCTGCTCCAAAGCTGTCTCCTCCAACACAAAGCAGAAATTGTGTTCCCAGCATCCATTTCTGTTACCCTTACTTGGACTTGAGAAGCTGTATCAATCAAGATGTAGTGTGGTGGGAGAGGGACTCAGTGCATGACTGATACCCAGCCAAGCAGGGCCAGGCAGCTTTAGAAATGCCCACACTGGGGAATTGAACAATGAGAACACATGGACACAAGAAGGGGAACATCACACACCAGGGGCTGTTGTGGGGTGGGGGGAGGGGGGAGGGATAGCTTTAGGAGAGATATACCTAATGCTAAATGATAACAAACCTGCACGTTGTGAACATGTACCCTAAAACTTAAAGTGTAATAATAATAAAATTTTTTTACAAAAAGAAAAAGAAATGCCCACACTGAGCTCATTTCATTTAACAAACATTTATTTACATGGAAGCCATGTGCATGGAAGACAGGTGTTGTCTCAACTCTCTTGGGGCGTACACTGAGGGGGAGGAAGATCGAAAATAAACACATTGACAAAGAAATGAACAAGGTGCTTTCAAATGGCAACAAATGCATGAAGAAAGGGAAACAGAATAATGCATGATGGGGAACTGGTTTCAACTGGGTGAGGGAGGAAGACCTTTCTGAGATGTAGACATGACTGACAAGAAGCGGGCAGCCATGCAAGGGGCTGGGGCAGGGAGTTTCAAGACCAGGTGTAAGGTGAAAGCACAGGGACCGAGGGAGAAGTGGCATGAGGGAGGTCAGAGAGTTAAGCAGAGCTGTCATGTCAGGAGCCCCAGCCCCTGCAAGAGTCTTCCATGCCCCTCTAAGTGTGCTGAGAGGATAGAGAATTTTAAGTGGGGTGGTGGATTTGTGGCTGGAGTCTGCCCAGAATGGTCTGTGAATAGGCCAAAGACCTCAGGACAGGGAGAAAACGCTTAGTGGCACAGCATTATTTTTTATTTTATTATTATTTTTTGAGACGGAGTCTCGCTCCGTCCCCAGGCTGGAGTGCAGTGGGGCGATCTCGGCTCACTGCAACCTCCGCCTCCCGGGTTCAAGCGATTCTCTTGCCTCAGCCTCCTGAGTAGCTGGGACTACAGGTGCGCGCCACCACGCCCGGCTAATTTTTGTATTTTTAGTAGAGACGGGGTTTCACCATGTTGGCCAGGATGGTCTCGATCTCTTGACCTCGTGATCCGCCCACCTCGGCCTCCCAAAGTGCTGAGATTACAGGCGTGAGCCACCGCGCTCGGCGGCAGAGCATTATTTAAGGAGCATGTTAAACACACTTTCTTCCCACACCACCAACTAAAAAAGCAGGTATCAAGAGGGTCTAGGTAGGTGCTGAGACCACCTCCAGAGCACAGGCCCGCCAGAGTTGTGCTCAGCAGGTGAGGTCTACACTCCTCTCAGCCCGGAGGGGCAGCGTGAGTTATACTGCTGGACAAAGGGGAAAAAGACAAAATGCTGGGCTGGGGTAGAAGGGAAGGACGCGGGTGTTAAATGTGGGCGTGGTTTCTTCTGAATGTCCCACCCACTCCACTATACATTGCTTAAATGCAGTGCAAATTTCCCTACCCCCAGCGGAGGAGGGGTGAAGATTCAGCAGGTTTTAGGGTCTAGGACCCTGAGCTCCTCCATTCATGAATACCCAAACAACTGTAGCCCACCCTCTCACCACTGCCTAGGCGGACGACCAGTGTCCCCAGCTAGATCTCTACCCTTAGGAGCAGGGCACTGGCTGACCCGGAGAACCTGCGCCGCCTCTTCTCAGCCTGCTGCCAGCCCAGTGCACGAGCTGAATGCCGCTGCCGCCTGGCTGGCCGGGAAAGACGGGGATCTTGACGCGGCGGCGCCTGGGACACGGCAACCGCAGCACAGGGCATGGCCCTGCGGCTGGACCGGACGCGGCGGCTGCAGGCAGAGCAGGAAGAGAGCGCAGGCTGGGCAGCGGCGTACGCTTCGGCGACGTCAGCTTCCGGGGCCGTGGACGGGGGCGCGCCCGAGCCTCCTGGAAACCTCCCCACCAAGGACCTGGGGAACCCAAGTCTCGGCCCGCTTTGTAGCCTCTGGTTTCTAAATTCAGCGTCGAGGAGCGAAAACAACCCCCCTGAACTGGGCCCAGACCCTTAAGCTCCTGGAACCTCAGTTTTTCCTTCCGTCGAATGGCGACAATGGCTGTCTGGTTGAACGTTATTTTACCTAGGAAGTAATAATTTTCGTAAATAGGTCTCTGAGAGTATTTGCTTGCTAAAATCCTGCTTTGTCCTGGAAGCAAATTTAGGCCACGTTAGGGGCGGGGACTTCGTATTTAATGTTGAGCACCTGGCGAGCGCCACCTTCGCCTCAAAGCGCCCTCGGACCCTGATCCAGCATAAGGCCAGAGTTGGGCAGTGAGGGGTCTCGAGAGGTGGAAAGGGGATTATTGCCCTCTCAAGAGTCCTACGTAGGTGACTCCTAAGCCTTAGCATTTACTCCCTTAGACCGTGTAACAGGCCACCCCAATTACGCGCCAAACTCAGGCTGCGGCTCTTGGCGCAGCCTCGGTCCCGCCTGATTTCAGTTTCCATTTCGCTGCCCCTGGTGCCCCACCGCCCGCGGCTGTCTGGGGATTTGCCCGGTGATCAGTGACGTAAAAGAGACTAAGGTTCCCATTGGATGGCGAAGTTCGGCAGGAGCCAATCCCGGGGCTGGTCCGGGAGAAATCTCGGCGAAGGGCCCCGAATAGCCGGGAGATTACGGGGCGGGGACGAGCTGTCGCGCTGGTTGCTCGTGCAGGAGCGGGACCCGGAACAGACCGCCGTGAGAGAGGAGGGGTGCCGGCCGGGATTCGCGGCCCGGAGCTCGGGACCGGTGAGTAGGGGGTGCACATGAGACATACAGCGAAGCAACAGTCTCGTACGCTCACCGGGTTTGGGGCGACCCAACGCAGCCGCCGGGCCCGGGTTCAAAACGGGGCCAGGCCCCCGGGCGGGCTCAGGAGGGGGTCAAGTTCGCTGCGTCCTCCCTGCCAGCCAGATCCCTCCTGTTTGCTTGTCCTTACATTCTCCCCCTCCTCTTGGGTCTTTCTCGCTTTCTGGTATCCTACTCAGACTCCCATCCATTCTAGTCTGCGGAACCAGAAGTAAGCGGGGCCTGGATGACCGTCCGGTTGCTTGGAGCCTGGTAGATAGGCGACTAATCCAGCTCCCTGACCAAAGTGTCATGCTTTCTTTCTCTTTCTTTTTTTTTTTTTTTTTTTTGTTCGGAGTAAACCGGTTTAGCCACAAATACTTGGAGCTGTGCTTTCACTCCTTCCAGCTCATTAGCATTTTTCTTACTGATTTTCTCCCTATTTGGCCTTAGAAAAAAAGTGTAAATTTAACTCTGTGGAGTAAATGGGAGGGACACACTTCCAAATCTCCAGTAGATTTCAAATTTTGACCCACGATTTGTGTGTACTTCAAAAGAGGGGAGAATGACATTCGTTTATGCATGCCTTAACCTCCTGTTTTTAACTCTTAGCTGAAATCATAATCCCTAACATGTTTTTCCCCAAGTTCAAAAAAATCACCTTTAAAAAAAATAGGCTTTTTATGTTTCAAAAATTGCAATTTTATTGTTTAAGTAGACTTTATTTCTTACAACACTTTTAGATTTACAGAAGAATTGAGAAGATAGTACAAACTTCCCACATGCTCCAAACCGGATCCCCTGTTATTAACATCTTACCTCAGTGTGGTACATTTGTTGCAGTTAACCAATATCAATACATTATTATTGACCAAAGTCCATAGTGTGTTCAGATTTCCTTAGTTTTTACCTCAGTACTTTTTCTGTTTCATGATCCCATGGAGGTTACCACATTACATTTAGTTGTCATGTCTCCTTATGCTCCTCTTGGCTGTGGGAGTTTCTCAGACTTGTTTTGATGACCTTGACAGCATTGAAGAATACTGGTCGTGTATGTTGTAGGATGCCCCTCTATTGGAATTTGATGTTTTTCTCCTAAGACTGGGCTTATGGGTAACTGGGAGGAAGACCACAGAGGTAGATTGCCATTATCATCCCATCGTATCAAGGGCATGTACTAACATGATTTATGACTTAATATTGATTTGGGTGAGATAGTGTTTTTCAGGTTTCTCCACTGTACAGTTAGTCTCTTTTCCACTCTTTGCGTGTATTGTCCTCTTTAGAAGGAAGTCACTAAGTGCAGCCCATACCTAGGGAGCCAAGAGTTATATTCCCCCTTCTTGAGGGCAAGTATCTACATATTATTGTTTGCAGTTATTCTGCATGGAAGATTTGTTTCTCTCTTCCCCCAATTTATTAATTTATTCAATCATTAATTTCAGTGTAGACTCAGGGACATTTATTTTATACTTTGGTTTATAATCCAATACTACTTAATTTTGTTGCTCAAATTACTGTGGCTTTGGCTGTTGGGAGCTCTTTTCACATTGGCTCCTGTGCTCTTTCATAGTATTTTTATAGAGCTTTTTGCTAATGAGACACTCGTACTTATGTGACCTTGCCTCAACCTCAAATAGCCTGGTAAACTTGGCAAAATATTTTCCCCTTGTTAAGAGGTAAGGAGACTGAAGGCCTAAGGCAGTGGGTGACTTCTTAGATATCACTTCCTGCAGGGGAGTAACAGGTTGGACTCAGATTGTGTGTGACCACCACAGAAGACACTGCAAACCCCCGAAGAGAGTCCATGGTCTGTATTGAGGCTTCTTGGAATGACTTCAGACTTGGACCCCCCCAGGATCAGAATAGAAAAGACACGGAGAATGGGAAATTGGTTTGAGAAGACAAAAACATAAATTGGCTGGCATCAGGATGAATTAGATTTTGCCAGCTTTATAGAAATGGAATTTTGTTCTTCCCCCCAAAATTGTGTGTGTGTGGAGGGAGGCCAAGAGATATCTAGGTAATGTGTGTGGGCAAGAATGTCTAATCTAAAGAGAGCCCTGGAAGCCTGCTGCTGAAGCAGAATTTTAATGTGGGAAAGGGGGGTGTGTAGTGAAAGGGGGAAGAATGGAGATGGCAGGGCTCTGGAATTAGAGGAGGTCATTCATTTCACAAACATTTGCAGACCCCCTACTTTGTGCCAGATATTGGAGATAAAAAGGTCAGTGAGGCATGACCTTTGGGTTCACATTCTGGTGGGAGAGAAGACAGATAAAAATATCAATTACAGCCACTTATCCATAGCTTAGTTTTCCGTGGTTTCCGTTACCCATGGTCAACCTCAGCCCAAAGACAGTAAACAGAAAATTCCAGAAGTAAACAATTCATAAGTTTTAGATGTGCATTGTTCTGAGTAGCATGATGAAATCTCTTGCCCTCCCACTGTTCCTTCATCACAAGAAGGGTAAGTACAGTACAAGATAGTTTGAGAGAGAGAGAGACCACATGCATATAACTTTTATTACGGTATATTGTTATTCTGTTGTGTTATTATTGTTAATCTATTTCTGTGCCTACTTTATAAACTTTATTACAAGTGTGTATGTGTAGGAGAAACAGGTTTCAGACATCCACTGGGGGTTTTGGAATGCATCTCCTGAGGATTGAGGGGACTCCTGTATGAATGTATCTTTAGCGGATGGGGGGTGCTACTGTATGAAGCACTGTGATAGTGCTATTGTAGAAATACAGTGTATGCAAAGCTGCAGGAGGAGGGATACATTCAACTCAGAGGTGGGATGGGTACAGGAAACACCTCACAGATAAGGGGACAAATTGTATTCAAGCCTTCAAGGATGCGCTGGACTGGAGAGAAGAGCATGTACAAGGGAATGGGTGGAGAGTGGGGAGTGAAGAAGGGGCTGTCTTCCTGGTTCAGTGTATCTAATGGCCAGAGAATTAGGTAGGACGAGGAGGGATTTGGGGCTGGATGGGTAAGTTGGGGCTAGCCGGATGCAGGGCAGGGGAGGATGTCTGTGCAGTTTTTTTTTTTTGTTTTGAGTCAGAGTCTCGCTCTGTCACCCAGGCTGGAGTGCAGTGGCGTGATCTCAGCTCACTGCAACCTCCGCCTCCTGGGTTCAAGCGATTCTCCTGCCTCAGCCTCCCGAGTAGCTAGGACTACAGGCGCGTGCCACCATGCCCGGCTAATTTTTGTATTTTTAGTAGAGGCTGGGTTTCACCATGTTGGCCAGGATGGTCTCGATCTCTTGACCTCATGATCTGCCCACCTCGGCCTCCCAAAGTGCTGGGATTACAGGCGTGAGGCACCGTGCCCGGCCACCTGTGCAGTTTTGACCTCAGCTAGTAGGAGTTTTTTTGGTGTGTTTGTTTTTATTTTTATTTTTATTTTTATTTATTTATTTTATTTTAGAGACAGTCTCTCCCTATGTTGGCCAGGCTAGTCTTGAACCCCTGGATTCAAGGGATCCTCCTGCCTCAGCCTCCCACAGTGCTAGGATTATAGGCATGAGGCACCAAACCCAGCCTCAGCTAGGAGATTTGAAGCAGGAGAATAACAAGGATGAGATCCTGTGTGCTAGAAGGATGATCCTGGCAGCACTTTTTAGGAAATATGCCACATCTCACCAAATCTAAGATGCTATTTGTCTTAATCCATTTTCTGTTGCTGTAACAGAATACCACAGACTGGGTAAATTGTAAACAACAGATGTTTATTCAGCTCACGGTTCTGGCCAATGGACTCTTGCAAGAAAGGCATTAATCCATTCATGAGAGTTACACCCTCATGACCCAGTCACGTCTTAAAGACCCCACCTCTTAATACCGTTACATTGGCAATTACGTTTCCAACACGTGAACTTTTGGGGGACATGTTCAAACCACAGCACCACCAAATCTTTTATGTGCCCTTATTTTATGCTCCACATCAAAAAAATATTTTGCCAGTTAAATTATGACATGCAATTGATCACATTTCAGAGATGCTAAAATGTGATGTCACAGGTGTCTCAAATTTGATGAAAAGCACTAACTCCCTTGCTGATGGCTTAGATTCCTCCCTTTCCCTGGATTAATGGTTAGGATGTCTCCATCTCACTAACTCATAGATGGTAAGTTACCAAGGGAAAGAAGAACAGAAGCTGGGTGGGCCCTTCCCCTTCTCTCCCCAAAGATAAACATTTACAACATTTACTGGTTGGGTCGAGGAGCACAATATCTGGTCTGCTGCTATAGGATTCCTTGGCCTGTTATTGGGCCTGTCTCATGCTGTTTCCTTTTGGGGAGTTAAATACACACACACACACACACACACACACACACACACACACACATATTCTATATCCCATCCTCCAGAGTGGCAAAAATTAAAGCTGATATTATCAGGTGTTGGTGAGGCTGTGGGGCATCATGAGTGCTCATAGCCTGCTGAGCAGACTACATAGCACTATAGTCACTTTGGAAACAGTTTGGCCTGCTTAGTCAAATTGAGGGTACATCTTGCCTGTGTGTGCTAGAACATGTATGCAGAAATATTCACTGAAGCAGTGTTTGTAATTGTCCCAAACTGGAAACAACTCATATGGCTATCAGTAGACTGCATTAAAAATTGTATAGTTAGAGAGCAGCAATTAAGTAAAATCAGCTCATAATCACATGGATGAGCCTCACAAACATGTTGACAGCCCCCCACCCAAATACATGGAAAAAAAAAAAAAAAAAAGGAAAAAAATTCCATTCATTTGAGGCTCAAAACCTGAGAAAATAAACTCTGTTTATGGGGTGTATACCTAGGTCTAAAACTAAAGAAAAGGGAAGGAGTGATTCTCACTATTACAATTTACTCCACAACAACCATTTTCTCAGACACAGCTTTTTCTTCTCCTGGTTTCTGTAAGTTGCTGGAGCGAAACCTTGGATACGATGATTTGCTGGTGACGTGCAGCCCACTGTTCTTGCTGCTACAGGGAATATGAAGAAATTGCTTCTCTCTCTACCAATTTACTACCATCTTGCTGGAGAGAAAGGGCAGGTGGCTAAGATTGTTCGCATTCCTTCAGCAGATGTGTAGGAAGCATCTTCTTTGTGTCAGATACTCTGTGCTTGTGCTTTGTTTTCTCAGTCAGTTTTTATTGTCTACTCTGTGCCAAGTAATATGTAGATTCTGGTGATAAGACAGACACAATCTCTCTCCTTGTTTCATGGAAAAAGCTGGTGTTAAGCGAGTAATTACACTAATAAGTCAGGACTTAAAACTGCAGAGAAGTACAGGGTGCAGCATGGGGTGTTTTGGGGCTGTATAACTAGACTACATGTGGACCCAATCTGACAGGTCAGGAAAGAATTGCCAGAGGAGGTGGCTTTCAGCTGAGACTTCAAGCTAGAAAAGGCATTTGCTAAGTGGGAAAGGGATGGTGTTCTAGGCAGAAGGAATTACATTGTCGAAGGGCTTAGCCAGGAAAGAGCATAGCACTTTGAGGCATGGAGAGCGGTTTGGTTTGGCTGTGAGTTTGAGGTGGGGAGTGGCAGGAAATGAGCCTGGAGACACAGGCTGGGCCATGATTATCTGGGAATCCAGCTAGGATCTCCTGGGACAGCCTCCTCACAGAAGAAAGGAAGGACAGGAGTTTTGACTTTATTCCTGGAGCACCAGAAAGCCATTGAGGGGTTTAACCTGGTTGGTCACCCGGGCAGATTGGCAGTTTAACACGTGACCGAGTGTGTTTGAGGATCAAAAGGCCAGAGTGGCTGCAGCACTGGGGCAGCAAAGGGGAGAGGAGGTTTATGTAAATCAGGAAACCCTTGAGGGTTTGATGATCCCACAGTTGGATCTGATTTCAGCTTCTAAAGGATTCCTCAGGTCACTGGATGTAAGTTCTGGTAGGACAGGGAGTTTGCCACTTTTGTTCTCTGCTGTAACCTCGGTGCCTGACACATAGTCGGCACCTAATAAACATCTGCTAGCTGTTGAATAACTTTCAACATCCTGCTGCTTAAACCCTCAATGGCTTCCCAGGGCTGTTAGGATAAAGTCCAAAATTCTTAACCTGGGTCACAGTCTTGCATAATCTGTTCCCTCCTGTTTCTCCACCCTTCCTCTGCTCGCCTCACTGCACTCCACCTGTGGCCAATTGTCAGCTCCTCAAATTCACCGCTACCCTTTCTCCGGCGGATGATTTCCTCTGCCTGTGAGGCTAACCCTCCACAGCACTCCATATGGGCAGGGAAGAGTTCATTTTCCAGGCACCAAAGTGCAGTGTATGGTGGAATGGAAGGAGCCCAGAGCTGGGAGGTGCACCTCACCCCACCTCGTGCTAGTGCTGGCCTTGCTGCCAGCCAGCTCTGCTGCTGGGCAAATGAGTCCGAGGCTCTGGCACTCACTGTCCTCCTCTGTAAATAAGGGGTTCTAGTGATTCACAGTCCTGGATAGACTTTAGAATCTCCTGGGAAGTTTGTTTTTTAATACCAGAGCCTGGGCCACCTCTGGAGATCCTAAGTCAGTTGGTCTAGGTATGTTTTGAAGACTCACCAGTTTGAAGACTACAAATCTGATGTGTAGTCAAGGTTTGAACCATTCCACAAGATGATAAAGGATTCCTTCCTATATTTGGTGCAAAGCACCAAGTGACACTTAGGAATATTTTAGACAAGAGAGCTTGGTTCATGATTCAACATTAGACAGATATTCTGGCACAAATATGAAGAACCCTCAATTTTCCCCTGTGGGTCAGCCACAAGACCAGGGCAATTTAACGCCTTGTCTCATCCACCTCCCAGCTGGCTGCTACCTCCTGCCCCTCTTTGAGCCCTGTGGGGATTTCTAGCGTTCAGAGCCCTGGTAGTTTTTGTGGCCTGCACTGTGCTTCAGAGCACCACTGATGCTCGGCTCCGTGGGGAAAGTAAGCCAAGTGTGACCACAAGAACGCATCATCCACAGTCACTGGGATCTCCTGGGACAGCCTGGGATCCAGGCCTTTGGCCTGGCCAGTAGGGGTGCAGTCACTCCTAGTATGCACATCCAGATCACTTGCTTTTTGCCCCGAATTCTGGCCTCTCCAGGTTTGTTAGAGGTGTCTCACGGAAGTTTACCCCATGGAGAGTTTGCTTATCTCAGATTAAAATATGGGGATTAATCTGGGACCCAGGAGCCCTTAAATGGAGTACCCACAGGGAATGGAGCTCTAGGCTAAGTGCTTTGGGATTACAGGTGCTTTGCTCTTGTTTGGAGGTCCAGACATATGCTTGAGAAGCAGCTTGGGATACTCAAGAGAGGCCTGAACTGGTACCCTGGAGGCCAGGATGAAAACCCAGGCCTCTCCATTTACTTTCTTGGGCCCCAGAGTCCACATTTGGGATTCACTGTCTACCAGGGCACCTCTCTGGGTGGCATCTAGGAGCCGGAGGCAGGCCAGAGTTTCACCCAGGCTGGAGTGCAGTGGCGCAGTCATGGCTGTCTGCAGCCTCAACTTCCCGGGCTCGGGAGATCCTCCTGCCTCAACTTCCTAAGTAGCTGGAACTATAGGCATGTGCCATCGCACCCAGCTAATTCAGCTAATTTCTTTTTTTGGAGACAATGTCTCACTATATTACCCAGGCTGGTCTCAAACTCCTGGGCTCAGGCAGTCCTCCTGCCTTAGCCTCCCACAGTGCTGGAATTACAGGCACAAGCCCCCGTGCCCGGCTTTCAGCTAGTTTTTGTAGCTCATAGTGATTATTCTTGGAGCCAATAATCGTGCATGCATCCACATCTTGAAATTACATGGTGTCACCTTGACCAGTCTGTTGACATATGCAGATTAGGTATTTATGAGATCCAGAGACTTATAGGGGAGGGGTGGATTTCAGGGAAAAGGGAACCTCTTAGAGAAAGGTAGGGAGTGTCTGCAGTTCTGCCTGTGAGGAGGGTACCAGGACATTGCAGGGCTTGTTTGTTGCATCTTCCTGGTTCTATAGAATTGCAGCTAGCTTCTGGTTTATTTTTTCATTTTTATTTTTTGAGATGGAGTTTTGCTCTTGTTGCCCAGGCTGGAGTGCAATTGGCGTGATCTCAGCTCACTGCAACCTCCGCCTCCTGGGTTCAAGCGATTCTCCTGCCTCAGCCTGCCCAGTAGCTGGGATTATAGGCATGCGCCACCACACCTGGCTAATTTTGTATTGTTAGTAGAGATGGGGTTTCTCCTTGTTGGTCAGGCTGGTCTCAAACTCCCGATCTCAGGTGATCCACCCGCCTCTGCCTCCCAGAGTGCTAGGATTACAGGCAGAAGCCACCGCGCCCGGCCGCTTCTGGTTTATTGAAGAGACAGAAAAATACCCCCTCACCCCCAGCAGGGATGTGTGACCTCTGGTGCAAGGGAGTTCATGAAGTGACTTCTTCAGGTTCAGAATTCTCATCTGAGTAAAGGGAGTGGGGGTGGAGTGGGTCATCTCTGAGGTTTTTTTTTTTTGGCTCTGATTTTGGTTTCTGTCTGCCCAGGAGTCAGGAATGGAGAGAAGGGTAATGGTTTTACCTCTTATTGTGGAAACCTGTTGAGATCACAGAGAATATACTGACGGCATAAAAGGGCAGAACCATAGCAGGGTGCGGTAAGTTGGGGAAGAGTTTTTGGAGAGGGTGAATTTTGCATTGGACCGGACAGAATTGTGTATGGGGAAGGGGAGCGGTTATTCTGGTCTGCTCACATCTCTCATACTCAACCTCATTTCTCCTAATTCTGAAATCTTGAGATCCTCTATCACTAAGAAGGAAAACTACTGTCCAACAGGGACACTTTATTGCTCACCCCATATGTGAAAGTTTGTCATAGCTAAGGCTAGGGTGCTTTTGGTCAGTATCAGCAGAATATATGCCCCCTTTCTTTTGTCAGCATTACTCCGCTTACAAAGCCCTTCCATGTAGATGACCTCATCTGAGCTTCCTAACAAAGGAGCTGGTATTAGACCCCATTTTACAGTGTGCCTGGGTAGGGAAGAGAGTGTAGTGGATTGAGCAGAGGCCTTGGCACCAGACACTGCTTCCTAGCCATGTGCTCTTGGGCAAGTTGCTTAACCCTGCTGAGCCTCAGTTTCCTCAGAAGGAGTCTGTATAAGCAAGGGGAGGGATTGGTCATAGAAGTGGTACTGTGTTTCATTTATCTAGTTATGGCAGACTCTCAAAAACAAATGGTTCTATACAACTAACATTGTCTGCAATTCCCCTGAATCCATTCACTTGTTCAGTAAATGTGTATTGAGCTTCTACAAGGTGTCAAGCACCATGATCTCTGTATCAGTGATTTAACCATTTTTGATGGTTACTACAGACCTCTTTAAGAATGTGATAGAAAACTGTAGCTCCCTCCCCAGAAAACTTTTCTAGCTTTTTATTTTGCTTTGCAGTGAGCCAAGATAGTTCCACTGCACTCGGGGGACAGAGTAAGACCCTGTCTCAAAAAAAAAAAAAAGAAAGGAACCATTTCAAATTAGGTGGGAGACATGGAGCTCTAAATACTACAGCATCCATTGCCTAGAAATACAGGTATTCTCAGCCGGGCGCGGTGGCTCACACCTGTAATCCCAGCACTTTGGGAAGCCAAGGCAGGTGGATCACCTGAGGTCAGGAGTTTGAGACCAGCCTGGCCAACCTGGTGAAACCCCGTCTCTACTAAAACTACAAAAAATTAGCCGGATGTGGTGGTGGGCACCTGTAATCCCAGCTACTAGGGAGGCTGAGGCAGGAGAATCGCTTGAACCTGGCAAGC
This sequence comes from Homo sapiens, assembly GCF_000001405.40. Lineage (NCBI taxonomy): Eukaryota > Metazoa > Chordata > Mammalia > Primates > Hominidae > Homo > Homo sapiens. The sequence goes on along the minus strand of NT_167245.2, from coordinate 1,459,383 downwards.
GAAGGTTGTAGTGAGCCAGATTGCGCCATTGCACTCCAGCCTGGGCAACAAGAGAAAAACTCCATCTCAAAAATAAATAAATATATTAATAAATAAATAAGAAGTATAGGCATTCTCATACATAACCTCAGTAAATACCATTAAGAAAATAATTTTAGACATGGTGCAGTTGCTCATGCCTATAATCCCAGCACTTTGGGAGGCTGAGGTGGGAGGATGGCTTGAGCCTAGGAGTTTGAGACCAGCCTGGGCAATATAGTGGCAACTCTTCTCTACAAAAACCTTTAAAAATTAGCCAAGTGTGGTAGTATGCACCTGTTGTTGCAGCAACTCGGGAGCCTGAGATGAGAAGATTGCTTGAGCCAGGGAGGCCGAGGTTGCAGTGAGCCCAGATAGTTCCACTGCACTCTGGGGGACAGAGTAAGACCCTGTCTCAAAAAAAAAAAAAAAAAAAAGAAAGAGAGGAAATAATTTTTTAATATGATCTAACACCCAGCCTACTTACAAATTTCCCACAATAGTTCCAAGACTATTTTTATAACCTTTTTTTTCTTTTTACAGGATCCAATCAAGGTTCACGTATTGCATTTGGTTATTATTTCTCTTTAGTCTGTAAAAATCAAAAGCAGTTCTTTCGAAGGTTTTTTTTTATGACATTGACTTTTTAAAAGACTAGGCCAGTTGCCATGTGCAATGTCCAGCATTCTGGATTTATCTGGTTCTTTCCTTATGGTGTGGTTTAATTCCTCCATCGGTACTTTTTCAGTTATAACATACTTCAGAGTATTCCTTTCCTTTATATTTTTTATAAACTGGAAGTTAGATCTAAAGTCTTGACTAGATTCATTCAAGTCAAACATTTTTGGCACAAACACTTCATAGGTAATGTTGTGTGATTCATATAGTGCCATGCCAGAAAGCACATGCCACTTTGCCCCGTCTGCTGATGACGCTGGATTTGGTCACTTAGTTAAGATAACCACTGGATCTCTTCCTTATGAAGGTATGTCAGGAAGTAATCCATTCATTGGTGCTTTGGCACCATGGGTACTATCTCATCCCCCAAAACTTTTCACCTAATAGTTTTAGCATCTATTGATGATCCTTGTGCTATTATAATGGCAGTCGCAAAATGATTTTCTAATTCTGTTATCCCTCTTCTACTTATTTGCTGATTAATCTTACAGAAGGTTATTCTTCTGTAATCCCCAGACAATTTTAGGTATCTAGTACATATGCAATAATTTTTAGACAGTTTCAGGAGGTTTAGAGACCATCAAACCCCAGCATGGAGCCTGGGTGATGAGGTGTCCTGTTTTGCATGGAAGAAGAGCTGTAGCTGAGCTCTTCATAGTCCTTTTATTGTTCTTATTTTGCAAGTAAATTGCAAAATAAGTTCCCAACCCAAAGATAACACAGGCTATCCTTCAACAAAGAAAAACCTCAGCTTTTAAACTTCTAGGCCATTTGGCAAAGAGGCATGATAAAGGGCTTGAAAGCCCACAGACACGCCCAGTACCACTCCTTTTTCCTCTTTCCAAACACTTGCAGTATGTTACAACTGAAAAACTGCTGAGCCAGGCTTATTTCCTCAACAGTAAAGCCAAGGAGTTGGACCAGGCAATTCCTAGCATTTCTTTCTTTTTTTTTTTTTGAGATGGAGTCTCACTCTGTCACCCAGGCTGGAGTGCAATGGCACGATCTCGGCTCACTGCAACCTCTGCCTCCCGGGTTGAGGTGATTGATTCTCCTGCCTCAGCCTCCTGAGTAGCTGGGACTACAGGTGCATGCTACCACACCTGGATAATTTTTGTATTTTTAGTAGAGATGGGGTTTCACCGTGTTAGCCAGGATGGTCTCAATCTCCTGACATTGTGATTCACCTGCCTCGGCCTCCCAAAGTGTTGGGATTACAGGTGTGAGCCACCGTGCCCGGCCAATTCCTAGCATTTCTACCAGCATTACTAACATGTAGGAACTTGATATTACTTTCACTTGACAGTTAAATTCCTTGAATCCTTCATTTGAGCTTTGAAGGTGCTTGATTTTCCCCTCATTATGTCTCTTAAAGTCACACATACCTAGATCCATTAGTGCTTCCAGTTGGAATTTATTATCAGCACTATAAGAATCTCTTATATTTATGTAGTCCTTTTACGTTATAAAACACTTTTTATGTATTATTGTACTAGACCCTCAATGAGTGGACGTTATATCCCTGTTTTGTTTACTCTTGGGTCTTATAGACTGGGGGTTTTATTTCTGTCCCATTAATGTCACTACTGACAGAGGCCACTGAACTCTGTTGTGATGGACTTTCACCATACATAATCATTAATAGTATTGATTTGCCTGTAATTCAGGTTGCTTCATTCCAGCCTCGCAGTCACCTCTGTGCCCTGCTGGTTGTCTTCCCAGCGCTGCTGTAGTTGCCTTCCATGGATCTATAGGAGAGCAAGTCCTCCAGGTACTGCCCTGTGACGATGTTGTTGAACTCTGTAGCACGTGTGTCACTGTGGCTGGTTCTGCTCACTTCCTCTTTTGCTGCCACTTTTGAATTTAACTCTTTGTTTGTGGTTTGGACACTCACTGGATTTGGAAACCAGGGGTTGTGGGTTCTCTCCTAGATTTCCGTCTGTGTACCAGGCTTGTGCTTAGCACTTTTCCCATAATTCTTTCACATGACCTGCTTAGAAACCCTTAAAGGTAAGTATCACTCTTCCCATTTTACAGATGGATACACTGAGGCTCAGTACTTAAGTGACTTCTGTATTGTCACACAGAGTCAGGGGCAGGAGGCTGCTCTTGGGTTAGATGTGCTGAGGCTCATAACCTCAGCCTGGAACTGGGTCAGGACTACAAAGGTAAACAGAAGCAGAGTCCTTTCTGTGTGTCCCCGCTCCCTGTACAAGCCAAGGCCTCACAGCACATAGCAGCCACAGCCACCTGAGGATTCCTGCCATCTAGACGAGGCAGTTACAGCCAAGAACAAGTCCACTGAGGCTAAGCTGTGCTCCTCTGGAGGGCTGTGTTTAGAGTCCAGCCTTCTAGGGGAAGCAAATTAAACCCAAACTATAGAACAGCCCAGGGAAATACTCACAAAGGGAAATGCTGACAGTCAGACTCCTGAAGCTTCCTGATGCTTCTCGAGTTTTGGTAAAGAACCTCAGTGCTGTTTGTTTGTTTGTTTTTTAATGTTTTCTGGTTTTTTGTTTGTTTTGAGACAGTCTCTTATTCTGTTGCCCAGTCTGGAGTGTAGTAGTACAATCATGGCTCACTGTAGCCTCCACCTCCCAGATTCAAGTAATCCTTCTGCCACAGCCTCCTCAGTAGCTGAGACTACAGATGCATGCTACTACACTGGGGTATTTTAAAAAATTTTTAAATTTTTTTAGTTGAGACAGGGTCTCACTATGTTGCTGAGGCTGGTTTCAAACTCCTCGGTTCAAGTGATCCTCCTGCCTCAGCCACCCAAAGTGTTGGATTTACAGGGTGAGCCATGTCACATTGCCCTCTCTTAGTTCTTGAAACCTGAAACCTTGAGGAGCAAACAAAAGGGGTCTCTTGGCCAGGTGCAGTGGCTCACGCCTGTAATCCCAGCACTTTGGGAGGCCGAGGCAGGTGGATCACGAGGTCGGGAGATCAAGACCATCCTGGCTAACACGGTGAAACCCCGTCTCTACTAAAAATACAAAAAATTAGCCAGGTGTGGTGGTGGGTGCCTGTAGTCCCAGCTACTCGGGAGGCTGAGGCAGGAGAATGGTGTGAACCTGGGAGGCGGAGGTTGCAGTGAGCTGAGATCACGCCACTGCACTCCAGCCTGGGCGACAGAGTAAGACTCCATCTCAAAAAAAAAAAAACCAAAAAAAAAAAACGGGCGGTCTCTTGACTCTGTCAGGACCCCCATGACTGCTCGTGTGTCTTGTGCTTTGCACAGTTGAGTGAAGGAGCACTGTGTCCACAGTAGACATTGTAGATTTATATATGTATCATTATGAGTTTCCCAGCAGGTAGTGAGAGATTTTTTATTACAGTTGGTGCATTACAGCGATTTTCCAACAGATAGAAGGAAAGGGTGTTGAGGCTCTCCCAACAGCAAGGTATAGGCTAGTGGCTGTCCTGCTCTTCACTCTACCAAGCTAATCTTTCTGGGTTTCCATATCCTTATCTGTACAATGAGGAAGTTGGACTAGATCTATAAGGTCCTCTTCTCGTTGACATTGTGTGAACCTTGTAGGAGCTGGTGGTGTCTGTCGATTGACTGAGTGCTGGAGCTGGCAGCCCTGTGCAGGCTGCCACCTTTGCCCCTTTACTGTGCTTGCTCCTGACTCTATGTCGCGTCTTCAAGGAGAAGAAGTCCTCACCAGTGAACGGAGACCTCTCTGAACTAAGGATACCATGGCCACGTCAGCCCCACTACGGAGCCTGGAAGAGGAGGTGACCTGCTCCATCTGTCTTGATTACCTGCGGGACCCTGTGACCATTGACTGTGGCCACGTCTTCTGCCGCAGCTGCACCACAGACGTCCGCCCCATCTCAGGGAGCCGCCCCGTCTGCCCACTCTGCAAGAAGCCTTTTAAGAAGGAGAACATCCGACCCGTGTGGCAACTGGCCAGCCTGGTGGAGAACATTGAGCGGCTGAAGGTGGACAAGGGCAGGCAGCCGGGAGAGGTGACCCGGGAGCAGCAGGATGCAAAGTTGTGCGAGCGACACCGAGAGAAGCTGCACTACTACTGTGAGGACGACGGGAAGCTGCTGTGCGTGATGTGCCGGGAGTCCCGGGAGCACAGGCCCCACACGGCCGTCCTCATGGAGAAGGCCGCCCAGCCCCACAGGGTAAGCCCTCTTCACCCCCGAGGGTGCCTTGCCACCTTCTCTGGATGCTCCACCTTGCAGTCCTCAGAGGACTCAGCCTGAGTCTCCCTTCCTGCCCCAGCCCAGAGCATCCACCTGTTGCCACTGCTTGTTTTTCCACAGGAAAAAATCCTGAACCACCTGAGTACCCTAAGGAGGGACAGAGACAAAATTCAGGGCTTCCAGGCAAAGGGAGAAGCTGATATCCTGGCCGCGCTGGTAAGTGAGGCTGTTTCAGGAAGCCCTGAGGCGGTGCGCCCGTGTAGGGCAGGGTGAGCCTGGGCAAGTAGGCGGCAGCTGGGAGGTGTTTCTAGGCGCTGCTCACAGGGAGGATGGGTGTCAGCCTGGCAGTAGCAGACCTGGGTTTTAGCCCAAGTGCTGTCTTTCTGAGCCGTGTAGTCTTGGGCCTGTTTCTTGTCTGAGAGACAAGTGGGCTGCCTGGATGTCAGCTAGAGTCCCTTCCGTTTTCTGTGACTGTCACCTTGAAGGCAGGGCCCATGTCCAGCTGCTGGTTCTCTTCTGCCAGGGGACTGAAGAAGGTGTGGCTTCATTCTTCCTTTCAAAGAGAGAGAGAGAGACAAGGTTGCCTGAGAGTGGAGAGGGTTTAGAAGGAGGGAGCTGGCTCCAGGGTAAGAACTGAGAGGGAAGGGCTAGAAAACAGCTAAGGCAGGTCTGCCAATTCTGATGGCACTGTATGTAGTGAGGTCCAGGCCCAGGATCATGGTTGCCAGTACAGTGGGACCTCCTCCATATCTGTGGGTTCCGTAGCGGCGAATTTACCCAACCATGGATCAGAAATATTCAGAAAAAAGAAAAAGCGTCTCTACTGAACATGTACAGATTTTTTTTCTTGTCATTATTCTCTAAACAATTCAGTGTAACAGCTATTTATATAGCATTTACATTATATTAGGCATTATAAGTAATCTAGTGATAATTTAAAGTATATAGTAGATTTTATGTAACTATTATTCCATTTTACATAAGAACTTGAGCATCCTTGGATTTTGGTATCCTTGGGGAGGGAGATCCTGGAACCCATCACCCACTGATACCAAGGGACAACTGTAGTTAGAAAACAGGCAGCACATTATGTACTTGATTAGAGATGGGGTTGGGGGGAACTGATCAAATGGTTCTGATTTTCTGGGGAACTGTGTATGTTGAGGAAGTGGGCAGTGGAGGAGTAGTGGGGTCAGGGCCAGTGGTGAGTCATTAGGCCTAGGGAGAGGGAAACAGTAAGCTAGAGACAGCCAAGTCCAAGGACCCCTCCAGGCCCTCAGTGTGCATGGCTGCCCCCAGCTCAGCACCAGTCAACAGGGCCACTGAGGACTCCCCCAACCCCAGCTGGGGAGGAGATTTGGAGGCAGGAAAGGACATAGTCCCTAAGCACAGACGTCACACAATTTTGCTGAGGAAACAGGATGCAGTCTTACATGGCAGGGGTGGGGTACATATAGATATTTTAGACTGAACAGTGGGGTGCTGAAGAGAGGGCTGGTCAGGCTTAGATGACATTAATCAAGCAAAACTTCCTGGAAGAGGTGACAGATTTTGTCCAGGAGGGAAAAGTGCGTCGGCTCATGAGTGAGACCCACAGAGTTTCTCTAGGGGCCCCAGAGCGTACTGGTTTAGCTAGAACAGATTGTGGCTGACCAGTCAGGTGGAGACAGGGTTTTGACCATATAGTGGTGGGGTGAACTGAACTAATTCATTACTGGAGTCTTCTTTGAGAAGCGGAGTGTGGACCAGGAACCCTCTGTAGCTCCTCCCACTCCAGATCCTGTAGAATTCCTGAACGGGGGTAGCGAGGTGAACGAGCCAGCCTTGCACACCTCCAGCACTGGGCCCTCCACCCTGAGCAGAGGTGTCAGCCCTTCTCCCCTTCCTGCCCCCTGCAGAAGAAGCTCCAGGACCAGAGGCAGTACATTGTGGCTGAGTTTGAGCAGGGTCATCAGTTCCTGAGGGAGCGGGAGGAACACCTGCTGGAACAGCTGGCGAAGCTGGAGCAGGAGCTCACGGAGGGCAGGGAGAAGTTCAAGAGCCGGGGCGTCGGGGAGCTTGCCCGGCTGGCCCTGGTCATCTCCGAACTGGAGGGCAAGGCGCAGCAGCCAGCTGCAGAGCTCATGCAGGTGAGAGGCCGTCCCTGGGCAGGGCGCCAGGGACCAGGACGGTGGGTCCCAGCCCTGCCATTCACTTGCAGGACCTTAGAAGACTTGGGGGCTCAGTTTTGTCATCTGAAACATGGAGATGATAATCCTTACTGCTGCCAATTAGTCTGTAGATTGCATGAGCATAAAATGAAATAACTGGCATGCTGTCACTTCAAAAAATAAACTTTTTACACAAAACTGTTCAAAAAACTAAATGGTATAGTAGAAAATGGAAGGGAAGATTATTAATATCATTTACCATCCTCCATCCTCATCACTGCCATCACAAGCCCTCTTAACAAGTCATTGGCAGACACTTAGCAGCTGGTGGAAGCTTTTTATGGTGTTGTGGTTGGGGGTGGCTGAGGGAGGGCTGACCAGCAGCTCCTCTCAAAGACCCAGAGGATCTGGAAGAGATAGGGTAACTGGGGAAGGGAGACAGAGATGGCCAGGTTTTCTTTGGCCCATGGGATTACCACACAGAGAACAAGATGGAAAGCAGACAAGGGGGCCTCGGGGCACCTCCTAGAGGAGGGGGCTTTGATAGTGAGAAAGGGAGGGTTTGGGGCTGAAGAACTGGCTGTGAAGCTGAAATGGCACCACATCTCCTCCCCCCCGGGAGCCTCTGGGGATCACACTTACCCTGAAGAGGGCCCAGTCCCCTTTGGAGGGGTAGAGGGCTCAACCTTCCTGCTCTCATAGGCTGGGAGGGGAGGGGCTCTCTGATGGTATTCCCCCACTTGCACTGTTTAGGGTGGCTGGGTCTGTCTGTCAGCAGCAGAGCCACCCAGGATCTCTAGGAAGGTGGAGTCCCAGGCTAATGGCAGGGCAATAGCTAGGAGGGAGAGATAGCAAGGCAGACTCTGCAGTATGTGCACTGGGACAGACTGCAGAAGGAGGCGGCCACCTGCTCCTCATTGTTGTGAATTCAGATGTACAGAATGAGGACTGGCAGGGATTTTAGACCTTCCAGTTCAGCCCCTACTGATGAAGTCACTGAGGTCCAGAGAGTGGGAGGAGTTTGTCCCAGGCCATGGGGTGGGTGTCAGGTCACAGCTTGAGCCCAGATGTCCTGACTCCTGGGCTCTGAGCTCTTGTTCTTATTTTGTCCAGAATGTCTCTCTGGCCCCCTCTTTTCCTCCAGATGTCATTCTGTTCTCTCAGATTTCTCTCGTCATACTCTTTGACTGGGTCATTTTCTGCATCTCCTTTTGCCCGTTTCTCTTCTCCTTCCTCTCCTCACGCCCCTGCCATGTGTGAATGCCTACTGTGTGGAACAGAGGCACACAGCTGAGGATGTGGTGGGGCTGAAATCCATTGTGTTTGCCCGGAGGGGTGCCTTTTCCTAATGCACCCAGAGAAGTGGCCCTCAGAGCAGAAGCCTGGCCCTCAATGACTCAGAGCACTCAGATTGCAGCTCTCCCTGGGGTGGGATAAGGTCAAGGGAAGGGAGAGAAAATGGTGTCAGCTTGAAACTAGTATAGGAAATGTTATTGGTACTGGTAGGTTTCTTTTTTTGTTTTGTGTTTTCTCTTTTAATTTTAGTGCTATATAATGTATATATTTATGGGATGTAGAGGTTTTTGTTTGTTTATTTTTGAGACAGAGTCTCGCTCTGTCTCCCAGGCTGGAGTGCAGTGGCGTGATCTCAGCTCACTGTAATCTCCGCCTCCTGGGTTGAAGCAATTCTCCTGCCTCTGCAACCTCTGTCTCCTGGGTTCAAGCGATTCTCCTGCCTCAGCCTCCCAAATAGCTGGGATTACAGGCGCACATCACCACACCTGGCTATTTTCTGTATTTTTGGTAGAGTCAGGGTTTCACCATGTTGGCCAGGCTGGTCTTGAACTCCTGACCTCAGGTGATCGCCTGCCTCAGCCTCCCACAGTGCTGGGATTACAGGCGTGAGCCACTGTGCCTGGCCTAGAGTGATACTTTGATACAAGTATATAATATATAATAATCAACTCAGAGTAATTAGTATATCTGTCACCTCAAACACTTATCATTTCTTTGTGTTGGAACATTCAAAATCCTCTCTTCTAGCTTTTTGAAAATGTATAGTAAATTATAGTTAATTATATTCTCCCTGCAATGCTGCACAACACTAGAATTTATTCTTCCCATGTAGCTATAACTTTGTATCTGTTAACCAACTTCTCCCCACCCTCCTCTCCCCAGCCCCCTTCCCAACCTCTAATCATTACTATTCTACTGTCTTACTTCCATGAACTCAAATTTATTATGGATGAATAGTACTCCATTGTGTATATATGCTACATTTTCTTTATCTATCTGTTGATGGATGCTTAGATTGAGTCCACATCTCAACTATTGTGAATAGTGCCACAATAAACATGAGTGTGCAGGTATCCCTTTGATATACTGATTTTCTTTTCTTTGGATAAATACCTAGTAATGAGATTGCTGGATCATATGGTAGTTCTATTTTTAGTTTTTTGAGAAACTCTCATACTGTTTTCCGTAACGGCTATACTTATATGTAGAAAAACCTAAAGGCCCCACCAAAAAACCCTTAGAACTAATAAACAAATTCAGTAAAGTTGCAGGATACAAAATCAACATAAAAAGTCTACTGCATTTTTAATACACCAATAACAAACTAGCTAAAAAAGACATCAAGAAAGCAACCCCATTTACAATAGCTACAAAAGTAAAATAAAATACCTGGGAATGAAGTTAACCAAGGAGGTGAAAGACCTCTTTAATGAAAACTACAAAACACTGATGAAAGAAATTGAAGAGGACACAAACAAATGGAAAAATATTCCATGCTTGTGGATTAGAATTAATATTGTTAAAATGACTGTCCTACCCAAAGCAGTCTACAGATTTAATACAATCCCTGTTATCAAAATACGAATGACATTCTTCAGAAAAATAGAAAAAAAACTAAAATTCATATGGAGTCACAAAAAACCCCAAATGGCCAAAGCAATCCTAAGCAAAAAGAACAAAACTGGAGGCCTCACACTATCTTACTTCAAAATATACTACAGCCAGTTGTGGTGGCTCACACCTGTAATCCCAGCACTTTGTGAGGCCGAGACAGGCGGATCACGAGGTCAGGAGTTTGAGACCAGCCTGACCAACATGGTGAAACCCCATCTCTACTAAAAATACAAAAATTAGCTGGGCGTGATGGTGCGCACCTATAATCCCAGCTACTCGGGAGGCTGAGGCAGGAGAATCACTTGAATCCAGGAGGCAGAGGTTGCAGTGAGCCGAGATTGTGCCACTGCATTCCAGCCTGGGCAATAGAGTGAGACTCCATTAAAAAAAAAAAAAAAAAAAAAATATATATATATATATATATATATATACACACACACACACACACACACATATATGTATATATATATACACATATATATGTATATAGATACATATATATGTATATATACATATATATATATACTACAAAGCTGTAGTAACCAAAACAGCATGTATTGATATAAAAGCAGACACATAGACCAATGGAACAGAGTAGAGAACTCAGAAATAAATTCACATATTTACAGCCAACTGATTTTCAACAAAGGAACCAAGAACATACAATGGGGAAGGGACAGTCTCTTTAATAAATGGTGCTAGGAAAACTGGGTAACCAACCATACGCAGAAAAATGGTATTGGTAGATTTTGTCTGTGTGCTTATTTGAGTTTGATTGTACTGCGTGGGAACTGGACAGCTACCTCCCTAATTAGCATTAATATTTTCCCAGAGATTATTTGGCTGTCAAAGTATAGTAAGAAAAAGACCTAAAATAGGGTCCAGAAGTCTGATAGAGAAATACAGGTGAGGCTGGTGTGGTGATTCACACCTATAATTCCAGCACTTTGGGAGGCTGAGGCAGGCAGATTGCTTGAACCCAGGAGTTTGAGACCAGCCTGGGCAACATAGTGAGATCCTGTCTCAAAAAAATTAAAATAAAATAGAAATACAGGTGAGAGGGAGAAGCAGCAGGACAAAATGTGTAAAATAGAAGAGACCTTTTGATAGAGGTGATAGGAAAGGAAAGACAAACCTATGGGCTGGGAGCATCAAGAAGACATTAAAGGGATTGGGGTGACAGGAGAGGCCCAGAGAGACACTGCATCCTGCCCTGGTAACCCGGGCAGGCCCTGCAGGATCAGGTGGCATGCTTGTACCCTGCTTCTCCTGCTGTACACCCCCGTGAAGAACTTTCTTGATGCTCTCTGTTAGTAACCGGGCACATCCCCTCCGGGAGCTTGCCATGACTCATTGCCGCAGCCCCACTGCTCGGCTCTGCCTGTTTCATGACAGCTTCAGATGTCTTGGGTGAGAAGAGTCCTCCAGGAGACTTGGGCGGATCACTTCCCTCCAGAGGCCCTGTATGTGGCTGTGGATGGGGGCTCCTGAGTCTTTCAGCCTCTTCTCCTCAGGGCCAGCCCTGCCCTGGCTCTCGGGACCCACCCTCTCTGGGCTGCTCACAACCTTTAACCTTTAGAGGACTCTTCTTTCTCCTGTATGATTCTCTCCCTTTCTACTGTTCTAGGAACTTCCATGTCAGGAAATATGCCCAAATGGGCCTCTGGCCCACACTCCAGCTACTGCTCCATTCATTTGCTCTTTTATGCCACCTTTGTCAGCAGAGCTGTCAGGACACACTGTCTGTTTTGTTGCCTGTCCTCTGAAGCCGCCTTGGACTTACATGTTTTGAGGGGCATGTTAGAGGACTTGGCCAGAAATGTGCTACCAGTCTCTGGGCACTTGCTTCATAGCGGGGGGTTGGGATGTGCCTCTGACTTCTTGTCTTATTCCTCTGGAGTAAAGCTCACAACTCTTCCCAAACTTTTGGAAGCAGTCATCAGCAGCCACAATTTGTTAATTCCATTTGTTTCCCAAATCTCACCCTCTCCAGGAAGCCAGCCTGCACCCCACCGGCCCCTGCTCCCATCCCCCTTCACTCTGCTCTCTTTTCCCGTGGTGCGTATCACTCACGTAGTATGATGTATTTGCTACATTGATTATTGTCTGCTTCCCCCTGCTAGAATGTCAGCTCTACAGAAGTAGGGATTTGTCTCTCTCTCTCTTTTTTTTTTTTTTTTTTTAACTGTTCTGAGGCTTCTAGATGAGTGCCTGGTACCTAGGAAGCACTTAATAAATATTTGTGGAATGAGTGAAAGGAAGGCAAAAATCAATTAATACAGGGTATTAAGGAGGCTTTTGACTCACAAAAGGGAATCTGAGCATGTCAGAATAGCCCTCTTCCCACTCACCCTGCCCTACCACCTGTCTGTCACAGAGATAGCACCACCATTCTCCCCCCTGTACAAACCATGCTCTGTTCTTGTTTATCCTTGACCAGTATGTCCAGTTGAATCTGTCTCTAAAATACCTGGAATGTATTGCTTCTCTCTTTTTCTCCCTACTGCCACCACCTTAGTTCAGGCCATCTTTAGCTCTCCCCTGGTCCACGGCAAAAGCCTCCGGACCAACCTCCCCATGTTCCTCTTGCCTCCTTAGTCCCTTCTCTGTGGGGCAGCCAAGTGAGTGGTCACTTAGGGTTTTGGCTCACTGCTGTACAGTGACGCAAACAGAATAGAAGTTTATTTCTGCCTCAGTTAACAGTTCAGAGGTGCAGGGTCTAGAGCTATCACAGTAGCTGTACATAAGCTTATCCAAGGGACTGGGTTACTTCCATGTGGTTCTTCCACCAGCTTCTAGGGATGTTGTCCTCTGCTGCGTGGTCAAAGTTGGGCTCACCACCACCATGTCCAAAATTCAGTTGGGGTAAAAAGGAAGTAGAAAGCAATTTTCTTTTTTTAAAGGACAATGCCCAGAATTATGGTCATTGCTTTCTATCACATTCCATTGGCTGGAACTTAGTCTCATGACCAGACCTTGTCGTAGGGGATCTGGAAAATGTAGTCTTCCCAGGTGGCCGCCTGACCAGCAATAACTCCGGGGGTTCTATTATTAAAAGGAGGAAGGGGAGAGTGGACTCTGGAGGTTACACAGCAGTCTCAGCCACATGTAGAGCGGATCACACATATCATGCCCCTACTTGAAACCCTTGGTGGGTTTCCACTGTACGTGGAGCAAAAGTGAAACTCCTTACCATGCATATCCAGCCCTGCGCAGTCTGGCCTCTGCCGTTCTCACCAAGCCCTTTCCTGTTTTACCTTACCTCTCTTCATCCGGCCAGTACTTCTTATCCGTCAATTCTCTGCGCAGGTATCTCCCAGAGAGGTTGCCCATGTCATCTCCCAGCCATTGTGGCTTCTGTCATTGTGCCGATTTTGTTTGTTTTCTTGTTGTTTTATGCAGTGACCCCACTGGAATGTCAGCTCCATAAAAAAGGGACCACATTTGTTTTGTTCACTGATATGTCCCATCTCTGCTACAGTGTTGGGTGCAGATGCATTGAAGTCTTATTTGATTCATATTGATACTTGTGCTTTTTTCTTTCCCTTCTAGGACACGAGAGACTTCCTAAACAGGTAAAAGAGTCTCCTCTCCATGGCGTACCTCATCCCCCTTGTTTATGTTCCCCCGCTTCTGACCAGGTGCATTTGAATTCATGGGGAGTGGTATGGTGCCAGAGGTACTCACATCCCATGGTTCATCCTGATGCCCTTCTGAGGAGCAGGACACATCATTGAGAACTGGAGACTTGCTCTCCTCCTTATGGTTCTCTGTGTAGCCCCAGCTCCTTGGCCCACTGGCCTTATTTGAGGTGGGACAGAGCAGAGAGGTTAGAAACATGGCTTAGTAGACAGAGCGCCCTGGATGTGGAGTCTACTGATGTTCTGAAGCCCTGGTTCAGCTGGTGTCTTTGGGCCACTGTTTTTCTGTCACTTGTTTGGGGATAATCATACCTTTCCTCTCCCCTTCATAATTGCCATGAGGATTGAGAGATAAGTATGAAGGAAAGTAAGAAGAGCTGAGTAACAGCTTGTTATGTATGTCATCTTCTTAGGTATCCACGGAAGAAGTTCTGGGTTGGGAAACCCATTGCTCGAGTGGTTAAAAAAAAGACCGGAGAATTCTCAGATAAACTCCTCTCTCTGCAACGAGGCCTGAGGGAATTCCAGGGTAAGGGTTGGGGAGCGCACAAAGGGTGGGAGTCAGAGCAGGGCTACCTCGTAGAAAGAGCGCACCCAGCTCCTTTCCATCACCTTGTCGATCCTCACTCTTCTGAGGGCCTCTTGTCTTAGACATGGATCCCTATCAGGAAATTGATACTGCCCGAGCAAGAAATGGGCTCATAAATTTTCGGGACTTGAGTCATTGCTGTCCTTTTTTCTCCCCAGGGAAGCTGCTGAGAGACTTGGAATATAAGACAGGTGAGTGTCTAGAGGGTGTTTCCCAGATGTACATCAAATATAGAAAACTCCGCCTGCAGAGATTCTGACTGCTCACTTTTCCCCCAGGTAGCCCCTTTTGCAACAGGAAGAATTTCCCAGCTGCACAATAGAAGCCCCCCTCCCTCTTTGCACTTTCTAATCAGCCTACTCTTTAGTCTGCAGTAGAGGCCTCTGCTTGCTAGTCTGATCCTTCTCTGCCCTGTGTTTGCTTTTCTTTTTCCTATCCTCACAGGTCCTACCACCAGTCCTTTTCCTGTGGCCGAGCTTTCTCTCATCTTCCTGGCTGCATGGCTCCTATATTCAGAGCAAACAGCAGGGGCAACCTAAGACCAGAGGCCATATCCACCACAGGCCCCACTATTGTGCCCCCTCTCAGCCCTGCAGTTAGGTTGTACACTGCATACCAACCACCAAGGAGCGCCATCCACATAGACCAAGATGTGAATGGTGCCCCTTGGATTGTGAAGACTGGTGGTCTCCTCCTGGCTCACTTTCACACTTGCTTTCGTGAGAACCATTGAGGAGGTCGGCCTGTCTGGGAGCAAACGAGGCCCTGAGAGCTTCATCTAGTTCACAGGATAAAATCCCATAGCAGAACTGAGTTAGCAGTGGTTAAACCTTAGGTGGTTGTAGCTTCTTTATTAATGTCTGAGCTGTCTGTGAATACCGTCAAATTTTACCTATCAGGTTATTCTAATTATAGAGAATCCTATGAGGATGATGGTGAGGATTATCCCACTCTGTCAGTACCTGTTCAGGGTTTCTTGAACCATCTTACAGAGCAGGCTGGTAGTTTTGAAACTGAAATTGAACAGTTTACAGAGACCCTGAATGCTTGTGTTACAACAGATGATGCTTTGCAAGAACTTGTGGAACTCAGAGGCCACATCTGTCCCAAATTTCTTTTTTTTTTTTTTTTTTTTTTTTTTTTTTTTGAGACGGAGTCTCGCTGTCGCCCAGGCTGGAGTGCAGTGGCGCAATCTCGGCTCACTGCAGGCTCCGCCTCCTGGGGTTCACGCCATTCTCCTGCCTCAGCCTCCCGAGTAGCTAGGACTACAGGCGCCCGCCACCTCGCCCGGCTAATTTTTTGTATTTTTAGTAGAGACGGGGTTTCACCGTGTTAGCCAGGATGGTCTCGATCTCCTGACCTCGTGATCCACCCGCCTCGGCCTCCCAAAGTGCTGGGATTACAGGCGTGAGCCACCGCGCCCGGCCTTTTTTTTTTTTTTTTTTTTGAGATGGAGTCTTGCTTTGTCTTCCAGGCTGGAGTGTAGTGGTGTGATCTCAGCTCACTGCGAGCCCCGCCTCCCAGGTTCACGCCATTCTCCTGCCTCAGCCTCCTAAGTAGCTGGGACTACAGGTGCCCACCACCATGCCCGGCTAATTTTTGTATTTTTAGTAGAGATGGGGTTTCACCATGTTAGCCAGGATGGTCTCGATCTCCTGACCTTGTGATCCACCCGCCTCGGCCTTCCAAAGTGCTGGGATTATAGGCGTGAGCCACCGTGCCCAGCCCCAAATTTCTCTTACATGGGAGCTCACCTGTGTAATTACCTGACATCATCTGACAGTTAGCACAGAGAGTAGCACCTTCCGCCAATTTCTACTTCAAAGATGTCGGACTGAATATGACATTAAAGATCAAGCTGCAAAAGGGGATGAAGTTACTCCAAAACAATTTCATGCATTTGTACCCTTTCTGGGAGAGCTTTATCATAACCTGGAGATCAGAGGAACAAATGGACAGGTTACAAGGGCAGATATTCTTCAGGTTGGTCTTCAGGAGTTGCCGAATGCCTGAATGCCCTCTTTTCTAATCCCGTGGATGACAGCTTAATTTGTGCAATAAAATTGCTGAAGTTGACAGGGTCAGTTTTGGAAGATGCTTGGAAGGAAAAGGAAGGACTGATATGGAAGAAATTATTCAGGAAATTGAAAATGTTGTTATAGATGCAAGCTGTGGCAGAGACATGAAACAGATGCTCTTGAAGCTTGTAGAACTCCAGTGCAGTAATTGGGGTAGAGTCCATGCAACTTCATCATACAGAAATACAACAGCCAAAAAAGATCCCAATTACTATGTGAATGAACCAACATTTTATAGTGGTCATTCACATAGTTATTGTGTTTCATAGTGTTCCTTTCACTGCAGCTGATCCGGATTACCAAGAAGCATATCAAGAGTTACTTGAAAAAGAGGACTTTTTTTCTGGATTATGAAGAAAATGGAACAGATTTTTCAGGGACTGGTGATCCACACTTGGATGATATTAATGATGAGTTGGACCCAGAGATCCAGAGATAGAGGAAGCTTATGAAAAGTTTTGTTTGGAATCAGAGCGTAAGCGAAAACAGTCAAGTTAAATTTCAGTATATCATGTTTATAAAGCAGTTTAGTTATGGTGATTTAGCAGAATACAAAGCCAGAAAATGTGTCACACTTATACCAAATTAAGGATGTTGAGTTATATTACTAATGTATGCAACTTTAATTTTGTTTAACGCTATCTGCCAAAATAAATTTTATTCCCTCTGACTTAAAAAACAAAACAAAACAGTGATGCTGTTTTTTTTTTTTTCCCTTGTCCCCACAGTGAGCGTCACCCTGGACCCACAGTCGGCCAGTGGGTACCTGCAGCTGTCAGAGGACTGGAAGTGCGTGACCTACACCAGCCTGTACAAGAGTGCCTACCTGCACCCCCAGCAGTTTGACTGTGAGCCTGGGGTGCTAGGCAGCAAGGGCTTCACCTGGGGCAAGGTCTACTGGGAAGTGGAAGTGGAGAGGGAGGGCTGGTCTGAGGATGAAGAAGAGGGGGATGAGGAGGAAGAGGGAGAAGAGGAGGAGGAGGAAGAGGAGGCCGGCTATGGGGATGGATATGACGACTGGGAAACGGACGAAGATGAGGAATCGTTGGGCGATGAAGAGGAAGAAGAGGAGGAGGAAGAGGAGGAAGTTCTGGAAAGCTGCATGGTGGGGGTGGCTAGAGACTCTGTGAAGAGGAAGGGAGACCTCTCCCTGCGGCCAGAGGATGGCGTGTGGGCGCTGCGCCTCTCCTCCTCCGGCATCTGGGCCAACACCAGCCCCGAGGCTGAGCTTTTCCCAGCACTGCGGCCCCGGAGAGTGGGCATCGCCCTGGATTATGAAGGGGGCACCGTGACTTTCACCAACGCAGAGTCACAGGAACTCATCTACACCTTCACTGCCACCTTCACCCGGCGCCTGGTCCCCTTCCTGTGGCTCAAGTGGCCAGGAACACGCCTCCTGCTAAGACCCTGAGCCCTGACATCTGCCCCCAGCCCCAACCCTCAGATGCTTCACTTCTTTGGAATTCCAGGACTCTCAATGGGGGGACGGGATGCCTGGCCTAAGCACCTGGAGCAGGGGACCCCATATCCACTGGTAGCCACCTCCCCATTGCTGTGGCCCCCTGAAATCTCACTCAGTGCTGTTGCTCCATCTACTGCCCTAATGGGGCTCTTTTCCCACCTCCTGCTGGTTTCCCGAGGGAACTTCTGACCCTGGAGTCCATGAGGGCTCCTTTCCTTTTTGACCACGACCTTGGCCCCAGCTCTGCACTCTCTGGAATAAGGGCCCGATGCAGCATTTTCTTGCCCAGTGTGGCAAGACCTCAGAAAAACCAGTCAATTACGCCTAAGATCATTTTGCTGTCCTTAAACCCCCCAGGTTCCTTCTTGCACAAATCCACTCTGCTGCCCACCTTCCCTGGCATTTTAAACAGACCTACCCCACCCCAACTCAGAGTTAAGCATACATGGCAATGCTGAAAATAAACAAAATCCACTGAGGCTTCCCAGGCCATTTAAAGCCTGGAGTACCAGCGCATATCATCTCATGGGGTCCAGAGTGGAGTCCAGGCTTCTCTGAAACCAGGGCTGAGCATATTTCCATAGCCAAGGAGGTGGGACTCCCTGGAGCTATCTGTGGTCTTAGGGAAGGATCCAGACATACACGGCTTTGGGGTACAAGCTGTGATCACTGATCAATAAATTATCTCTAGATTGGTCCTTGTGAGGGGAGTTTTAAGAATCCAGAACATCTTGCTCTTGATCAGCACATCCAAAAACACCAAGACAAACATCCAGTGGAGCAGAACCTCTCCTGCCTCGGGAGTTCTGACCGGGTTCCCCAGCAGGGTGTTAAGCCTCTGTCTCTGGCCCTACCAGCATCCAGGTTCCACTTTCCTAGGAGAGAGTGGAGATGGGAAGACAGGGAAAGGAAGGCAGCAGGAGGCCACAAGCCCACCAGGTCTTCATGTCAAGAGAGGGAGTAACATGTCTTCTCATTGCCCACGGACCCAACCTCTGTCCAGGTGCCCCTCATCATCACAGTTTAACACAAGCTCCCCTGCTCCAGCCAAATTGATCTCCCAGTCTTGTCCTTACCCATTCCAAGTGCTCTGCCAGCCCCTGTTCATCCAAGTTTTAAGTCCTCCACCCTGTTCTAAGAGACTGTTCCAACGGCTCTGGGCCTCAGTGGTCACTTGACCACCATTGTCTCAGAGCTGCCCACTTTGTGTGTGTCACATGCTGCCTGAGTCACATGTACATCTTATTTCTGCCTCTAGTTTTGTAAGCTCCTGGAGGGCGGATAACATCTTATACTACTCTTGTATTCTCATGGCACCTAGTGCAGTGCTGGGCACAGAGTAGGTGCTCAATAAAGACTTGTTGAATGAACAGCCTGGAGATCTGTATTTGTAGGTCTATATCTATATTATATCTCAAATGCCACCAGACCTCAGTCTGGCTACAGAGAAATTCCACTGATAGCAGTAGCCGAAGGTTTTCCTTCTGTGCCTTCTGTAACAGTGTAACTTTGCTTTCTGTTCTCTGCACACATGCTGTCATTTCTGGAAGTCCCTCAAAAAGAGCCTACTGCGGAACACAGACGAGTTGTTGCGTGGCTCCACCTTTTTATTCCTCCTGCAGTGGTGCCCTTGAGCTGAGGTCCAGCGTTTTGGAGCAAGTGATGACTCTCCCTGAGAAGGGAGACCTCCAGTATAGCACACCCAAAAATTCTTCCTTGGAAAATAAGCACTGCCTCAGAGGAAATAGAATGTGCAGAGATTCAGCCTTGCATCCTAACACAGTCAACTGTTTTTCTTGTCCTTTCTGATTTTTTTTTTTTTTTTTTTTTTTTTTTTTTTTTTTTTGAGATGGAGTCTCACTCTGTCTCCCAGTTTGGAGTGCAGTGGCGCCATCTCGGCTCACTGCAAGCTCTGCCTCCCGGGTTCACGCCATTCTCCTGCCTCAGCCTCCCGAGTAGCTGGAACTACAGGCGCCCGCCATCACGCCCGGCTAATTTTTTTGTATTTTTAGTAGAGACGGGGTTTCACCATGTTAGCCAGGTTGGTCTTGATCTCCTGACCTCATGATCCACCCACCTCGGCCTCCCAAAGTGCTGGGATTACAGGCGTGAGCCATCGCGCCCAGCAGTCCTTTCTGATTTTTTAAATTGCCATCTTAAAGATGGAAAAGGGAGGATTATACGAAACTACCTGTAAAATTACGCTAGTGGCAAAGAGCATATTTCCTCTCTGTTCTCTAAGTTGTGGGCTCATGTAAATTTTCCCTTTTTATTTTTTATATTCATAGTTTTTCATTTTGTATAACTCTACTTGCACATATGGTAAACTTTCTACAGTGCTTCTTACAAATAGGAACATTTCCCTGCCCCATACCTCCCTCCAAAGACCCAGTTCATACCTTTCAGCAAACTATTTTGTGTTTGCCTTGCTGGGATTACAGGTGTGAGCCACCACAACTGGCTGAATTTTTATTATTTTAGAGACATGGTCTTACTCTGTCACCTAGGCTCTAGTGATGGTGCACTCGTAGCTTACTGTGGCCTTGAGCTCTGGGGCTCAAGTGATCCTCCCACCTCAGCCTCCCAAAGTACTGGAATTACAGGCGTGAGCCACTGTGCCCTGCCTGAATTATTTCTTGTTGACTTTTCCTCCTATTTTCTGTATTCTCTCAAATCTGTTATCTCCAGGCTTCATATGTCTCCTGAATTCATTTATTAAGTACCCGTGATGTGCCAGGATGTTTCTAGGTTACAACAGTGATAAGGTTAACAAAGTTCTGCACTCTTGGAGGTTATATTCCAGCAAATGGTGACAGGCAGTATGTTAAAATTGAAAAAAAAAAAAGTAATTAGCACTATGCAAGGAAGTGAAATAAGTCTGTGATAGATAGTGACCTAGTATCTATTTTATAATGTGTGATCAGAAGGGAGTTCCCTGAAAAGATGGCATGAGAGCTGAAATCAGAATGGTGAGAGGGAAGGTCTAAGATCACATCAGCTAGAGGGAACAGCAAAGTCCTAAAGCAGGGACAAACTGGGTACAGAAAGAGTGCATTTAGAGTATGGTTATGGGAGAACAGAAAGAGCCATAGATTTTCTCTTTTTTTTTTAATAGAGACGGAGTCTCGCTCTGTTGCCCAGGCTGGAGTGCGGTGGCATGATCTTGGCTTACTGGCAACCTCCGCTGCCCAGGTTCAAGCGATTCTCTTGCCTCAGCCTCCCAAGTACCTGGGACTACAGGCGCACACCACCATGTCTGGCTAATTTTTTTGTGTTTTTAGAAGAGACGGGGTTTTGCCATATTGACCAGGCTGTTCATGAACTCCTGACCTCAGGTGATCCACCTATTTTGGCCTCTCAAAGTGCTGGGATTACAGGCATGAGCTTTAAAAAGAAACTTTTTAAAAACTGATGCATCCCAAGTACCCAGAATAATGCCTATCACATAAGTCTTGACCTGAGGCCGGACTGATGTGGCGCTGCTGTTGCTGCTGCTACTGCTGCCACCTGGCAAAAAAGAGATGGGAGACTGAGCACTCCCATGCACCCCCCTGGACAAATCCCATCGCCACTGCTACAGGCTGCTGTGAGACCAGGGCTTGAGAAGACTGCACTCCCTGTGGCTACTTGTCCTTGCTCTTCCACCTGAGAGGGGTCCTGCCCTCCCGGTGGCAAACCTGTAGTCATTATTCTGAGAGCTCAACCACCCGGGTCTGCATTCTGCCCCTGGGCCTGGCTGGGGCTGCTGCCGCCAAGCCAAGGCTAAGTTGAGGAGGGAGAGTAGAGACGGGGCACTTCCGCACGTTCCTAGGACAAATCCCACCACTGCTGCTATGGGCTGGTGTGGACAAAGGTGTGAGCAGATGACACTTCCCACAGCTACTTGCTCATGATGCGCCAGCTGAGAGTGGCCCTGCCTTCCCTGGTTGCAGGACTACAGTGCAGCCACCACAGCCAGCCCACACCTGAGCATTCTGCCAGTGGTCTGGGGACCTCTCCATCTCTTGTCTATCACAGCTAGCACCTGAATGCATTGCAGGGGGCCCTGAGGACAGGTCTGCTGGCCTGATCCCATCCCCCCAGTACACAAGCACATCATCCAGGGGCCCGGAAATTGCCCAGCCCAATCTACCACCACTGGCATCTGAATCATTCCTGTCAGGATCTGAGGTCAGTCCAACTCAATCTACCAATACCACCACAACTGACACCCACCCACACATGCTACCAGTGGGTCAGGGTACTAGCCTGCCCAACTTGTCACAGCCACCACCAACACCAGCACAGACTGCTTGGGTCCTAGCAGGTTGTTCCACCACTGCTACTGCCATTACCCATTTCACACCAGCTGCCCAGGAGCCTGAGAAGTTGCCCACATGTCTGGCCCACTGCTGCCACTGCTAGCATCTGAGCAAGTCACCTGAAGGCCCAATAATTGGCCCTCCAAGACCCACTAACGCTGTTGTCAGTTTAAGCCACTCTGTGGGCCCTAGCACAGGCTCATTCAACCCACCGCTGCCATCACTAGGGCCTGAAGACTGGCCCACCTAGCATCTTAGTTCCCAGCCAAACTTCACCACAGCCTTCACTAATAAGTGCACCTTAAGTCAATGAGGAAGTCACAGATACCACTGATGTTGTATACTGCCAAATAAATCATACAGGGATCACACTACTATAGGCACTCAAAATCAAAGCCAAAGCACCCTACTCAACAAACAACACGTAAAATCTTCAGGAAAAAAATCCTCCCCTATGAAAGCAATTTCAAAAATGGAAGAAGTGACTGTTGCAACTAAATGTGCAGATATCAATGTAAGGACACAGAAAACTAAAGAACAAAGAAATATGACACCAACAAAGGAACACAATACCTCTCCAGCTACAGTTATCAATCAGAAAGAAATTCATGAAATTCTAGATAAAGAATTCAAAGTACTGATTTTAAAGAAACTCAGTAGGCTGGGCACGGTGGCTCATGCCTGTAATCCCAGCACTTTGGAAGGCCGAGGTGGGTGGATCACGACGTCAGGAGATTGAGACCATCCTGGCTAACACGGTGAAACCCCGTCTCTACTAAAAATAGAAAAAATTAGCTGGGTGTGGTGGTGGGTGCCTGTAGTCCCAGCTACTCGGGAGGCTGAGGCAGGAGAATGGCGTGAACCCGGGAGGCGGAGCTTGCAGTGAGCTGAGATCGTGCCACTGCACTGCAGCCTGGGTGACAGAGTGAGACTCCATCTCAAAAAAAAAAAAAAAAAAAAAGAAACTCAGTGATATATAAGAGAATTCTGAAAAACAATAGAAAGAAAAAAGATAATAATGTAGGATATGAATGAGAAATTTAATAAAGCAATAGATTGTTTTTTAAAAGAAAAATAGAAAATCTGGATATGAAGAATTTATTAAAGGAAATACAAAATACCTTTGAAAGCTTCAACAATAGAACTAGATTGGGGAGAAGAAAGAGTCTCAGAGCTTGAAGGCAGCTCTTTTGAAATAACCTAGTCAGACAAAAATAAAGAAAAAATAATTTTAAAAAATTCAATTTACTTTGCCTAGATAAAAAAATTAGCAAAGCCTTCATGATATTTGGGACAGCATAAAGCAACTGAATATATGAATTGTTAGTATCCCCGAGGATGATGAAGAAATGAAAGGATTAGAAAATCTATATAATGAAATAATAGATGAAAACTTTCCAAGCCTAGCAAGGGATTTGGACATGCAGGTATAGGAGGCTCAATGTTTCCCAGGCAGATGCAATGCAAAGGGTCTTCTCCATAGCACATTATAATTAGACTGTCTAAAGTCAAAATAAAGAGCAAATTCTAAAAATAGCAACAGAATAGTGCCTAGTCACCTAAAAGGAAAACTCATCAGACTAACAAACAGTGGATTTCTCTGCAGAAACCCTACAGGCCAAAAGATAATGGGATGGTATATACAAAATGATGAAAGAAAATAACTGTCAGCCAAGAATATTAGATCCAGCCAAATTAAAGTATAAAGGAAAAAGAAATAAAGTCTTTCCCAGACAGGCAAATACTGAGGGAATTTGTTACCACTAGATCAGTCCTACGAGAAATGCTCAAGGGAGTCCTAAACCTGGAAGTGATAGGATGATATTTACCATCATAAAAACACACAAAAGTATAAAACTCGCTAGTAAAGCAATCACACAAAGGAAGAAGAGAAAGGACTCAAATGGTGCCTCTACAGAAATCCACCAAACCACAATGACAAACAAGAAGAAAGGAACAAAGAATATATAAAACAATCAGAAAACAACAATATGACAGGAACAAAGTCTCATATATCAATAATAATCTTGAATGTAAATGGAATAAATTCTTTACTTGAAAGATGTAGAATGGCTGGATTTATTTAAAAAGATAATACACCTGTAAGCTGTTTCAAGAAACTCAGTAAAGTTTCTTACCAGTAAAGACAAATATAGACAAAGTAAAGGGATGGAAAAAGATATTCCATACAAATGGAGACAAAAAGTGAGAAGGAGTAGCTATACTTATATCAGATACAACAGACTTTAAGTCAAGAATTGTGAAAAAAAAAAGCCAAAAATGTCATTATATAATGATAAAGGGATCAATCCAGCAAGAAGATTCAACAGTTCTAAATATATATACACCAAACACCAGAGCACCCACATTCATAAAGCAAATATTACTAGCTCTAAAGAGAGAGACAGATTGGAATACAATAATAGTGGGGGACTTTAGCACCTCATGCTCAGCATTAGACAGATTATCTAGACAGAAAATCAACAGAGAAACATTGGATTTAAACTGGACTTTAGACCAAATGAACCTAACATTTACGGAACATTCTATTCAACAACTGCAGAATATATATTCTTTTCATCAGAACATGGAACCTTCTCCAACATAGACCATATATTAGGTGACAAAACAAGTCTCAATAAATTTTTAAAAATTAAAATCATATCAAATATTTTCTCAGACTGCAATAGAATAAAATGAGAAATCAATACCAAGAGGAACTTTGGAAACTATACAAATACATAGATATTAAACCACATGGTCCTGAATGACCATTGGGTCAATGAACAAATTAAGATAGAAGGCCAGGCATGGTGGCTCACACCTGTAATCCCAGCACTTTGGGTGGCTGAGGCGGATGGATCACCTGAGGTCAGAAGTTCGAGACCAGCCTGGCCAGCATGGTGAAACCCTGTCTCTGTGAAAAATACAAAAAAATTAGCTGGGCGTGGTGGCAGGCGCCTGTAATCTCAGCTACTTGGGAGGCTGAGGCAGGAGAACCGCTTGAACCCGGGAGGTGGAGGTTGCAGTTAGCCGAGTTTACACCATTGAACTCCAGCCTGGGAGACAAGAGCAAAACTCCATCTGGAAAAAAAAAAAAAAAAAGAAATTAAGATGAAAATTAAAAAAAAAATCTAAAAACAAATGAAAATGGAAACATAAAACCTGTGGGATTCAGCAAAGGCAGTGCTAAGAGGAAAGTTTACAGCAATAAATGCTTACATTAAAAAAGTAGAAAGATTACAAATTAACAATCCAACAATGTACCTGAAGGAGCTAGAAAAGCAAGAACAAACCAAACCCCAAATTAGCAGAAGAAAAGAAATAATAAAGATCAGAGCAGAAAGTAGAGACTTAAAGAAATACAAAGGATCAATGAGATGAAAAATTGGTTCTTTGAAAAGATATACAGAATTGATAAGCTACTAGCTAGACTAACCAAGAAGACAGAAGACCCATATGAACAAAATCAGAATTGAAAAAGGAGACATTACAACTGACATCACAGAAATATTAAAGATCATCAGAGACGGTTATAAACAACTAGATAAAATTGGAAAATCTAGAGGAAGTGGATAAATTCCTGGAAACACACAACCTACCAAGACTGAATCAGAAAAAAATAGAAAACCTGAGCAGACCAATAATTAATAGCAAGATTGAATCAGTAATTAAAAGTCTCTCAAAGAAGAAAAGCCTAGGACTGGAGGGATTAACAGCTGAATTCTACTAAACATACAAAGAACTAATACCGATCCTCCTGAAACTGTTCAAACAAGTCAAAGAGGAAGGAATTTTCCCTAACTAATTATATGAGGTCAGCATCACCCTAATACTAAAACCAGACAGATACACCACAACACCAACAAAAAGAAAATTATAGGTCAATATCCCTAATGAACATAGATACAAAATCATAGATAGATACAAAAATCCTCAACAAAATACTAGCAAACCAAACCCAACAGCACATCGAAAAATACTACATCAAAATCAAGTGGGATTTATAGTAGAGATGCAAAGATGTTTCAATATGAATAAATAAGCATGATACATATTATCAATAGAATGTAGAACAAAAACCATATGATCATCTTAATAGATGCAGAAAAAGCATTTGATAAAATTTAACATTCTTTTAAGATAAAAACATACAACACACTAGGCATAGACGGAACAAACCTCAAACTCAAATGAGCTGTATGTAACAAACCCATAGCTAACATGCTGAATGAGGAAAAGTGGAAAGCTTTTCCTCTAAGCACTGGAACAAGGCAAGGATGTCTACTCTCAATACTCTTATTCAACATAGTACTAAAATCCTAGCTATAAGGATCAGGCAAAAGAAAGAAACACAATGTGTGATTTCACCAAAAAACTCTTAGATATGATAAATGAGTTCAGTACAGTTTCAGGCTACAAAATTAATATGCAAAAGTCAGTAGCATTTCTTTACATCAGTAATGATTTAGCCAACAAAGAAATCAAGAAGGCAATCTCATTTAGAAATTTTTGCTACCAAAAACAATTTAGGATTGAATTTAACCAAGGAGGCAAAAGATCTTTACAAGGAAAACTACAAAATACTGTTGAGAGAAATTCAAAACAACACAAATGGAAAAACACCTTATGCTCATGGATTAGAAGGAATATCAACATCATTAAAATGACCATATTGTTCAAAGTAATCTGCAGATTAAATGCAATCCCTAACAAAATATCAACATCATTCTTCACAGAATTTGAAAAAAAAATCCTAAAATTCATATGGACCAACCCCCCCCTCCCAAAAAAAGCCCAAATAGCCAAAGAAATCCTGAGCACAAAGAACAAATACTCTTGGATTAAAGGGAGTTTAGTAATTAATAGATTAGTAATACTTGCTACTAGAGACATTTTTGTCAGGTTTGTCAAATATCAGATGGTTATAGGTGAAAATCAAATCAAAACTACAATGAGATACTATCTCGCACCAGTCAAAATGGCTATTACTAAAAAGTCAAAAAGCAACAGATGCTGGCAAGGTTGTGAAGAAAAACGAATGCTTTTAACACTGTTGGTGTGAGTGTAAATTAGTTCAACCATTGTGGAAGACTGTGTGGCAATTCCTCAAAAACCTAGAGGCAGAAATACCATTCAACCCAGCAATCTCATTTACTGGGTATATACCCAAAGGAATAGAAATCGTTCTCTATAAAGATACATGCATGTGTATGTTCATTGCAGTAGTATTCACAATAGCAAAGATATGAAATCAAACTAAATGCCCATCAATGATAGACTGGATAAAGAAAATGTGGTACACATATACCATGGAATATTTTACAGCCATAAAAAGGAATGAGATCATGTCCTTTGCAGGGACATGAATGGAACTGGAGGTTGTTATCCTTAGCAAACTAAAGTAGGAACAGAAAACCAAATACAGCATGTTTTCACTTATAAGTAGGATCTAAATAATGAGAACATATGGACACATGGCAGGAGGCGGGGGGAACAACACACACTGGGCCCTGTTGGAGGGCGGGGGTGGGAGGAGGGAGAGGATCAGGAAGAATAGCTAATGGGTGCTGGGCTTAATTCCTGGGTGATAGGATGATCTGTGTAGCTGACTACTATGGCACACATTTACCTATGTAACAAACCTGCACATCTTGCACATGTACCCCTGAACTTAAAAGTTGAAAAATTTTTTAAAAAAGAAAAACATTAGGGAGTAGCTGCCTTTGGGAGTGAGGAGAATGGGAATAAAAATTGGGGAGAGAGGAGAAAATACAAATAAAACCAGAAGACCTTGCATGGACTGATGATGATAGTGTTCCAAGAACTGAGAGGTATGACTGAGTCAACACTCTACACTGGAAGTCTGAAAGAAGGAAAGAACTGAAAATGAAAAAGAAAATAAAGGCCATGAGTAGAGCTAGGAAGCTTCCTTATAGACAGGAGAATGGGCCCCACATCCAGAGCAAAGTAAGCCGACCAGAGAGACAATGCATCTGCCTAGGCTCTAGTTCCCATTACAACCAGCTCACTGTCATCACGGTTCCTGGGCTCCAGAGAGATTCCCTTATAGGTCCCACCTTGGTCCTTACAATAACCCCTCTGGTTCTCCGAGGCACATCAGTGTGACTGCTCCTCACATAGTCCAGCAGCCCAGCAATTATTTTGTGGGATCTCTTTGCCTCCTGCCCAGTAGTGGACAGAACTCAGCACTTGGAATTCAGGAACACCTACAAAAAGCATTAGGGGCAAGGCAGGTTGTGCAGAGGATCTTGTAGGGGAGATAGAGGACAGTTTTACATCACAAACACAGGAACACAGCCATCCTGTGGCTCCAGCTGGACCACCAAATGAATAATTTTCCTCTGCTTTTCCTTCAGGCAGCTCTCAGTCCTCACCCTGAGGTCTTAGCCACTCCCAAATTTCTTTTGGCTTCTAAATTTCTCTTTCCTTTCTTATGCAGAACAATTTATTAATATAGGCACAAAGCCTCCAAATGTGCATATCCACACTTTTAAATTATCTGGACCACTCTAAAATTAGAAGTACCAGAGACTTGGAAATACAGTGTGCTTATGGTTCATCGGTTCTTTTTTTTTTTTTTCTGTTTCATATGAAACCAAAAATGCCCTGTCTAAAACATGAATTCAATGGGTAGCAAATGAAACATAGCCCCATTGGGATGTGTCTGTTTTAGAAGTCTGAGTGTGGTGGAAATGTGACTGCACTGAGCTCCAGGACAGGTAGATTCTACTTCAGCAGGTCACAAGGACCAGCTGTGAAAATTGTTAGACAAGTTCATTTAACTGTGTGCCAGTTTTCTCAACCACCACATGAGAAAAACAAAATAGGTCTTATGTATTTCACAGGCTTGTTGTAAGGTTCAAATGAAGATATAATTAAAACAAATTTGACCAATGGTACAATTAGCATGTGTTGCACATAGTTTTTCTTTTGGAGGGGTTGCAAAGAATACTTATGGCATAATCTAATTTATGTAAAAAAAAGAGAAAGCAATATATATTTGTATTCAAAACTTGCAGGATATACAAAAAATTGATATCAATGTTTAACTATGGGGAGTGGCAAGGGGAAGTGTTGAGTGGGTGGGGAAAGAGGTTTTTATTTATACACTTTGAAAATGTTTGAATTTTCTTAACCATGAGCATATACAACTTTTATAATAAGCATTGGGCAATACTACTACTACTACCACTACTACTACTACTAGGTTGGACTACCAAGCCACTTGGGTCAGATAAGGATGGCTCTGCTCACCACACTGGGGGGCAGAAGAAACCCCACATTGTCTGGCTTCTTTTATATCAAGAACCTCTATTTCCCCAACAGTCAAGTTAGGGTTAATTATTCACATCACATTGATTCATGTTACAATTTTTAAATAAAATTCACATATGGTCCAAACTCTTTGAGTGCTTTTAAAACATCTGACCCATGCTTTAGGAGCAGGGCTTACGCAATAATGAAGATGTTCTTTGTTTTATTTGTTTGTTTGTTTCTTGGAGACAGAGTCTCACTCTGTCACCCAGGCTGGAGTGCAGTGGTACAATCTCAGCTCACTGCAACCTCTGCCTCCTGGGTTCAAGTGATTCCCCTGCTTCAGCCTCCCAAGTAGCTGGTCTGCCACCACACCCAGCTAATTTTTGTATATTTAGTGGAGATGGGGTTTCACCATGTTGGCCAGGCTCAAACTCCTGACCTCAGGTGACCCACCTGCCTCGGCCTACCACCGTGAGCCACCGCGCCTAGCCTGTTTTTTGTTTTTTGTTTTTTTGAGATGGAGTCTCACTCCGTCACTCGGGCTGGAATGCAGTGGCTTGATCTTAGCTCACTGCAACCTCCGCCTCCCTGGTTTAAGTGATTCTCCTGCCTCAGCCTCCTGAGCAGCTGGGATTACAGGCGCCTGCCATCTCGCCCAGCTAATTTTTATATTTTTAATAGAGACAGGGTTTCACCATGCTGTCCAGGCTGGTCTTAAACTCCTGACCTTAAGTGATCTACCTGCCTCAGCCTCCCAAAGTGTTGGGATTACTGGCGCAAGCCACCGTGCCGACCCTAAAGTGTTCTTGTACACAGGGTATTGTCTTACACTACAGGGAACCTGGATTGGAGTTGAAGGCAGATTTTTTTCAGAGGTTGGGGTGGAAGGGTGAGAATGTGAGTGTTCAACTTGAGAGGAGAAAGGGTAGGGGTGGAAGGAAACATCACTTGTATAGGGATTAATACTTTGCTTTTTAAAGTTATTTTAACCTGTGGTCTGTTTCTGTGTCCAAATAATAACTGCAGTAATAACAAATATTTGAGAGGTTAGTTAGACCTGAGCAAAAGCCTCGTTTTATTAAACAATGGGGCCTGGTGATTGTCCCACTGTCTGTCATCAGGGATATCCTGACTAAAAGAAGGGACAGGATTGTGTCTTGGTCACAGAGGGATCATCACCCTTCCTCTCTGCATCTACTCCCTCGAGCCATCTCGGCCCTAAATTGCCAACACAGGCAGATCCCATTGGATTTAAGCCTTTCTCCAGTCCCATCAGCGCTAATTGGACACATGGAATCCAGAGGTCTGTGAGTCACACTTTCTTAGGACATTCTCTACAAGTCCAGAGAAATGACCAGAAGGGAAGGGAAAGGAAGGGGCCCTGGGGTCCACCCAGGGCTGATAAAAAGGCCCTAAGCCCTACAAAGGTGGAGGCATCTTCAGGTGTGTGTCAAAGTACGAAGTTGACTGTACAAATTAGTGCAAGTCCAGCAAAACCCTGATTTTTCCCAAGATAATTATTTTGAAACAGTTTAAACATTTTATTTTAGATGTCTTTTTCTTTTTTTTCCCCGAAAGCCCGCTGGCTCCTAGGTTGGCTGTTGCCCTAGGCACAGCCGAAGCCGTCTGTGGTTCTGCACTCTGAGGTGCAGAGAAGGCCAGAGCGTCACAGGGAGGCTCAGGACGTCAGGGAGCTGAGGGCCTAAGATAAATAAAGTAAAAACAACCGCTGTTCGAGACTCAAGTCCCCTGTTCTCTCGCCTCACGCGGGCACAGGGAGCCCCCGGGCCGCACACTGGCCAGGGGCGGAGCTGGATCCCGGAGAGCCGCCGTCTCCGCTTCGCCGCCCTTCGCGCGCCCCACTTCAGCCTTTCAGCGTAAGGCAGGAACCTTTTTTCCAGACGGCAAAGAAAGGGAAGACTTTGCCGGAGAAAGAGGCAGTGAAGGTGAAGATGGGCTCCTGGGTCTGGGCGTTGTGGAGGGTCACCTGCCCCGCCTCGTAGTCCAGGGCGACTCTCACGCCGCGCGGGATCTCGCTCAGCGGCAGGTCGGTGCCCGGGGAGGTGCTGGCCCAGCACTGCTGGTGCGAGATGATCACGGCCCAGACGCCGTCCTCGGCGCTGAGTCCCATCTCTCCCTTCCTCCTCACCCCCTCCCCGGCCACCCCCACCGTGCAGCCGCCGCCGTCGCCCAGCTGCAGGTCAACCTGCCAGCGGTGGCGCCCGGAGGAGAAGCCCGGGAAGCCCAGAACCGCCGGGAGGCCGTCGAAGCGCAGGGGGCTGTCTGGCAGGCTCTTCTTCTGCCGGGTGTACCTCACTGACTTCCTGTCTTCCGAGAGAACCAGGCTCCGGCTGGCGGTCTGAGGGTCCAGAGTGATGACCCCTAGAGGGAGGAGCGCGCAGACATCAACAGCGGGCGGCAACCACAGATGTTCCTAGAGCAGGCAACGCACGTGGGAGGCAGAAGGAGTACTGGACTTGGGCAGCCTGCCATTGGGCCACTTCTCTGAACCGCCCTTCTACCTAATCAGCAAGTGGTGCTGTTAAGGATTTGCTTCTCAAAGTGCAGCGGGAGGGACCAGCAGCATCCCCACCACCTGGGTGTTTGTTAGAAATGCAGAATATTGGGCCCCATCCCACCCTACTAAATCAGAATCTGCATTTTAACAGGATCCCTAGGAGACGTTTCTGCATATTAAGTTTGAAAAGCACTTACCTATACCAGAGTGAGTGAGGTGATGCTTATGGAAACAACTTCTAAATTAAGCACCAATTTAAAAATAAATGTGATTTTTAAAAAATTGCACATTTTTTGTTCAAATCAGTAGAGAGCCCAGCACAATGCTCTCAAAAAACTAGGGCTTGATAAGTATTTTTCAACGAGTAATATCTACACAAGTAGATGACATTAATTGAGCACTTACTATGAGTCAGGTAATATACTAAGCTCTTTGCATGTATTAATTTATTTTGTCCTCACAGCTACTTATGGGACAGGTACAGTACTTTTATTTTCATTTTACTGATGAAGAAAATATTGTGGGACAGAGGCTTAATAACTTGCCCAGTGTCTCAGAGCTAGCAAGAACTGGAATCGAGAACTCAAGCAATCAAGCTCCAGAATTCATGCATTTTATTGCTCTGTTTGCTGCCATGGATTGAATGGATGAATGGAAGAATGACTCCCCAAATCCCAAGCTGTTTACCTGAATCTATTTCCAGATGATGCGCCAAGTTTTCTGAGGGAAGCAGAAATAGAAAGAGAGATCTGTGACTTATTACTTCTTATAGGCACCCCCAGGGGCAAGGTGACTTGAGTACAATGTGAAGATGAGGACAGAAGACTCGGCTTCTGCTGTGGTCTAGTGGAGGAGAAGGGTCCTCACCCTCCTGGACTCTCAGTCCTGCACCTGTCCTTAGGGAGTGGAGGAGATGCTCTGGGAATAGTGCCCCTGAATAAATTGAGATCACTAAGGGAAGGCTCTGGGGAGGGAAGATGTCTCGAGCCAGGTTTCAAGGGCAGAGAAGGATGGAGATGGGTGGAAGACAGGAGGGCAGCTAATGGGACTGGGGAAAACTGTGGCGCCTTCCCCTTTACCTGAGAACATCCTCATCATCTCTGGGAGGGTGAGTATTTTCCTGTGGAAATCACGGATCTTCTTGACAAGGTCAGGAGAAATGGCCTCAGGACTCACAAAAGTCTTCATCTCACACCTGCAGACAGGTTTGGTAACCAGTTAGGTCCAAATTCCAAAAACAAATGTTCGGGTGAGACCACGTGAGGCTAAAATCAGACTAAAGAATGATCTTGGCGTCTGTGGTGAATAATCAAATTGAGTATCATTTCTTTACTTTTGCTGGAAATGTGTAGTTACTAAAATAGTAGGCATTTCAGTTAAACCTAAGAGGAACTAAGGATAATCACTTCTCAAGAATTGGAGGTAAGCCCCTTTAGGAGAATGTTTGGTTCTGTAGGGGCTGAGGGACAGAGATCATTACCCCTTTTGGTCTCTAGAGGGCAACAGGGTACCATTTGAAAACAGCCTTAAACTACCCTTGTGTATGCTGCTATTTGTAAAGGAAAAGAGGCTAGAAGGGAAGAAAAAAAAAGGATCAACGAAAATACATATTGCAATGAAAAAAACTCCTGATTCTGGTCCCAGCTCAGTCCTCATTAGACACTTGCTGCATTACCTTGAAGACTCTTCACCCCCTGGGTCTCAGTTTCTTCCTCAGACTGGAAGACCTCCAAGCCCTTCTAGATCTAAACCTCTAATGCTCTTTGAAAAGCATGTTTGGAGACACTTCCTGATTCATGGACCCTGGGTTTATCCTCCCTGCACGGGAATAGGCACAAAGCACGTGACAATTGTTCCCTAGTCACTACACCTCTCTTCATCTCAGTGCAGACTGCTAATGCTTATAGCAGACAGGGAAGGAAAGGGCCATGCATTTACAATGCCACTGGCTCCTGGTGGCTGTCCTTTTACAGTAGCATTAGAAAATTCTGAAGGAAACCAGAGATGTGTGTAAAAAATGAATGAATGAAAGAACAGGCTGGTATTCCTGGTTTCCATGCTTATCATAGTCTACAGAAAGTATTCCCCCTTTAAATTACATTTTAAATGGTGTTAGATACTGACTCAAGTACTAATAATTTCATAGATTAAATAAATGTTCCTGGATCAACCTAAAAACATGATTATTATTTATAACTTCACTTCTAGGGGAAAAAATGTGTCCCCAATACCAACCAATCAATTTAAAAATGAACCTTTAGAACGCAAATCTTTAGTGAGTTTGGACTGTTTGTGCACAGTTGAATGAGACAGTGTGTCTGCCAGAGTGCCTTTGCTTTCCTGGCAAAGTGGGTGGCAGTAAGTGCCCCTGCCCCTTCCCATTCAGTCTTGATGTTGAGTAAAAGGAGGCAGGACCGGGGAGTGGGCCCTACCTGCTCTGGTTGACTCTGACATCCTGCAAAAGAAAGACAAGAACATACATTTAGTTTCCATAAGTCCTTCCTGTCAGGGATTCTGTACATCACTTTTCCCTTAAAATATGAACTCAAAACTCTCCTTCTGCAGAGAGTTGTCCTGTTTAATTACCTACTCATTAGATTGTTCTTTTACATCATGTTTTCTTACTAATTTGGGTTTCTGTAGTCAGTTCATTTGTGCTGGTTTCCCTGTTTCAGCCTTATCGTGGGGGTGGGTTGTGTCTGCAATGATTAGGAGGTGGTAGAGAGCAGGGGCCTGCCTTCAGTTATCAGCTGGACCTGATGTGAGCCAGGATCACATATTCATAACCATAGCAGACACCAGTTATTGAGTTCTTTCTGTATATCAGGAATCATGCCAAGCATTTTTTATGGATTGTTTCTTATAATTTTGCAATAACTTTATGAGGGAGGTGCTATTGCTGTCCCCATGTTTAGAGAGGCTAAGAGACTCACTCAAGTCACACAATTGGAAGAGCCAACATTCAAATCCAAGACTGTCTGACCCTAAACCCCTTAACATGACCACAGTGTATGACTTGGGCAAGTCTCCAGCCCCTCTGGATCTGCACCCCGTTAACCTCTCTCCACTTCCCTTTCCTGCCTCTCTCCAGCCCAAAGCATGGTGCCCACCCCCTTCCCCGTGGAGTCCCTCTCTTATCCTACAAAGTGGTGAAGTGTCTCTCACTTGTAGAAGCTCACTTGCTGGCTGCTGACACTTCTCCTCCAGCTCCTTGACCTGGGCTCCAAGCCGGGTGACTTCCTCAGAGACCTTTGTGATATATTCATCCCTCTCCTTCCAAATCTGCTGCTCCAGCTCCCTCAGCCTGGCCAGCAGGAGACATCGCTGCTGCTCCAGCTCCTGCTGCAGCCTCTCAAAAGCTGTTTCCACCTGATGCTTCTTGCTTTCGATCTGAGTCTTCAAGGGATAAAAGGCAGACATGGTTAGGAAGGGGCTCAGAGATAGCTTCCAGGATGATCATCTAT
The DNA here is from genome assembly GCF_000001405.40 of Homo sapiens. Classification (NCBI taxonomy): domain Eukaryota; kingdom Metazoa; phylum Chordata; class Mammalia; order Primates; family Hominidae; genus Homo; species Homo sapiens. Next base: position 1,424,132 of record NT_167245.2, on the reverse strand, counting down.
ATACTTATTATTGATTAACAGGGATAGGGAGCAACTGGTCCAAGACTCATTCCATTTACTAATATGCCTAGAAGTAGTTAGGTCTCAGGATGAACTTACCAATGATGAGGGCTGTGCTACTGTCTTAGCTAGATACTCTAATAATAATGCTACATTATGCTCTCAGAATGATGTTGAACTTTTCAAAAATATTTCCACAACTACAATACCATCATAACCCTACTATGCCTTCTTAGAGTTAGGTGGGGAAGACTGTAATAATTTCTTAGAGGCAAAAGGAAGTTGTGATTGGAGTCAACACAACTTAGTGGGAGAGTGTGTAATTTTGGTTTTAGCCGTGGAAATCACCAACTACAGGGCATACGTTGATGAGAGCTGAGGGATGGTGGATAGGTTGCTTTGTCCCCACACTCTCTCCTTGGTCAAGGTACCAGAAATCCTCACACTGTGATTCCTCCATAACTTTATAGCATGAAAAGAGAGGCGTGAGGGATCCAGATGTAGCCACACCATCAGCCTACTCTCCTCAAGGTCAGCCTGTAGTCAGGACTAGAATCCCGACACTAACATATGTTTTTGACCCCAAGCTTCCCATCTGAAGGTGGTGTGTTCAGGCAAACAGACTAGGATGGAAAGAACAATGAATTAAGGGTCAAGAAATCCAGGTTCCTCATGAACTTCAGCTTTGCTATGTGGCCTTGGGAGCATTGCTTTTCTGGTCCTAAGTTTTCTGCTCTGTAAAATGTGATATACAAGATGGATCTTGGATTGCAAGACATCAGAACCACTTCTAGTGCTCATGGTCTGAGATCCCAAATGCCTTTGTGCAGCCACAGGAAGGTGAACGAGAACAGTTTGTCAGTTCTTTTCAGCCAGGAAACAGATACCAGCCAACGGGTTTCCCCAGAGTCTCTTAAGAAAACCTTCAAAGGAAAAGGTAGCCAGTGACGTGGCCTGTACCAGCAGCACTTGAAGCTTCTGGTCTTCTTGACACTTTACATCCTCAATCTCATCTCTCTCCGTGCTCAGAGCTTCCAGTCGACTCCTGAGACGATCCTGTGGGGAGAAGAATGGGTGGATAGAGGTGACTGAATTAATAATTCAACTCACAATTATTAACTATCACATCCTGGGCACACTGTTGAGTGCTGAGGGGTTCAAAGGTGGAAAAGGCCCAGTCCTTGCCCTAAAGAGACCACCATCTCAGGAAGAAGTCAATGTCAAGTGATTAAAATACAGATAGATAAATGCAATAGTCCAGGGGTACACACAGTGAGATGGGAACACAGAGGTCAGCTCTGCCTGTAGGCCTAAGGGAAGGTTTGGAAAGCAGAAAACATTTACAATGTGCCTTGAAAGATAAATTTCCAGTTGAATAGAGAGGGAGAGAAAAGGACTTAGTGCCCACAGATGTGAAGGACCTCTTCAAGGAGAACTACAAACCACTGCTCAAGGAAATCAGAGAGAACACAGACAAATGGAAAAACATTCCATGCTCATGGATAGGAAGAATCAATATTGTGAAAATGGCCATACTGCCCAAAGTAATTTATAGATTCAGTGTTATCCCTATCAAGCTACCATTGACTTTCTTCACAGAATTAGAAAAAACTACTTTATATTTCATATGGAACCAATAAAGAGCCCACATAGCCAATACAATCTTAAGCAAAAAGAACGAAGCTGGAGGCATCATGCTACCTGACTTCAAACTATACTACAAGGCTGTAGTATATGATATCAAATATGTCTGGTATCAAAACAGACATATAGACAAATGGAACAGAAGAAGGGCCTCAGAAATAACACCACACATCTACAACCATCTGATCTTTGACAAACCTGACAAAAACAAGCAATGGGGAAAGGATTCCCTATTTAATAAATGGTGTTGGGAAAACTGGCTAGCCATATGCAGAAAACTGAAACTGGACCCCTTCCTTACACCTGAAATAAAAATTAACTCAAGATGGATTAAAGACTTAAACGTAAGACCTAAAACCATAAAAACCCTAGAAGAAAACCTAGGCAATACCATTCAGGACATAGGCATGGGCAAAGACTTCATGACTAGAACACCAAAAGCAATGGCAACAAAAGCCTAAATTGACAAATGGTATCTAATTAAATGAAAGAGCTTCTGCACAGCAAAAGAAACTATCATCAGAGTGAACAGGCAACCTACAGAATGGGAGAAACATTTTGCAATCTATCCATCTGACAAAGGGCTAATATCCAAAATCTACAAAGAACTTAAACAAATTTACAAGAAAAAAACAAACAGCCCCATCAAAAAGTAGGTGAAGGATATGAACAGACACTTCTCAAAAGAAGACATTTATGTGGCCAACAAACCTATGAAAAGAAGCTCATCATCACTGGTCATTAGAGAAATGCAAATCAAAACCACAATGAGATACCATCTCACACCAGTTAGAATGGTGATCATTAAAAAGTCAGGAAATAACAGATGCTGGAGATGATGTGGAGAAATAAGAATGCTTTTACAATGTTGGTGGGAGTGTAAATTAGTTCAACCGTTGTGGAAGACAGTGTGGCAACTCCTCAAGAATCTAGAATGAGAAATACCATTTGACCTGGCAATCCCATTACTGGGTATATACCCAGAGGATTATAAATTATCCTACTGTAAAGACACATGCACACATATGTTTATTGCAGCACTGTTCACAATAGCAAAGACTTGGAACCAACCCAAATGTCCATCAATGATAGACTGGATAAAGAAAATATGGCACATATATGCCATGGAATACTATGCAGGCATAAAAAAGATGTGTTCATGTCCTTTGCAGGGATATGGATGAAGCTGGAAACCATCATTCTCAGCAAACTAACACAGGAACAGAAAACCAAACACCACATGTTCTTACTCATAAGTGGGAGGTGAACAATGAGAACACATGGACACAGGGAGGGGAACATCACACATCGGGGCCTGTCAGGGCTTGGGGGACTAGGGGAGGGATACCATTAGGAGAAATACCTAATGTAGATGATGGATTGATGGGTGCAGCAAACCACCATGGCACGTATATACCTATGTAACAAACCTGCACGTTCTGCATATGTATCCCAGAACATGTATAATAAAAAAAAAAAGAAAAGGACTTAGTGCCCCTGAATTGTATACTTAAAAACAGAGAGAGAGGTGGGAGGAAGGGAGAAGAGTATTCTAGGAGGAAGAGACTATGTGCAAAAAGTATTGGAAGCAGGAATGAATAAGACAACTCAGGAAAAAACAGCAAGTGCAGCTCAGTCTGGCCAGACACGTGGTGCCTTGAGGAGGGAGGCTGAGCGATGAGGCCGGACAGGGAGGAAGGATCCCGACTGCAAAGGGCCTTGAATGTCTTGCTAAAGACCTTGGACTTTCTTTGGGCACTAGGTATACATGGGAGGATTTTGTGCAGATGAGTGACTTTGTGTTTTAGGAGGATCTGTCTCCCAGCAGATTGGAAGGTGACTGGAAAGGGTGAGAATGGAGACAGGAAATGCCATGGAGACTGCAAAGTCTGCGCAAGAGATAGGGAGAACCTGGCTGTGAGGATAAGGCAGAATTAAAGATTTGGGAGATGTTTCTAAGGTAACCACTTCCAGACCTGGTGACTGGATGACAAGAGAGAGATCTGAGAGGCTGACAGGAAAGTGCCCCAAGGCCAGATGGGGAATTCTCACAATTCTGGACTACTGCCACCCTCCCTTTCTCAAGAAGAAGAGCAGTGCTAGCAGGTTCCCCTTCCCAGCTCCTCCCTCCCCTCTGCGCCCTGGCAGTCAGGGCCCTATAAACCCCATTTCCAGTCTGGATCCTGGGAGAACAAGTTTACCCTGCCCATAATCTGCAGAAGATCCCACTCGGCATTGGAGCTTTCTTTCCATAGTGAGTGAAGCCAAGGCTACAGTTCTTTGCACTCCACCTCTGTGGGGTCCTCTGAGAGCTGGAGCTGAAGTTCCCCCCAGACCAGGAACTACCACACATCCAAGTGGAGCCCTATCTGCCTTCAGTCTGGGAATGCCTCGAAAGTCCCTGTAACCTTAGGGTTCCCTGATGTGGAAGCCTTTCATCCAGATCCCCGCCCGATTTCCTCCCCTCATAACAGGACATCATCCTGCCCCAAACAGGCCCTAGGTAAAGCTACACTTCTTACCCGGTAGGGCTGAATGGCCTCGTCCAGGAACCCCACGGTGTGCGCCTGGTGCGTGGGACCCTCCCTGCAGAACACACAGAGGAACTCGGCATCGTTCTCGCAGAAGAAGTAGATCTTCTCGCCGTGCTCCTCGCAGTAAGTTTCTCCCAGCGGGCCCAGGGGCACAGGGGCCATGGGAGTCTCTGCCTGCTCCTCCTCTTGGCAGAGCGGGCAGAGCAGGATCTTGCCCGAGGATTGGGCCCCCATCTGGGAGAGCGCGGGGAGGCAGAGCCGGCAGAAGGTGTGTCCACAGGGAATGGTCACCGCATCCTCCAGCGGCCCCGCACATAGGGTACAGGCAGGCAGCTCATGGACCACCTTCAGGGACGGGGTTGCGGGCATCACGGTGCCTTCCCCAGCCCGTCCACTCCGGTCTCCTCAGCCCACGCGAGTTCCCTTTCCCTGAAATCGAGTCACACTTACATGAATCGCAGAGGGAAACGGCTGCAAGGCTGAGAGACAGAGAGAGAGAAAGAGAGAGAGAGGCAAGAATGCCAGCACAGGGAAGCCACCTGGCTCCGCCTCTTGTGTTCCCTAGAACCCTGGCCACCACCTATCAGCGGAGTGGGTCCAAATTCCAGGGCGTCTCGAATTACCCAGAATTTCCCAGTGGCGGCCAAGTAAGCCAGTTCTTTACTCCTGGCTCCTTCTGGTCCCTAGGGTGGAGAACAGAGCACACCATGAGGTCACAGGGGGATGGGTTTCCTGGAATCTGTAGACCACAGTGGCTGGGGAGAACTGGGGAGCAGAAGCTTCCTGTCAGATTGAGCAGGTGGGAGCCATAAACTTCTGGCTCTGAGGCGTGCCCACAGCATCAAAGTCCAGGCTGGAGTGAGAGGTGTGGACTTCGGGAGATTCTGCCGGAAGTGTGTGGGCGGGACGCTGTTTCGACACTGCAGGTAGGGTGTAAGGATTGCTCATCGGGTCCCCTCTTCTGCTCTCCTTTCCTCCCTCACCACATCTGCCCATGGTGGCCCCTCCTACGGTCCCAAATCCCCCACCACCTGGCACAACAGTCCCCTTTGGGGTTCGGGTAACACTGGACTATTTTATTTATTTATTTATTTATTTATTTATTTATTTATTTTTACTGTAGCGGGGAGAAGGCAAGAAACCATAATGCAAATGATTTATGTTGATACACATTAGAAAACGATTAGTCAGATAATCAGTTTCAACCACATTTATCTAGGGTTTAGTATTTTTATATTACTACATTCAATTTTAATAACCCTCTAGGCAAACATTATTACCTTCATTTTACAGAGAAAGAAATGTAAACTGACTTTCCAAATGTAAAGTGACTTTCCAAAGGTCACAAAGCTAGAAAGTATCACGTTAAGGACGATCCCAGTCTCCTGGCTTAAAGCCCTACGCTCCTCCCACACCTCATGCCAAGACCAAGATCTGCAGCCACGGTCCTTCACCCATGCACACATCTGTGGATAAAACCAGGCCTTCCCCCATTCTCCCACTGGGTGATCAGCCTAGCCCCTTGTGGTTGCTCCCTTTTTACTCTAATCACTTTATTACCTCCCCTTCCCATCCAATCTCTGCTCTTCCTGCCACGAGTGCAGCCCAGGAACTAGTTTGTCCAATACAGGAGCCACCAGCCACATGTGTCTACTGAGCACTGAAATGTGGCCGGTCTGAATGGCGGCATGCTGTATATGTAAAATACATACCGGATTTCTTTTTTTTCTTTTTCTTTTTCTCTTTTTTCTTTTCTTTTTTTTTTTTTTTGAAATGGAGTCTCGCTCTGTCTCCCGGGATGGAGTGCAGTAGCGCGATCTTGGCTCACTGCAAGCTCCTCCTCCCGGGTTCACACCATTCTCCTGCCTCAGCCTCCCGAGTAGCTGGGACTACAGGCGCCGGCCAGCACGCCAGGCTAATTTTTTTGTATTTTTAGTAGAGACGGGGTTTCACCGTGTTAACCAGGATGGTCTAGATTTCCTGACCTCGTGATCCTAGGCCTCCCAAAGTGCTGGGATTACAGGCGTGAGCCACCGCGCCCGGCCAACACACCGGATTTCAAAGGCTTTTCACAAATTTAAAAATGTAAAATATCTTATTAATGACTTTTTATATGGATCACATATTGAAATGATAATAGTTTGGAAATATAGGACTAAATAAAATAACATCATTAAAATTACTTTCACCTGTTTAGACTATTTTTATATGGCCACTAGGAAATTTTAAATTGCATATGTGGCTCACTTTGCGTTTATGTTGAATAGCATTGCTCGGAAGACAGATCTGACAGCAAATTATTTATGGTCACTCACCTTCTTACTTGTGTGCCTAGGGCAAGCTGAATAACCTGGCTGGGCCTCAGCTTTCTCATTTATGAAATGGAGATCCTAATAGCACTGATGTTGCAGAGCAGACACAGAAATAAGATCATACTTTTAAATTGCTTGTATCAATGTAAGTTGTACCGTCATTGTAAATAAATTCTGGCCAAATTGCTTGTATCAATGTAAGTTGTACCGTCATTGTAAATAAATTCTGGCCGTTAGTAGTTTTCTTTCTCCTCCCCATCATAGGGAATATTCCAGCCTCTTTTGAGGCCTGCAGCAGGCCAGTTGAGGCATCACCATTGAAGTTGCTGGTGCAGTGTACACCCTGGCACAAGGACCTTATCTGAGCCCCCACACTCTCCTGCTTGCTGATGGGCAAGCCCTGGGCTGGCTGATACCTCCAATCTCTTTGGAGACAGCTGGCCATATGGCAGAAAGGCTGGAATGGCATCTCCACTCTGTGACCCAGTCTCCCACTTGCCCCCAAAAGAATATTTCTTCTGACAGTGGACAGCTGACATATCACCACTTTCCTTCTACTGTGAGTGTCTCTGGATGGGCAGAAAGGAATGGCCAGCCCCTGGTTATGGTCATCTAAGGTCACCTCTGAAATGCTGTGAGCCCCTCTTCCTTCCTCTCCTCTGCTATTTCCCATCTCTGCTGTTGGCAGGAGAATAGAACCCTGGCTGCCAGAGATGCAAGTGTGTGACGATATGGGTGCTGGTGCATATTTAGTATGTGCCTGTGTCCAGCCATGTGCATGTGTGGGTGTGTGAGTGTGTGACCCAGCCCTTCCCCCGTGGCCAAGCAGAGAGAGTGGCCTTGAGGAAGCCATAGCAGCAGGACCAGCATGGCCTCTGCTGCCTCTGTGACCAGCCTGGCAGATGAAGTCAACTGCCCCATCTGTCAGGGTACCCTGAGGGAGCCGGTCACTATCGACTGCGGCCACAACTTCTGCCGGGCCTGCCTTACCCGCTACTGTGAGATACCAGGCCCAGACCTGGAGGAGTCCCCTACTTGCCCACTCTGCAAAGAACCCTTCCGTCCTGGGAGCTTCCGGCCCAACTGGCAGCTGGCTAACGTGGTGGAGAACATTGAGCGCCTCCAGCTGGTGTCCACACTGGGTTTGGGAGAGGAGGATGTCTGCCAAGAGCACGGAGAGAAGATCTACTTCTTCTGTGAGGATGATGAGATGCAGTTGTGCGTGGTGTGCCGGGAGGCTGGGGAGCACGCTACCCACACCATGCGCTTCCTGGAGGATGCAGCGGCTCCCTATAGGGTAGGAAAGGGGAACTGGGGGATCCCAGGGTGGACTGGACTGGACTAAGAGAAACAGCAGAGTTGTGGATTATTTAGGCCACCCGGAGGCCAAATTCTTTCTCCTTACTTACATGATCACCCAGGCAATAGACCCAGGCATGGAAAATTGTGTTTATGTTTTATGTTTTTTTGAGTGTGTTCTGTGTTCACTTGTGGCCAACAGATAACGGGAGTTCAACAAGTACTTGTTGAATGAATGAGTGACCAAACATGAGTGTGTGTGTCTGTGCCATGGATCAGGTGTGTCTGAAGTTTGCATTTGAGGGAATGATTGTACAAACAGTGTGTATATGTGTTAATGTTTGCATGTTTAGAAGTGTGTCTGGTGTGTTTGGATGGGAGTCTGAGTATGTATATATTTGAGTGTGTAAGTGTAACTGAGAGCTCCTGTTTGTGAATAAATTCGTGTTTACATATATTCAGGCTGGGTAAATGTATGTGGCATGCCATTTTATCTGTCATTAAATGAATGTGTGCTGGTTTTAGTTGTTTATGCATTGTGCTTATGAATTATGTTTTAGTACAAGTCTGTGTGTGGATGTCTTAATTAGTTAATTAGCAGTTGATAGTGAGAATTCTAATATATCTTTGAACACACATATTTATCGTGTGTGTACCTGTTCCTAACTCTATTCTGGAGCAAATAATTTTGAAAACAATTTATCAATTATTTTTACATTACCCAAGTTTCTTCTCCCCTCTGGAGTCATACACAGATAATTGATTTCAGTAACAAGGGAGGGTTGTTATTTACACATGTTCCTTTGGGATGAGTCGGAAACTCAGAATGATTTCAGTGCGGGGCATATCAAACTCAGTACAGACCCCAGATACCACTTACCCGAAGCAAAACACAATAGAATGTTAAACCTGAAGAAAGACTCAAGTGGGAAAACCAAGTCACAGCCTCTAATGGCACAGGATAAAGGGGGAAAGTCCTGATCCAAAGTCTTAGAGACAAATCAAGAGGAAGAAGACCCAAAGGGAGTAAGCTGTCAGGGTGGTGAAGGCTCGGGGATTGTCAGCTAAGGAAGGGACTCCTCTCCTGGGGCCATTTCATTCCTGGAGGCAGAGGGTCAGATGACCAGACAAACCTGAACAAATCATTTTCCATCTTGAGTATTTTATGTTCCTTCTCCCCAGGAACAAATCCATAAGTGTCTTAAATGTCTAAGAAAAGAGAGAGAGGAGATTCAAGAAATCCAGTCAAGAGAAAATAAAAGGATGCAAGTCCTCCTGGTAAGTCATCACCCCTTCCCCAGGTTCCTCCCCTTCCTCAGGGTCCAGTGTCTTCCTGAAACTGAGGCAACATAGATTATAGGGCTTTGAAGTTATTATGAGTTTAAATCCTGACTCTGACACTAACTCTATGACCTCAAGCAACTCTCCAACTTCAGTTTACTTATCTGTAAAATGGAGAGTAAAAATCATCATGACCTCATTGAATTACTGTAAGCATTAAATGAGATTGTGACTGTAAAGTAGCTCAGGGCTGTGCACATAATGTGCTTTTCATACAAGACAGGAGGTAGGGTGTCCCCACCACCTCCTCCTACACCTCCTGTAAGCCCTACCCCTTTTAGAAGCTGCAGCAGATGGTGCTGAGACAACACTGTGAGTCTTGCTTCTCGAAATGGGATGACAAGTGAAAAGGAAACCATGACACAGTTCCAGATCTACCTGGGGACAGGGGAGGAAGAGGAGCAGAGGGAGAAGGAGGAAGCAAACTTTCTCTTGGGCTTGCCTCCTGCCCCCTCAGACTCAGGTGTCCACCAAGAGACAACAGGTGATTTCTGAGTTCGCACACCTGAGGAAGTTTCTAGAGGAACAGCAGAGCATCCTCTTAGCACAATTGGAGAGCCAGGATGGGGACATCTTGAGGCAACGGGATGAATTTGATTTGCTGGTTGCTGGGGAGATCTGCCGGTTTAGTGCTCTTATTGAAGAACTGGAGGAGAAGAATGAGAGGCCAGCAAGGGAGCTCCTGACGGTGAGGCCTGAACCGGAACCCTGCCCCACCTGTGCTGTCCTGTGACTCTTGCATCTTTGTCTTGCCTAAGCCATGTCTCCCTGACTCACACATCTCTGTATCCCAGATGGGAGGTGGGTCAGAGGACCAGAAAGTCTCAATTCTAGTTCATGCTTTTCCAAGAGTTCCCTGGTCACTTTTTGCTCTCTGGTCTCCACCTCTCCGTCCCACCATCTGCCAAATAGGGAAGATACTTTCCTTAAATATTTCACAGGGCTTTTGTGAGGATCCAACAGTAAGATGGAAGTGAAAGTAGCACTTTGAAAAAGTATTAAGTAAGTTGCAAACCATTCTCTATAACCTAAATGTCACCAACCACCAGTCAGGAAGTTTGTCCTGGTCTATTTCACTTCCTCACACTGGAGGAGAGGTATTGGGGTCCCCACAAAGTATTGGAAAGGCAGCATGACTTAGAATGATGCTCTTAGGACTGAGAAACAGGAGACCTTGGTATGAGACTTACTTTGCCTCCAGTGAGCAGGGGAAGGTCACTTCACCATCTTTATCTAAAAAATAAAGGCTTTGGGCTCTGATCCACAGAGATGGGTGAGTCCTAATGCTCTGTGACTCTATGCATCTGGTATCCTTTTCCTGTCCAGAGCTAGAAATATATTTTGTCTTTTCCAGTCATAAGAAAAGTGGGAGGAGCCTGGGCAACATAACAAAACCCCATCTCTACAAAAAAAAAAAAAAAAAAAAAAGAAAATTAGCCAGGCATGGTGACAAACACCTGTAGTCCCAGCTACTCAAGATGCTGAGGTAGGAGGATCCCTTGAGCCCAGGAGGTTGAGTATGCAGTGAGCCATGATCACGCCACTGTATTCCAGCCTGGGCACCAGAGTGAGACCCTTTCTCAAACAAACAAACAAGCAAATAAAAAATAAATAAAATAAAAGTAGAAAAAGAAAGGAAAGAAAAATGGAAAGGAGAAGCTGGAAACTGAATTTCTGGTATCTCTTTCTCCTAGGACATCAGAAGCACTCTAATAAGGTAAGCAATATAGTTTCTCTCTTTTCTTTTTCCATATAAATATACATACATGTACTGCATGCCTAGTTATTGCCACACAGGTATATAACATTCTCACTTAAGGATACAAATTTACATATAAACCTCTATATACCCAAATGCCTTCTCAGGTATATCCATAGATGCCCAAAAATGGGCAGTGGGATTCATCCTAGAGGAAGTACGTCTGCCTGCAGGAACTAGCGCCATCATGCCCTATTAGAAGATGACCAGCTGAGTCTGGAGACATTATTAAGGATGATAATTCCCAGACCCAGCCATTTCTGTGCCCCTAGATGTGAAACCAGAAAGTGCCGGAAACCGGTGGCTGTGTCGCCAGAGCTGGGCCAGAGGATTCGGGACTTTCCCCAGCAGGCCCTCCCGCTGCAGAGGGAGATGAAGATGTTTCTGGGTAAGAGAACCCCAGGCCTCCACAGAGCGCAGGTGGCCATGAAGCCTGGGTTTAGGAGTGGCCTCCACGCTCCACTGCTGAAAGGTGTGACTTTGGCAAGCCTTATTCCTTCCTGTGCCTTGATTTCCTTATTTGCAGATTTTTATAAAATCTGCCTATTAGGATATTGTGACAATGAAGAAAGAGAATAAAGGTGAATATTTCTGGTGAAAAAGTTAAACTGATTTTAAAATAATTCAACAAATCTGATTAGTGGTCATTAAGCAATATGAAAGATAATGATTAACAATATATCATTCTTAATAAGTTAAAAAATCCCACAGCAACATTTGTAATATGTGATAAGTTTTTGATGATGAACATTGTTAATTAATAGCCAACAACAGTATTTATCTTGACCCTGTGGTATCTGGCTCGTCCCTCCTTCCTTCTCACTTTCTTTCTGTTAGTCTGGCTCAGAGTTAGACGGTCCTACGGGGACTGTGCTCCACTTCCTTTTCCGGAACAGGGAGTGGTGGTAGGGTGTGGGGGAGGGTTTGGATGAGAGTCAGGAATGGGACATGGCTCTCTGCCAACCACCTCCTCACTAACCATGACAGAATGAATGATGACACCAATTTTGAAATGACCCACCCACAGTTATGTCACCCTAGAAGGACTTTTCCCATAATTCCATTTCCTGCAAATACTTCCAGTGACCTGTCAGTGAAGGAAATTTCACTCTAATCAAAGGCTGACCTTTGACTCTCCCCAAAATTATTTCCAAGTGGAATAATAAATAAATGAACCCATTTCTCTATTCACTAAGCAGATATTTCTTGAGCATTTACTATGTCCTGGGCTCTGCGGGTACAGAGGTGAGCAAGGCAGTCATGGTCCCTGTTTGATCAGGGCTAGGGCAGTGGGGCTCCCACCAGCAGCAGCAGCTGCATTGCCCAGGAAATTGTTAGAAATACAGATGTTCAGCTCCACCCCAGAGCACCTGAATCTGAAACAGATGTGTTTTAACAAGAGCTCCAGATGATTCTGATGCAAGCTTGGAACCACTGGTCTAGAGGATTCCAGCTTACATTCTTCTTCTTGTCCCTTCCCTCTTCTTGGCCTCAGTTTTCTCATCATTAAGTGTCTGATGGTTTTGTAAGACTAATAAAATCTCATCCTGGTTTATTTTCTTTACAGAAAAACTATGCTTTGAGTTGGACTATGAGCCAGGTAAGGAGCCTATGTCAGGATGGGAGAGAATGAGAAGTCCTCGGAAAGGAGAGAAAATTTTGCAGGATTTGCACTATGACTATGTTATGACTATGACAATAGTCATAACAAACACCCATGGATACATATACACATCATATATATTATATATACACATATGTGTGTGTATATAATACATGTGTGTATATATAGGTTGTGTGTGTGTGTGTGTCACATTGTTTGTAAGGCTCTCAGGAGAAACATGAAGAAAGGACAAGCACATACACATACTACATTCGTGGTATGAAGCTCACATCCTGATCTGCGCATGTCGAGTAGATAGAAAGATTAATGCAGAATGGGATAAAGTCCATCTGGGAATGCTTTCTGGATAAAGGGGACTTTGATCTGGGTTTATAATCACCTCTTTAGAACGTAAGGAACCCCTGCTTCCTCTCAGATGTCATTTCACAGATGACAGAAGGAGGGCGGCCTGTGGGTGGGAAAAAAATGAACAGAATGGACCCCTTCAAGGCTGTCATTTCTCAATCAACCAGCCTAAGACCCTGGGAGTCACGGAGTTGTTGGAGGGGGTTCTCTAACCCACAGATGGACCTAAATTTATGGAAGCTTCTCAATTTATGAATACTAAAAGTAACAAAACGCAAGGCTCTGCAGCAGTTTTTGGTGGTAAAAAGTGGTCCTCAGACTCTGACAGTTTCAGAATTACTGAGGCAGAGTGAATAACCCAGGGGTGAGCCAGAGAGCCTGCCAGGAGGGAAGACTGTAAATGAGTCACCAGTGCCCTGGGAGGAAAACAGGGAGGAATCATGAAGTTTGGACTGAAGGGAGAAATGTCGCTGCACTGTGGGATAGAGATGGGAGGAGGGGAGAATGTGGTATATCAGCCCCAGGAGATCCAAGCTGGCACGCACAGCTTTGGAAACCAGCCAACTTGCGGTGAGCAGAAGAGCTTTCCCGAGGACCACACTGAACTAAACGAGAGCTTTCACATCCTCTGAGGCAGGCTTTTCAGGCTTTACCTGTGTGCAAATCACCTGGGCATCTTGTTAGGATGCAGATTCTGAGAGCGTATATCTAACAAGTTCCCAGGTGGTTCCACACTGTTGGCCCACGTAGGCACTATACATGTTTTTGGTAATAATAACACTAACAGGAGGGGCCCAGGGGGAGTTTCTATGCCTTCCTTGGAGGTAATAGCATGTCTGCTGACATCTGTCCCTTTTGGTTATCCCCACAGCTCACATTTCTCTAGACCCTCAGACTTCCCACCCCAAGCTCCTCTTGTCCGAGGACCACCAGCGAGCTCAGTTCTCCTACAAATGGCAGAACTCACCAGACAACCCCCAGCGTTTTGACCGGGCCACCTGTGTTCTGGCCCACACTGGCATCACAGGGGGGAGACACACGTGGGTGGTGAGTATAGACCTGGCCCATGGGGGCAGCTGCACCGTGGGCGTGGTGAGCGAGGATGTGCAGCGGAAGGGGGAGCTTCGGCTGCGGCCAGAGGAGGGGGTGTGGGCTGTGAGGCTGGCTTGGGGCTTCGTCTCGGCTCTGGGCTCCTTCCCCACACGGCTGACCCTGAAGGAGCAGCCCCGGCAGGTGAGGGTGTCTCTTGACTATGAGGTGGGCTGGGTGACCTTCACCAACGCTGTCACCCGAGAGCCCATCTACACCTTCACTGCCTCCTTCACTAGGAAGGTCATTCCCTTCTTTGGGCTCTGGGGCCGAGGGTCCAGTTTCTCCCTGAGCTCCTGAGAAGGAGCAGTTACCTACTCTCCTCTAAGTACAGGACTCATATCAACCCAAGTACCATGTGGACTTGATCCCTGGCTGAATCACCTGGATGACTTGGAATAGAAATGACTGCTTTAGAAGATGGGATGGGGCCGGGTGGTAAGGGATAGAAGAGAGGACTCTCAATCTACTGATCAAGTCCTTTCCCCAATGCCCAGTGGATGGCCAGGGTACCTGGGGACTCAGGCTGCTGCCAGTTCTGCTCACCACCATCCGTGCTTGGCACAGAAGTAGCTGCATAGAAAGGGCACTGGATTTGAAGTCAGAAGACCTGGGTTCTTGAACCAGCCTGTCAACCAGTTGTATGACTTTAAACAAGGCATCTCACCTCTTTTCATCTTGTTTTCTTCCAATAATGTTAGAGTTCATGTAATCACATTCTCTAGAACCATTTAGTTTGTGTTAACTATGAACCAAGCAGTGTGGTGGCCACTGGTGACTTGAAAATATAGAGAAAAAAAAAACCTGCTCTATATCTGAAAGAGCTCTTGGGAAGACAGAGAAACATAAAGAGGAAATTACAGCACAGTGTGGTGGGTGTTACGGGAAGTCCAACCCCAGCATTATGGGAGTTCAGGGGAAGGGGCATAGCCCAGCCTGGAAGGAGAGGGTGAGTGGGGGATGGCTTTCTGAAAAGGGTGGTCTAAAGGATGCCTATGGTCAATAGGGAAAAGAGGGGAAGAAGCATCTTAAGAAGAGGAAACAGCAGAGAACTGGCTGGATGACCTGTGACTCTGGAGCACTGGGTTGTCTCCATTGTCATTATGGGCAGATGTGTGCCATCCCCAGCCGACGCCACTCACTGCCTCCTTCCTCCTGGTGTTGCCACTTCTGGGTGAGATTAAGGTGCAGGGCCTGGGGGCAGGAGGACATAAGGTATAGCCATAAATCATAACCCAGGGACCACACTCAACCCTAGGGAAATTGTCTTCCTGATCAGTTGATTACCATCTGAGGTCAAGAAATGAGATAGTGGGAGCAAATGGGTCACAAATAGCTCAGCTGTGGGCTCAGAAACTGCTAGGTAAAAGAATTCCAGAAGGAGGCCAGGGCATAAGTTGGATGACCTATGAACTTTAGTCTAAAGAATTGAGACTACCGTAATTGAGACTACTGTAGTGACATCTGAGAAATGGGATGGAATAGTGACCATGTTTTATTTTCTTGTTCTTGTCACTATTGTATTTTATTTTGCATAATCATGCCCTTCACTGACAGTCTCCTTAACATCATCTGTTTACTCTGCTCAGTGTAAACTACAATGCTCTGTCATCTCCCTACTGGGTCTCCTGGGAGGAGGGGAGCCATCCAGGGTGCAAACTCAAAGGCAGAGGGCACAGCGTGCTTAGGCCCAAGCTTAGAATTCAATTGAGAAGTTCTGTTGTTCATCCTTACCTCAGCAGGTAGAAAAGAGGTGGAGATCAGAAGCCAGGGATTAGAGATTGAATTGCTTTCCCTGGGAGTGTGCAGTATCTCATTAAAATGTTGTATATTCAAAAAAATACAGACACACACAAGTGCCTATATAATGATAAAACATATCCAAAGCACCCAAACCTGTGATTCCAGAAAAGTAGATCCTATTTTTGTTTATTTTTATTGGCTTTAGCTGTGTCTTTTGAAAGGACTATTATCCTCTAAAATGTATGTGTATGAAGATCCTGGCTTGCAGCTCGGGAGCTTTACACACCTTGTGTCACTTTATCTTGGTAACGAGCCAAGATCATGCAACCAGTTCATCCATGTCTGACCCAAGAGCTCTTAACTGCTATGCTGCACTGCCTCATTCAGAGATAGATGCCTGCATGGGTCCTGGCGATTATTTTAATGCTGGCTACACCCCCACAGGTGACTTGGATTCAGAAATACAATTTATATTTCTTCTTTTTAAATTGTTTTATTTTATTTTTCTTTTAATAGTTATATGTCAGTGAGAACAATTTATATGTCTTACACTGAGAAATAAAACTGCTCATAAGTGAAAACACTCATGTTGGTCTGTCAGTACCTGCTTCTCCCCTAGGGTAATTTTACTTGAAGTTTACTTGCTTTCGGAGTATGGAGTCAGCACAGGGGAAGTGGATAGATCCTAAAACCTGGTAACTTCAAGATAAGGCAGCTTAATGAACCTCCTTGCTCTGCTGGCCGGAAGTGGGACTCTGGGTTCCCTCCCCAGGAAGTGCTCAAGTCTAGAGGCCCCAGAGTCCCAGCTACCCTTTCCGACTCTGAAGGACTGTTGCACATTTGTAACATCCACAGTTTACACCTCATTTTTCAAAGCTTACATGGTAGCAACCCTTTCTATTGCAAAGAACTGAGACCCACTCAAGTTAGTTCAAATGATAGGTAAGTTTATTATAAAAGCAGAAATAAGGAAAATGCGATTTTCCACCATGAGCCAGGCCCCGTGAGAAGCTATGTCAGGCGTGAGCGAGTTGGTGGGGTCACCACTCGTTCCTGTAGGAAGAACTAGAGATTCCAAAAATGCTGATAACAATCACACACATAGAACTTATTTTGGCCAAACACCATAATAAATATTTGTATATATTAACTCATTTAATCCTCACAACAACCTCAGGAGGTAGGTGCCCATCTTGTACATAAGAGAACTGAGACATGTGGAGGCCGAGCAGCTGGTCTCAAATCAGCTGATAGTAAGTCGCAGAGCCAGCATTTGAAGTCTTGTGGTTTGGCTCCCGAGTCTGTGCTCATGACCATTATGCAGTGGTATGTTGTATGCCCAGGACCTACCGGTAAGAAGTGGGCTCGAAGTCCAAAGAAGCGTGAAGACTGGATATTCCTGCGGCCTCTCAGCAGCATGGGTCATGGACACCTGTTCCAATACATCGTGGCTGCACATGCATCTCTGATTCTCTCTGTGTCTGCTCTTCTTGCCAACTAATGACACATTCATCATGGATCCCTTCTGAATCTCCGAGAGGACCTGATGGTTTCAGTTAATTACTATTGTCCCTCTTTGATAAGGTCTTCCTTGACAGGTGACCTCATAGACTTGTTTGGCCAATTATCTGCTGTTCAGACTCCTACCCCTGGCCTGATCATCTGTGGTGACGTCAGAAGGGACCAAGGGGGGCCTGGAAGGCATCTTCAGTATAACTGAATTCTCTCCTGAGGAGAGACCCTGGGGGCTGTCAGTCTCCTCCTACTCCTAGTACAAGTTCTCTTGGTGACATTAACTCCATCTGGGATGCAGAAATTGCTAGCTGTCACTTTCAGGGGTGTTCTTTCCTTGGCTAATGTCTTGCTCTTAGATTTGGGATCTTATGTTTCTCTGAGATCTGCAGCTTCTTGCCAAATAACTATACCTTTTTTCTGAACATCTGCACTAGGCTCTTTCTCCTCCCCTCTCCTTCCAGCCCCCAACTCTCTGTCCCAGTCCTTCTTGTGCAAACGATCCAGACTGGCTTTCATTAAACACCACTTCTCCCTTCATTCCTGACTCAGAAACCTCACTATGTCTTGGTGTCATCCATTTAGCCTGTTGACTTCTCGTCTTCCCCATTCCTGAACATTCCAGCCTAACCAGGTTGGTTTCCTCACACTCCTACAAAGGTACCGTGGCTTTTTCCTACCTCTATGCTTTCATTCATGTGGTTATTGTGACCTAGAATGTTCTCACCTTCCTCTCCCACTTGTCCAATCCCCACCTCCCCCACAAAACCTACCCTGACTTTCCCAGGCTCGCTGTTTCTTTCCTCTGAATTCCCAGGGCACTTAGCCTCTGTGATACCTAATTCAGTGCAGTTACACGCTCTCTTCTTATTCTGTAGCTGTTTAGTCATAGTTCCACAGCTAAATTATAAACTTCTGGATGGTGAAGTGGAATTTATTTAAAATTTTTTTATCATTCCATATTTCATTTCAAAAGGGGAAGTGGTTTTTTTAAAAAAAGATGAAATGAAAAAGGATGAGTTCATGTCCTTTTTAGGGACATGGTTGAAGCTGGAAACCATCATTCTCAGCAAACTATCGCAAGGACAGAAAACCAAACACCGCATGTTCTCACTCATTGGTGGGAATTGAACAATGAGATCACTTGGACACAGGGTGGGGAACATCACACACCAGGGCCTGTTTTGGGGTGGGGGGAGGGGGGAGGGATAGCATTAGGAGAAATACCCAATGTAAATGACAAGTTAATGGGTGCAGCACACCAACATGGCACATGTATACATATGTAACAAACCTGCACATTGTGCACATGTACCCTAGAACTTAAAGTATAATTTAAAAAAAATAACAATAAAGCCAGAATACACCAAAAAAAAAAAAAAGATAAAATGAACATATTTGAATGTTTACGTTTTAGACACTTTAGCAGACACTCAGCATGTATTTAATTTTGACAACAATCCCAGGCCACAGGTACCATAACCCTTATTTTAGAGGGGGGAGTACAGAGGTTCAGAGAGGCTAAGTAATTTGCCCAAGGTTACAGAGGCATTAGGTGTCAGGACCGAGACCTAAACTCAAGTCTGACCCTGTAGTTTTCACTCTTTGCACCACCACGTGGCTTGTTTTATAATTGTGGCCATGTTTTATTCCTTATACCTCTCAGTATGGTATTGACTACTTTGGCAAAGGCTCAATAAATACTGATTATAAGGTAATTGATGGCTCTTTTTAATCAGAGGATTGAGAAGAGCCCTTCCTTATGCTTTCTTATTAGTTCACTTATACATACATTTAAAATTTTACTGGACACCAGCTATGAGCCAGACACTGTTCTAGACATGAGGACACAGACAGAATATGATCCCTGCTCACCCAAAGAAGTGAGGCTTATACAAAAATGACTAATATACAATTGTATTCATTATCCATTACTCCACAAAAATTACCACAAATTTACTGCCTTATAACAACACATGGCCAGGCGCGGTGGCTCACACCTGTAATCCCAGCATTTTGGGAGGCCAAGGTGGGCTGATCACCTGAGGTCAGAAGTTCAAGGCCAGCCTGGCCAACATGGTTAAACCCTGTCTCTACTAAAAACACAAAAAATTAGCCGGGTGTGGTGGCGGGCGCCTATAATCCCTAGCTATTAGGGAGGCTGAGGCAGGAGAATTGCTTGAACCTAGGAGACAGAGGTTACAGTGAGCCGACATCACACCACCGCACTCCAGCCTGGGCAACAGAGTGAGACTCCATCTCAAAAACGAAAACAGAAAACAAAAAAACACACACACATTTATTGTCACACTGTTTCTGTGGGTGGGAAATTTTGGCACAGCTTCACTGGGTCCTCAGCTTAGGTACTCACAAGACTATAATCAAGGTGTTGGCTGGACTAGGTTCTTATCCGGCTCAGTTGGGGAAGAATCTGCTTCCAAGCTCACTCGGGTTGTTGGCAGAATTCAGGTTCTTGCAGCCACAAGACTGAGGGCCTCTGCTTGTTGTTGGCTGGAAGCTGCTCTTGGCTCCTAGGAGGGGCTCTAAAAGGGTGGGCCAGCAAGGAGGAGTTCTATACAATGCAACACAGTTGCCAGAGTGACACCCTATCACCTTTGCCTTATTCCATTCATTAGAAGCAAGTCACAGATCCCACTTACACTCAAGGGGAGGGGACCAAACAAGGGCATGAATTCCAAGAGGTGAGGATCACGAAGGGAGGCTGTCTTTGAGTCTGTCTTCCACAACAATAATAAATAAGTGCCAGGTGAGTGGTACAGACAACAAGTACTGCAGGAACTCAGCTGGGCTCCACATGTGAGGTGGTGTCACTGCTGATGAGCTTGGGCCATTCAGAGGCCTGGAGGATCCTATTTGAATGAGATTGTGAGAGATGGGCACTACCATCAGTTTACAGGCAAAATGGAGATTTCACAAATGCTCCTGGAGACCATGGGCCCCGACCTCCACAGTGGCAGCCCCAAGCATGAGCCTGTCCTGGAAGGAGGCTGGCTATCGTCCAAGAGTCAGAGGGTCAGGCATCAGGTGATGACTGTGGACATGAAGAAATGGTGACATGTTCAGGAGCTGGCAGGCCCGAAGATGCACTGGGTAGACCCAGTGGGGGCCTGGACAGGTTGGAGGAAGGAGAGAGAGGAGGCTGAGGTGAGCCTGAAGTGAGGTGTCCCAGGGATGAACAGGTCAGAGCTTCTGAGGGGGCTGAAGAAGCAATTCACTGACTCCTTTCTCCAACTGGGGATAAATAACCTCTAATTTCTGTGGAGCACTCCTAGAAACAAAGAAATCTTTCATAGATTAATATGTATTCATATATTCCATTGGCTCTTCCATTGGCCATGTAGCATCAAGATACAAAAGCTAACGGAGCAGTGGGTCTCCTTGACCTCTGTGCATGTCTGTGTTGTGTGGGTTTATATGCACATGTGGGAAAGAAGAAGGGACAGCTCGTACCTGTTCAGTAAGTCACCAGCATTCTAGGAGAGAGAAAAAGTGAGAATCATAATTGGTTCTCAGGTTCCTATCACCTCCAAATTCCTTTCCCAATTCACTCTTGGAGGCCACTCTGGGGTGCCACCTTGAGAACTGGGGGAACATAGCAACACCCCTCTTCTGTGCCCATTCTGCTGCAGCAGCACTCTGTAGCCTGGAACAAGCCACATCTACCACAAGTCACCACATATCACACAGGCCCCTCCCTCTTACACCTCCCAGAAGGGTGATGCAGATGGGCTGCCTCCTATCGGGGAGAATCCCAGCCCTTGGGGAAGGCCTCAGGGTATGCACCTTCAGTGTGTTGGTGTCTAATTCCTTGGCCGTCCTTTCCAGATCAATGACCAGGCTTCTGAGCTGTGTTACTGCCCTGGAGATGTCAAGGATTCTGGCCGCTTCTGCTGGCATGTGCTCCAGCTGGCCCAGCCACTGCTGAGGGAGGGCACCCAGCTGTTCCCTGGTTTGGTGCTGGCTCTCCGGCCCAGCCTCCAGCCTGTGGTTCCCGTGGTCTACCTGAAACTACAGGAAAGGGGCTCCCTAAGACTCAGTGTCAGGTGGCTCCCTCCTGGCCCTTCACAGTCTCTGAATGTCTGAGCAGGAATGCTGATTCCTCAGTCCTCTTGCCCTCATGGTGTTGCCTCTGTGTGTCACAGGTATAGCAGAAGCAGCTTTGATTCTCATAAAGGCAGGGACACCTCACCTTTCCACCTCACTCTCTGAATATCTACAGATGCCATGTGACCAAGAGGAATAGAAAGGTAGACTGTCAGAGACAGAAATGGAGGCCTATGGCGGCCGGGCACGGTGGCTCACACCTGTAATCCCAGCACTTTGGGAGGCCAAGGCGGGCGGATCACGAGGTCAGGAGATCGAGACCAACCTGGCTAACATGGTGAAACCCCATCTCTACTAAAATATAGAAAAAATTAGCTGGGCGTGGTGGCAAGTGCCTGTAGTCCCAGTACTCGGGAGGCTGAGGCAGGAGAATGGCATGAACCCGGGAGGCGGAGCTTGCAGTGAGCGGAGTTCGTGCCACTGCACTCCAGCCTGGGCGACAGAGCAAGGCTCCATCTCAAAAAAAAAATAAAATAAAATAAAAAGAAACAGAGGCCTATGGCTTGTGTAGTAATTTTCAGTTGACGAGACACTGGTCTCCTTTGATCCCTACTGTGATCCAGGCAGAGCAGGACTGGTTCTCATTTAACATGTAAGTCACATAAAGATCAGAGGGCTTAACTTGCGTAGGTCACTCAACCAGCAAACTTTGACGCCAAGGCCAACACCCGGGTTTTCAGCCTCCACGACCATCTGCCCACATCAGGCTGTTCCAGGGACAGACAGATGTCCAGAATAGTTAAGTAAGGGCTCCTGAGAACACTCCAGGGAGTCCTTCCCAGGAACCCGAAAAACCCACCTGCAGAGCCTGCAGTTTCTTCTCCTGCTGAGCCTTGAGCCGCTGAAGTTCTGCAATGTCCTTTCTGAGCTTCCTGCTCCGGCGATTGAGTCGTTCCTAAAGAGACAGACACACCTGCTTGTCAGACTGGGAGTGAGGGGGGCACCCACTGGGAGGAGTCAATGGAACACGGTAGGGGGCCTGATCCCAGAATGCAACTAATGTAAAATTCTGCCTAAAAAGAAATGCTTTTAGAGCATCATGGTTGGAGTAAGGGACTTGAGAGTTTATTTATTGGATAATGATGGGGGGAAATAGTAATGGGTAATTTTTTTACAGTCTTAGAAGTACAGAAAAAATAATAGATAGCAACAGAACCATTTCTACTTGACTTCAGGGTGCTTTCTCTCAACATACAAAAGTTATATGACAGTCTTCTAGCACTTCTTACTATTTTACAGTAACACATGGAGCCAGTCTGGAGGGAATTGCCTTAAAGAGGAAATGGCAACCCTCTGCTACCTCTGCTGCCTGGTCCTCACTGGGATGAGTGACAAGATAGAGCCCTTTACTAGGTGCAAACTCATAGCCCAGGTAGGCAGTGCCTTCTCTCTCAATCTTAAATCAGCATCTGGATGTGTCGCTGTGTCCTTGAAGCTATGGAGTTAAAGAATGATTTGAGTTTCTAAAAAAATTTTGCTTTCAGGTTTTTGATGACCTATAAGAGAAGCAAAAATAACAACAAATGCTTTAAATGGCTGCCCATGGTTCGGGGGGCAGTTGGAGGGTGAATGATAAAATAGAAAACAAAACGAGAAGAGATTTGTGAACTAAAGATCAGGATGTGCTATTAGCTGAAAAGTGTGTGTTTCACTAAATCTTTCCCACTTCAGATTTTTTTTTTTTAATCTTTTTTGAGGAGATTTTGGAGATGTACAGGTAGAAGTCAGGGGATGGTGAAGACAACTGAAAGTTCTTTCCAGCCTGAGAATTTCCTGGTGAAATCAAGGTCAAAGGACTGTGTGTGTGAGGGGTCAGCAAGGGCATTTGGTGAACAGAAAGCTGCAGTAAGCAGAGAAGACAGTGATGTCACCACAAAGTTACTAAAAACGTGTCACGTCACTGGGTGTTTCCTGCAGGCATTTCCCAGCAGAGACGAAATAAAAAAGTCATAGGAGTGGGAAGTAATAAATGGGCATCATGGATGTCGCTCATGAGTCTCGCTGAAGAAGGTGGCAGGCTGGTGTGGAACTGTTTGTGCGAGCACAAGAGTTCATGTCCTGAAAAGCACAAACAGCCTTCACCGCTTGCATCTACTCACTTGCTGCCCTCACAGTCAAGTTGTTTGGTGTTGCTGTCTTCACCTCCTCACTGTCGTCATTCCTCAGCCAGCCGCCTTGTTTCTCATCACTCCTTTAAAGCCTCTCTCTCCAAAGTCACCTGAGATCTCCAGCCATGAAATCCGCAGGTGCCTTTCTGTACCTCCTCTCCACCCCATCCTTCCTAGACCTGTGCCTTCTGCCACTGCTTCTTTGCCTCTTCATTTTTTTCTGTAAAAAGGAGCCTTGAAGTTGGCTCCTCAACCCTTTTCTATCTCAGACTATGTCCTTAGCTTTCCTTTCTGGAGCCTTCAGATCTTAGAATTCCAAAACCAAATCTTTTTTCCTAGCAATCCATCTCATGCTTCCAAGTGAGAGCTAAGTGCTGCCTACTGCCCTGTTGGCAGCTCAAAATCAATATGGTAGAATCAAACATGCTGCCCAGTTCCCCAAGCTCTTCTGCAGTCCACTCCTCTTGACCTTCATGTTTCTGACATTGGGACTGCCATTCTGCCTGCCATTCAGCTTGAAATCTGTCACATTTCACCTTTGTTGATGTTAGTCCTCCCTTCAAAATGGCTTCTCAGCAACAAAGATAAGCCCAAACTCCTTCACCCAGCATCCAAGGTGCCCCAGGACCCAGCCCCAACTGACATTGTCCGGGATTCTCTCTCTGCTCACTGAACTCTCTTCACCAGCACACAACATTGCTCTCTGCTTCCCAAACACACCCGTGCAGCCACACCTCCTCATGGCCTTTTACTTCTCTCTGTCAGGAGTGCTTTATTTTTCTGCCTGTCAAAGTCAGGCCTATTAAGGTCCAGTTCAAAAAGCCACAGTCCTATCATCTGGCAGTTTAAAATTTAATAAAGCCAACTACAGACACTGTGTAAATGAAAAAAAGAAGGCAAAGATAACAGTAATAAAGATAAAGGCATAGAATGACTGAAGATAATACTGTCATATTGTTTACAATATTCAAAATGAGTAAGGTAAAGTCCTCTGTTTCTAAAAAGTACTTTTTCACCAATTTTTGCATAAAGGTATTTAATGGGTGCATATAATATAAATAAGACACTCATTAGAATTGAAAAGCTAAATTCTATACACTTTCACCTACCAAAATATTCCTCAGAGAAAAAAAGACAAGTTGAAATCTAGAAAATAGTCGAAGACCTGTCTTGTCTAAATGAATATTTTAAAATTCTGTCATTCAGGTTAAATCATATTAAATTTTTAAAATCTGACAAAAAAGGGCATTAAATTTGTTCTTAAACAACTTGCTAACACAATGTACAAAAGAAAAGTGGTTAACAGACAAAAAGTACCTATCCCTGACACTGAAAAAAAAAAAAAAAAAGAAAAATTAACAGCTTTCAAAATGCATGCTCCTTACAGAACTGTGTCCAAAAATATGAATTAAAAACAACATCACTCACACAATTATGATCTAGAAAATGTCAGAAAATTTTTAAAAATGTATGGTAAATACATGAGCTCAGCAAAGAATCTCATTTGAATCTACAAGTAAAAATTGTCAAAAAAAATAGTGTTGTAAAATACATAGCTACCCTCAATAGAGTCAGGGCACATGAGGTTTAAGTAAAGACAATTTAATATCTGATTCAGATACATAGTGGAAAGCCGTTAGTGATGTATCTTGGTACTGGTTGAGAAGACTAACTAAACCCCCAAAAGTCATGATTCTTAGTAATCAACAAATTTAATGCAATAACCATTAAAATCTTATGGAATGATCTATGAAATTTAGAAACATTGTAAAAAAGCACTCATCTTAAAAGACAGCAAAAATATCAGGTAATAAAATTATTAAATGGCAAAAATGCTGCTAGATTTAAAAATAAACCATAAAGTAACATGTTGTCAAAACTATATAACAGAAAGAATAATCAATGGACTAGAGTAAAAAAAAAACAGCCCATCATGAGAACTTAATTGATGTCAAGCGAGAAACAACACGTAAATGTGGAAAGGACTCACTGTTATATAAATATTTTGGGAACAACTGGATACCAGAATAAAGAAAAATTAACGTGGAGTCATCCTTCACACAACATACTATATGAAATTCCAAGTAAGCCAGGAATTAATAAACCTTTAAAAATAAAACAGAGCAGCACACTCATATTAAACAAATTTCTGTGTATTTAAGACATGGAGATTATATTATAAAAAAGAATAGAGCCAATTTAAATGCAAATTTCTAAAAAGTTGCCCAAAAATATAATTAAGAAGAAATAACAGAATAAAAAAATGTAGGTTAAACAAACACAACTAATGGAGCTCATTATCCAAAAGATAAACTATTTTGATGCAATCATGTAGAATTTATGCCCTGATTCTAGGGGAAAATGCAGACAGCGAGTCTTCATGGATAAAAGCCTCACCACTACTAGCATTCATAATCAAGCAAAGTAAAACAACGTACATCACTGTCACACACTTACTAAACCAGCAAAATACATTAAAGTGATTGACACTGACATTGACTGGTCAGTGAGGAAACAGGTATACAAATAAGAATTTGTAGATTTTATAAATTTTTCGGTCTTTTTAGAGTACAGTCAGGGATTATATGATTCTTTTAAAAGAACAAAATTTACAATACTTAACTACAAAGTTTAATTCAAATAAATAGAGATATGGTGAAAAAATCAGTAAAAAAAACCCTCCTTAATTTCAAAATTACGCTGTCAATATCCATGAGTACACATAAGGTCCACCATTATAATCACTTCTTCAGAAATATACTCAACTCCCTTACCCTCCCTCTTTGTGTTACTTTTCAGACAACTCCTTATCCATGGTAAAATGTACCATCACCTTCTTGTTTGCTGTCTGTCCTCAGGCAGCCTCCTGAAACATGTTAAACATTTCAGACCTCAAATTGGTGCTACATACTGTCTGCCAACCCTACATAGTTTCTCTTGTAAGCGCTCTCCCACACTGCATCACACCATCTTGTTTCTTTTCAAACCTTTCACATCCATCCTGATCCCACCCATACTGCTGATGTTCCTTCCTCAAATATTATGAGAAAATAAAAACCAGAACAAAACCTGGATTTCCAAAACTGCAAAACTATGTAGGCTTGCAGACACCTTCTCTTGTTCCCTGTTATTACTATGGAAGAAGTGTGCCTCCTCCCAACTCAGCTCTCATGCCTCTGCCACCATCTTACTGAAGTGTTAGCATTGTTCAATGCAATCTATTATAATCTCTTAAAATACCCTTCTCTCTTAGCAGCTGGGGCACCATTCCCCTTGTTTTTCTCCTGCCTTTCTGGCAACTCATCCTGTCTCCTTTGCTGGGTCCTCCTCTGCCTACATCTAAATGACGGCCTTTCCCAGAACCTTACCCCAAAACTTCTTTTTCTGTCTAGCCTCTTTTGAGGCAATTACATCAGTTTCCTTGGTTTCTTGGTTGTTTGTTTCTTTGTTTGAGACAGGGTCTTGCTCTGTCTTCCTGGCTGCAGTGCAGTGGCACAATCACAGCTCACTCCAGCCTCACTCTCTTGGGCTCAAGCAATCCTCCCACCTCAACCTTCCAAGTAGCTGGGACCACAGGCGTGAGCCACTGCACCCAGCCCCAAATTGTCACGTTCTTTTTTTTAAATCCTGTTAATTTCACTTTGTTGTTGCTGTTGTTGTTCTAGAGATAGTATCTCACTGTGTTGCCTAAGCTGGTCTTGAACTCCTGGGCTCAAGCGATCCTCCCACTTTGGCCTCCCAAAGTGCTGGGACTACAGGTGTGAGCCACCGTGCCCGCTTTTCTTGGATTTAAATATTGTCTTTGCCTGGATGGATCTTTGTTCTAGGTTCTAGGAATAAGACTCTGGAGATCTAAATTTGTGATCCAGCTGCGTATGTAAGATCCTATTTTGATGTGTCTCAACTTGGACTCAACTTGTCTTAAATGAAACTCTTGGTGTTGCATTCAAACCTGTTCTACCAAGTTATTATCTTTCACATCATCTATTCAGTTTCTCAAACCAGAAACTCATGAAGTCATCTTTGACCTTCCTCCTTCCTTCAACCCACTTTTTAAAATATATATACTTTAAGTTCTGGGGCACATGGACAGAACATGCAGGTTTGTTACATAGGTATACACGTGCCATGGTGGTTTGCTGCACCCATCAAACCGTCATCCACGTTAGGTATTTCTCCTAATGCTATCCCTCCCCTACCCCCCATCCCCTCACAGGCCCTGGTGTGTGATATTCCCCTCCCTGTGTCCACGTGTTCTCATTGTTCAACTCTCACTTACGAGTGAGAACATGTGGTGTTTGGTTTTCTGATCTTGTGTTAGTTTGCTGAGAATGATGGTTTCCATCTTCATCCACGTCCCTGTAAAGGACGTGAACTCATCTGTTTTTATGGCTGCATAGTATTCCATGGTGTATATGTGCCATATTTTCTTTATCCAGTCTATCGTTGATGGGCATTTGGGTTGGTTCCAAGTCTTTGCTATTGTGAACCATGCCACAATAAACATACGTGTGCATGTGTCTTTATAGTAGAATGATTTATAATCCTTTGGGTATATACCCAGTAATGGGATTGCTGGGTCAAATGGTATTTCTGGTTTTAGATCCTTGAGGAATCACCACACTGTCTTCCACAATGGTTGAACTAATTTACACTCCCACCAACAGTGTAAAAGCGTTCCTATTTCTCCACTTCGTCTCCAGAATCTGTTGTTTACTGACTTTTTAATGATTGCCATTCTAACTGGCAGAGATGGTATCTCATTGTGGTTTTGATTTGCATTTCTCTAAAGACCAGTGATGATGAGCATTTTTTCATATGTCTGTTGGTTGCATAAATGTCTTCTTTTGAGAAGCGTCTGTTCATATCCTTTGCCCACTTTTTGATGGGGTTGTTTTTTTCTTACAAAGAACCCACTTCTAATCTCTCAGTAAGTCCTGTCGATTCAAACTCTAATGATAAATTCTTCAAATATAACAAGACTTCTCAGGTGTGGGCATCTGTATGCACTCCCTACCCCCTGTCTTTGCAGGTTGATTTCTCTTCTGCCAGCCCTCAGCTTCAAGGTCACTTCCTCTATGAGGCCCTCACTGACCAAATGGACATGGGCCACCCATTACTGTTCATCCCAGACCCTTGTTTATTTTCTTCCTAACTAATAAAAAGTTACAGTTCTTTTGGGAGGCCAGCGCAGATGGATCATGAGGTCAGGAGTTCAAGACCAGCCTGGCCAAGATGGTGAAACCCTGTTTCTACTAAAAATACAAAAATTAGCTAGGCCTGGTGGTGGGTGCCTGTAATCCCAGCTACTCGGGAGGCTGAGGCAAAGAATTGCTTGAACCTGGGAGACGGAGGTTGCAGTGAGCCGAGATCATGCCACTGCTCTCCAGCTTGGGTGACAGAATGAGACTCCATCTCAAAAAAAAAAAAAAAAAAAAAAGAAAAAAAAGTTACAGTTCTTTGATTACTTATTTGTGTCTCCCTTACTACACTGCAAACTCCTGGCAGAAGGAATGGCATCTGTCTTCATTGATTCCTAGCACATGCTGCAGTTTCTCACACACAGCAGGAACTTACTAAGTTTTTACTTAATGAACAAGTGTCATCGTTATTTATTTGTTTTAGCTTTCTTGTCATTATTTAAAGACAGATTTGAAACAAGAATTATGAATCATCTTTGTACTTTCTACAATGCCTAGCATGACATCTAACACAAAGGACAGACCTGAAAAAATCATTTAGTGAGGAAATAAATTTCTCCATCTTATGCTGCTTCATCGGCAGGTGAGGAATCCCTCCCCACTCTCCTGTGGACATTGCACCTGGAGGGAATGATGTTAGAACCAAATAGAACTTTGCCTCTGGCTTTTTCAATTATTTCTCTACCTTTCTGTAGTCACTTTTAATCTGGACTCCCCACTTTCTCATTCTGTATCATAACATGTTCTCCAAAAGTCAAGTATCTCAAAGCTACCTCAGCTTTGGAAGTTCAGCCTTCACTATTGGATAGAAGGATGCCATGTGAAAATATTGTCAATTGTCCAGTCAAATACTAACTGGATTAGGGTCAGGGGAAAGGTTGATAAAAATAATTCCAAAGCTAATTGGCAAAATAAAGATATACAAATATCTGCACGAATTCTGAAAAATAAGAGTATTGTGAGGATTCTATCAAAATACCTGACATTAAAATATATGGTAAGGATAAAATCTCTAAAATACCTTGGCTTATAGGCAAGCATAGACAGAATAGAACAGCACAAAGAATCAAGGCAGTATGCAAGAAAATATGCATATATGGTATATTATGACATTGGCATTCAAATCAATGGGGAAACTATATGAATCATTCAACAAATGGTGATAGGACAAATTGATTATAACTTGGAAAAACTAAAGTTAGATTTCTACCTTATGCTCTCACCAAAATATATCTTGGATATTCTAGGTCCTCCAATATATATGTTGAAGGATATTCATTAGAACGTTCTGTGTAATCTTAAAACAAAACAATAGCTTGGAAATGACCCAATGTCTGCCAATTTATGGTACATTCATAGAATTTAATACCACACAGTTCTTGAAAATAATTCAGAAGATCTATACATGCTGATGAGAAAATGTTCAAGCCACACTTTTAGATAACAAAAATGAGTTACAGAAAAAAATATAGAGAGAATCCTTTGAGGGTGTGTGTGTGTGTGTGTGTGTGTAAGAGTGCATTCATAAGCACACACATTTTTTGGAAGGATGTACAAAAATCAAACAATGGTTACCTCTGAGGACTATGAATGGAGGGAGAAAGGAAGACAAATTTTTAGTCTTGACTTTATACCTTTCAGTGCTTTCTGAATTTATTACCTACAGCATGTAACTTTTGTGATAGAAAATTTAACAGAATAAGATAAAATAATTGCCATAGCAAAGAAAGGAAAAGGAAAGATAAGACAAATGCAGAAGGAAGAAAAAGAGAGAAAAAATTATGTAGTAACTTTCAGGTTTTAATATATTTGCAGGATAATTACTAGTGTATATAAAACCTGATTACATTTCTAGCCAAGTTTCTAGTACTATCAACCAGGAGTTCACACAGTTTTAGTCCTGAAAGGGTTTTGCATTAGTTAGTCCAATTACTCTATTCTACAGATGAGCAGACTGGGACTCTAACATCACACTGACAATATCCTCTTTTAGACAGACTCACATTAATGCATGGAAACATCAGCCTCAAAATATACACAGAAAAGCAAGACAAGGGTCCAAAACAGGATGAAGCAGAAGAAACAAAGAGAGATGTCCATTGTTGAGCTACTCTGAGGTGCCAGGCATGATGAACATGTAGGATGCAGCACCTCAGCGAGGTGGAGGCAGGGCCTGGCTGCGGTGACCCAGGCTTACCTTGCAGTGGCTGAGGGCATTTTCAATGGTCAGTTCATGATGAGACATGTGTTCAGGGGACACCAGGCATTCCACACATAGAAGAAGTCTGCTCTCCTCACAGAACCTGCACACCCTCTTCTGGTGGTTGGGGCAGATATAGCCTGTCCCTAGCACCTCCTCAGAACAGGGCTTCCGGCAGAGGGGGCAGCAGAAGACCCCAGAGGCTGAGGCCTTCTCCACATGCTGTGTCAGGCACACTCGACAGAAGAGATGTCCGCAGTTGGTGCTCACGGCCTCCTTCAGGCTCTCCTGGCAGATGGGGCAGACACCCTCCTCCTGGTTGTCCTTCTGCAAAGGGATCATGGCCTCGTTCCTACCCTGTCAGCCTCCTGTTTGCAGGGCCTCCTTCTTCACTGGTCTTCGGAAGGCCTGTTGCCCTCAACAGTCCCAGATAAGAAGGCCCAGTCGGAAGGAGGCAGCCCTGGAGCAGCCTGGGGACAGGACACAGCCTCCAAGTTCAGGCAATTGCCCACTCTCCCTCAAGGGTGCCGTGACATAGACCACACAAACCACAATTCTTCACGAGTTTCAGAAATAGCTCATCAGCTTTGACATGGACCCTGCGGTTTCCTTGTGTTTGTTAAACTTGAAATTATTTTTCATACACCTAGAGGAAGCAAGTGATTCAATAACCAATTCTGTTTTCCTCTTGACAGCTTTCAGTGAATATTTGCACGGGCCCCAAATTAAAAGGGCAAGGTGTCATTGTCATGGCCAAAAGCCAGACCACTATAAACTTACAATTTGAGTCTCCTCTGATTTGCCATCAGTAGAGAGAGTTTGGCAGGAGTTTGGACTGTTTTCTCCTACACTGTCACACCGGGTGGCTCACTGCTGCCCATTATTACCACCAATAATTACAGCAGCATCTCCATCAGCTGGTCATTCTTCCAACCAACATCCCTCCCAGGGTCATATAGATTCCACACTGAAAGAATGAGAAAGAAAACAGGACACAGAACAGACTAGAGACTTGTATAATGTTTGAAGCCACTTTGTTCCTTCCTGTCAAATCACCACCAAAGATGACCCAAAGAAAGAAGTCCCCCGCCACCTGCCACCTCCCTTAGATACTGAGGATTCACTCTTATTCCCTCATGCTGCACCTCTTGCCTAGCCCCACTCCTGAAAAGCTTTCTTAGTATCCTACCTCAATTTCTCCTGCTACAATTTCAGATCATCTTCTCTGGCTCTAGACCTGGAGAGATGGCCAGCAGATGAGTGGTTCTTATATCATGCCAATCATATGTGTTCATATGTCAGTAAATCTCAGGGCGGGGGGTGGAAAGACTCATGCTTTCCTAGAAACACTGAATTACCAGGAAAATTACCTAGGGTAGCTGGAAGGTGAGATGGACTTTGGTGCAGGGCGTGGCTTGTTTGCTCAAGGGGAGGAGGAAGGTCTTGGGCCTTTGACGTCGATATGACAGGAAATGAGACTCAACTAAGAATGGACATCCTAGAACCCCAGCTTATGGAACCCCAGGATCCAGGTGTCACAGAATAATGGCACCCACTCAAGATGCTGGAACATCAAATGCCCACTCCATTGTCTAAGTTCCCTCCAGTCAGGCTAGTCTTGGCATTGAGTTTGAGGGAGCCCCTAAGGGGTGCCACTAATAAGGGCTGTCACTTGAAACTTCTAAGGGTCCAAGACGCTTGTTGAAAACCTCATTTCAGAGCCTCCTCCCTCAATCCCACTTTGCCACTGTTTGCTGTGGGTTGTGTGATCTTGTGAGATATATATATAATTAGTCTTGGCACAGAGCTCCTAAAACCCTTGAACAGATGATCCTTAACTTATGATGGGGTTACGTCCCAGTGAATTCACTGAAGTCAGAAATATTGTAAGGTGAAAGTGTACTCAATACCCCAGTAAACCCATCATAAAGTCAAAAATTTTAAGTTGAATCATCTTAATTCCTGATGCACCTCAACTTACCACATGGTTATGTTCTGATGAGTGTATCTTTTATTATTCATAATAAGCCCTTTTCAACCATACCAGGGTTTATGCTAATGAGGTGACTCTTGGAGGAAGAATGGGGGCTGGTTGGCAGAAGAACCTTGTGATTAGAGGGTGGGATCTTTCTTTCTTTCTTTCTTTCTTTTTTTTTTTTTTTTTTTTGAGACAGAGTTTCACTCTTGTTGCCCAAGCTGGAGTGCAACGGCACTATCTCAGCTCACTGCAACCTCTGCCTCCCAGGTTCCAGCGAATCTCCTGCCTCAGCCTCCCGAGTAGCTGGGATTACAGGTGCACACCACCATGCCCAGCTAATATTTTGTATTTTTAGTAGAGACGGGGTTTCACCATGTTGGCCAGGCTGGTCTCGAACTCCTGACCTCAGGTTACCTGCCTGCCTTGGCCTCCCAAAATGCTGGGATTACAGGCGTGAACCACCACGCCTGGCTGGTTGGAACTTTCAGTCTCACCTCTGACCTCTGGGGAGGGGAGAGGAGCCCAGGGACTGAGTTAATCACCAACAGCCAGTGATTTGATCAATCATACCTAAATAATGGAACCTCTGTAAGATCCTGAACAAAGAGGTTTGGAGAGATTCCAGGTTGGTGAGTGCATCCACATGCTGGGAGGGTGGCACATCCCACACTCCACCGGGGACAGAAGCTCCTGTGCTCAGGATCCTCCCAGAACTTGCCCTTCATCTGGCTGTGAAATTACCATGATCCTGGTGATTTCAAAGACTATGTACATGATCATTTAACACCAAGGCCTTTCAGTTCTTGTCCTGCTCACATCCAATGACCTTTGCTTTTGCCACCCACCCTAGTGGCCACTCTCTTGACCTTGTCAGGATTCAGATTTCACCACCTGAAATTATAAATGTAGGCATTGTACTCACTTATAGTTCTCTTCCTAAGGCATTTCCAACAATGTCTGTTTTTTAACCTTCAATCCTTGACCCCTCCACAATCTACATTCCTGTCGTATCTCATGAAATAGTATAAGAAACAAAAATGTGGACAGATTAAGTAACCTGCCCAAGGCCACAGTGGTGTAAACATAGAGCTGGGATTCAGATCTGGGTGTCTCTTATCCCAGCCCATGGGCTTCATTACCATAAAATGTCATCTCTCTATATATACCTTTTCTTGCTCTTAGAAAGGATTCAGTAAAAGCTTGATAAATGGATGGATTAATGGACAGATGGAAAGATAGATTGATAATTAGATGTATGGATAGACAGATGAAGAAACAGCACTTTGTACCAACTTATAGTACTGACTATATAGTAACTTCTACTAGTTACTTAGGTACTTTTCTTGATTTTCCTACTGGTTTATTGAGCAACTTGAAGGCAGAAATCCACTGTATTTAACTAGCAGTAGCTTGAGAATGTTTCAAATGTAGAAACCATAAAAGGAAAGAAAGATAAATTCAGCCACATTAAAAAAGACCTGCATGGGGGAAAAAAAACCGTAAGTGCAATGTCAAGAGACAAATGACGAAATACCATTGGAAGAAGAAAAATATTTACAACTGCCATCAAAATCAAAGGGCTAATTACCTTTTATATACAGCTCTTGCAAATAAGAATTTATCAACTACCAAGAAGAAAATTGGGCAGAGGTATCTCAGCAGACATTTCATAGAAAAAGAAATACCAAATGTCTCTAAAGCATATTAAAAGATAATCTCAATCTCATGAAGAAAATACAAATTAAAATAACACTGACATACTATTTTTCCTATCAGATTGACAGAAATCCAAACATTTGGTAACACAGTGTTGGTAAGTGTGTGAGGAAATTGGCACTCCCATACACTGCTGATGGGAATGCCAATTAGTACTCCTCCTTTAGAGGAGTAGGAATTTGAGAATTTCCTCCAAGATTACAAATGTACATTCTCTTTGAGCCAGCAATTCTGATGTTAGAAATTTTACATATATATTCATGCATATGTGAAATAATATATGCATATACCTATTGCATCAATGTTTTAGAAACATTTGCTTCAAATTTTAGAAAAAAAACAAATGTTCATCAACGGAAGTTAAGCTAAATAAACTAGCTACATTCATACAATAGAACATTGTGCAGCCATTAGTAGGGGGTGGGGTGTGGAAGGGAACTTTTGCTATTGGAATAATCTCCAACATAAATTGATACATTAAAAAAAAAAAAGCTTGGCCAGGCATGGTGGCTCACGCCTGTAATCCCAACACTTTGGGAGGCCGAGACAGGTGGATCACGAGGTCAGGAGATCGAGACCATCCTGGCTAACATGGTGAAACCCTGTCTCATTAGCCGGGCATGGTGGCGGGTGCCTGTAGTCCCAGCTACTCGGGAGGCTGAAGTAGGAGAATGGCGTGAACCCGGGAGGTGGAGCTTGCAGTGAGCCGAGATTGCGCCACTGTACTCCAGCCTGGATGACAGAGCCAGACTCTGTCTCGAAAAAAAAAAAAAAAAAAGCTTAATGGTGCCCATCTCACATCAGACAGGAACAAAGCAACCCCCTGTTTATCCCAGCTTGGCTTCTGGTCTATGCCCATGCCTGGTTTATGCTTTGGACACATAGATTACTGATTTTAAAAAATAAAAATAAATTAAATTTAAAAGCAAGGTACAGAACAGTGTGTATAATATGCTATTATTTGCACAAATCGGGGAAGAATAAATATTCTTATTTGCTTTTTATGCAAAGAACATCTCTGGAAGAATATATCAATGAACTAGTAAAATTTGCTTCTGGAGAGAGAAACTAGATGTGTGGAAACCAGGGGCAAGAGGGAGACTTTTTCCTGTGTTTTTAAAATTTTGAGCCAGCAAATGTGCCATCTATCTAAACAATTACCTAAATTTTAAAATGTTTAAGAAGAGGATGGTCAGAATGAAAGGAATTCTGGACTAGTCAAAGAATCTGGATTATGGTCCTAATTGTGGAGATTTGTAGCTTCATGTTCAGGGGCAGCCACAACTTCAGCCTCCTTTACAAGAAAGTGGACAAAATGTCATAGCTGGAAATGGATGTGCTTCATAAACTACAAACTAATGCGCAACTGTCAGGGTCCTTATTTCCCTGAGTCAGCCTATTCGGCATAGCTCCTTGAATATATTAGGTGCTCAGTAACTGTTTTAAAGGAGTGATCTTATCTAATTTCTCATGCTTTAAAAATACTGGAGCCAAGAGTCAGGTGATTTTTGTCTTCTCTCTCTCCTTTATGACTCTTAATTGCCTCTGTTTTGACATTTCCCAGCAGGGAAGACCTAACTCCTACCTCTTTCACACAGCTGCTCCAAACCCTTCACATCAGTGGAAGCCCAGCTCAAGTCCCAGTTTCCTGAATGAAACTTTCCTAACAAGTCAGTCTTCATTCTGATGAATGGGGGCTGAGACCTAGCCCAGAGGTTGCTTGCCAAGCTGTGGGCTCTGGCTCAGGGCAGCAATGGCCCCAAGAAAGTGAACTGATCCATCCTAATTTTCACAAAGGTGTCAGAGGGGCCTGCAGGTTCTACATGGATCTCTCTTTCCTAAATCACCGTCTCATTTATTACCATTTGATTTTTGCCAACTTCCCTGGCTTTGGCTCACATTTAGCTTCATGAGGGATAGGACTATGTCTTTCTGTCTTTCCATACTCTCCTATGCCTATCCCAGGGCTGGGCACCCTAAACCACTCTCTAAGGGTCTCCAACTAAGTCCTAAACTCAAATCCCAGCGGTATTTTCTCAGTTCACATCCAAACTGATGACTCAAACTTTAGATCATCAGCAGTCCCCTCCTTAAAATTCTCCTCTCCACTGGCTCCTGGGTTCCCTCTCACTTATTTGATCATCCATAAAAGGAGATCTACTCTATCTTAGTGCAGCGAGGTGGAGCTACGTGGACTTCACAGGCGGAGTGTCCGGATTCAGATTCCCATTCTACCGATGCACAGTTGTTAGCACTATGCAGATCCTGTAACCTCCCTGAGGCCCGATGCCAGCTTGGTATTACTATCCCTATTGAGTTTAAACTTCTGTGCATTCTTAAGTGTTCCATCACCACCTCAAGTTCAATGTACCTTCGAATTATTCTTGCCTGGATTATCTGCCACCCTCCCCAGAACAGGCAATGAACAGGGTCATTCAGCTGTTTTCGGCAGCTGTCTCTTGATGGACAGTAGGTGGCGCTGTCTTTCAAGACAGGACACCATTTCGCTTCACCTCCGGAAGGTGGAGCATTGTTGCCAAGACTCTAGGGCACTGGCAACCGTCTTTTAAACGGTGGCTTAAAAACTGATAGCATAATTCCTCAGGGCAAGAAACATCTGGCTGTGGAAAGCTAGCCGTGAAATATGTAGACTGAAGATGGAAGGAAAGAGAAGGGAAGGGGAGCATAAAACTGTGTAAGAGGAAGAGGGGTGGCCCAGGAGAGAGACAGAGCCTGCAGGGCTGCAGAAGGCAGGTAACCAACAAGGAAAGTTTACCAGTGAGAAATGTCTTGGGCAGAAATAGTGAAGGAATGTTTAAGAACGGAAATGCCTAATACTGAAACTTAAGTTGTCTGCTCTGAGATTGTGTCCTCTGCTGAAACCTGTCCTTTAGACCAGCACTCAATACTTTTTATCCCTAGACTTCCAGGAATCAAGCAGTCAATCTGTCATGCACAGTGACCTGAATAAGAGGAAATTTAGAGAAATCTCAGGAAAGTTGCTATGCTCTATGTTTGATGAGGCAGTTCTCAGAAAAACAGGGTTGGGGAGGAGCAGGGGTTCAAGATCTCAGATTCAGGAGGCATGGGGGACTCAGCAGAGCCCTTGGGAGCTGCTGGTGAAAGAAATGAGTTATTGGTAGGAACCTCTGAATTCCACCCAGTCGCGTGGAGGAAACAACCTCCAATACAGCATGACCTCACTTAGAGTGTAAAAAGGTTAACTGGTAGAAGCAGACAGTATTAATACAATGGTGGTTACCAAAGTCTGGGCGTGGTGGGCATGGGGATGGGTTGGTCAAAGGATACAAAGTTTCAGTTACTTCAAGGAGGAATACTTCAAGAGATCTGTTGTACCTTCTGGTGATTTGTTAGTAATGGTACACTGTGTTCTTGAAAATTGCTGAGAGAGTAGATTTTAAGTGTTCTCACCACAAAACACGAAAACCAAATAAACAAAACTAAAACAGCCTGAAATGTATTGAGGCTATTAGGCATTCACCAGGTTGTTAAGGAATCCTTATTTCAAGTCCTACAAAACAGCTGATCTTGAGAAGCACAGCCAGATGGACCAGTGTGGACATTACATATGGCGAGGTTGTAGAAAGCAATGAATCCACCCCCAGTGGAATGCGTATGAGGGGCTGGTTTACAGTAAATACTTAACTGGACACACCTATTTCAACAAAAGGATAGGGTTACACAATCAGCCACTTCCCTATAATAGGGGAATTTATGAGCTTCCAACTCCAAACTGAGGCACAGGGAAGAATCAAAAAGGGTAAGCAAATGCAGAGAGTGATGTTCGGTGACACAGACAGTACGTCAGCCTGAAGTGGGACCCCAGCGGAGAGACTTCAGGGACAAGCCTGTTGCAGTCGTGAAGTGTGCAGAGGAAGCTCTGCCATTAAGTTCATCCCTTGCACTGGTTCTTTCCAAGACCCTGGAATTCCAAGCAATGTGTTCAATATGGTCATGCTAAGTGTTTTGTAAAATTTGCAAAAGTAACATATTTTAACCACGGTTAGGATTACTGTCTCCTTCCACGTCAACTTCCCTCTGTCACAGTTTCTCTTGTATCAGGTAGCATGTGGGGGTTCTAGCTAAGGGGAAATTAAGTTGGGATTACATTGTTTGAGATTACTAGGATATGTGGTTCATAAGCACTTTCATGTATAGTCAAGTTATTGCTACCCGTCTCAGTGTAGAAGTGGCTTACAGGAACCACCACCCACTG
The DNA here is from genome assembly GCF_000001405.40 of Homo sapiens. Taxonomy (NCBI): domain Eukaryota; kingdom Metazoa; phylum Chordata; class Mammalia; order Primates; family Hominidae; genus Homo; species Homo sapiens. Next base: position 1,385,365 of record NT_167245.2, on the reverse strand, counting down.
AGATAACTCACCTGACATCAGAGACTAAAGTGAAAGGTCAGAGATCTGTCACAATAAGAATGTGTGCTGTGACATGAGGCACCAGAAGTCTGTGGACAGTGAAGCCAATAAATCCTTTTAACCCCTAGATGTAGAAAATTATAAGCGTATTACTCAGTCTCATCAAAGTCTAGTCAAAATGGAAGCTCTCTTCTTTAGGAATATACTTATTAAATATGCATATACAATTATACATACATCATGAAATAAAATGATCTCTTGCATATTTGCACATGAAATTAATAGAAGTTATTCTGACATCAGAAAAGGAATTGGAAGAAGAAAAAAAGTTTGGTTCCAGCCAAAACCAGCAATTTATTGAAGGGAAGGGATACATTTTAAATAGAATAGATGCCTAGATTGTTTGACAATCACTTGATGAAGAATTAACCACATAAACACATTAAAACTTAAAAAACTTGTTGTTTTGGCATAAAATATTGACATCTACAAACAGTTTCATACTACACCTTTACAACAAGGACTTAACGAAAAACAGGCCAATGACTTTCAGCAACTTAAAAGAGTATTTAAGATTAGTCACTGCCCAAGAAAACTTGAAATGCCCTGAAATCTCAGGCTTACATAGGAAACTCTTCACAGAGGCTTCTCCAAAATTAATAGCACTAAAAATTTGCATATTATTACCAATAACGATTGTGAAATGGATATTAACTTTTCTAAACTTTCAATAAAAACTTTTTTTGCTTAACTATGCTAGACGAAATACCAAATTATTCATTCTCACCCAGGAAAATACATTACAAAAGTGTTGTCGAATGAAGAGGGAATCAAAAAATATAAATGGGAAAATATAGGGGTGGTTCAAGCAGTTATTAGAATTTTGGGGGGATTTTTTGATGTTTGTGATATGTCAGTTTTTAAACATTTATCATTTGCTGTCATTGTTTTTCCTCATTGTAAGTCATATTTGCTTTTATTCTTAATTTTGTCAAATTCTGTATCCTTTTTCTTTTCTTTCTTTCCTTTTTTTTTTAATTTTTTTATTTTGAGACGGAGTGTTGCTCTGTCGCCAGACCTGAGTGTAGTGGCAACGATCTTGGCTCACTGCCTCACTGCAACCTCCGCCTCCCTGGTTCAAGAGATTCTCCTGGCTCAGCCGCCCGAGTAGCTGGGATTACAGGCACATGCCACTATGCCCAGCTAATTTTTTGTATTTTTAGTGGAGACGAGGTTTCACCATGTTGGCCAGGATGGTCTCGATCTCCTGACCTCGTGATCCACCCACCTCGGCCACCCAAAGTACCGGGATTACAGGCGTGAGCCACCGTGCCCGGCTGTATCCTTTTTCTTGAAAAGACACAACACTGTGTAAGCTTTCAAGCCCCACAAACCTGGGCCATCTCCCCGCCCCAGGAGAGTTCTCCGGCAATGGGAGTGGCCCAGACAGGCTCCCCAGATAGGGTCGGTTTCCAACAGGAGCCCTAAGGGGAGCTGAACCGGAAAACAAGTCTGTTAGTAGCGCTGGTCCTACGTGTCAGGGCTCAGTGGATAGAGAAGGAACAGGTGAGAAGCAGAGCCCCCGCCCAGTCCCCAGCGGTCCCCTTGGGAGCTCTGCTCGTGACCGTCCCGAGGGGCTGCGGCTCCGGGGCTCGGGTCGTTTTGAGTTCCTATCTTTGCGGCGGCTCTAGAATTCCAGGGGCAAGGCTTGCGCTCTGTCGTTTGCAGAAGACCGTCGCCAACGGACATCTGGGCCCTCTGGTGTTTCCAGCCCCACCTCCTCCCAGCCTTTCTTGTAACTAACCTGATCGAATGTGTGAATTGGGATTTCTTTTAAAAGCCCACCTCAACTGAAATTGGGACAGTGTAATCAGGATTCCGCTCCCCCGCCTTCACCCCAATCGGTTGCTTTTCAAATACAGCTTTTCTAAAACGCCGCCAGGCACCCGGGCGTGAAGGCGCGCGTCCGGCGTTCCTGGGCGCTCACCCAGTGGTCCGCGCGCCAATCTCCCTAACGTTCCCCAACCACCGTCCGAGCTGCCCCACTCTTCGCCCGGTCACTGATGCAGAGGCTGTCAGGCCTCTCTGCGCACGAAACCCATCACAGCACCTGGGCCAGCAGCCAGTGCCGGGCTGTCCTCTTCCCACCCCAAGGCGGTCCTCTTGAGTCTTCACACCGCCTCCTTCGGATCCCTCCCCATCCTGAGGACTTCAGGTTGCCGGCTCCTCACTTGGGTCCTGCGCACCTCGGGCTTCTCACAGAGTAGCCGTCTCCATTCTACGGATAGGGAAACAGAGGACCAGAGCCCCGAAAGTCGTACGCCCCAAAGCCCCTGAGAGTGGTCTCCAAATGCTAGTGCTGTGGCTCTGGAAAGATTCATTTTATTTCCTGCAACAAAGGCAGCCTCAGAGAACTGGCCTCCGAGCCTTTTCCGTGCAGACCCCCAATCTTTCAAGACACCACAGACCAATTCAGTTGGCAAAAGCCCTAAGAACAGTACACCCCAAACCAATGGAATAAAAAAGTTTTGTTTAGTTGAGACTGCAGAACTCTTAGCTGGCTTACAGATTTCTAAGGCAGCATTTGGCACCTCTGTTTGCTGTTTGGCTCCTCTTTCGGCCTCTAGAGCTGACTGCAGCTCCAATCTCCTTGTCACATCCTGGTCTGCAAACTGAGACCTCACAGGGGCCTTTACACCGTAGGGCAACTCCTTATGCCGTTGTCACACTGAAGCTAGAATTCTCAAAGCTGGAGCACTTAGGTGTCTGCATTTTAGAGGTCCCAGCCTGAATATATGCACAAGCAGGGTTTTGTTTCTGAGCTCAGTGAAGAGGACTGCTGTGACTCCAGCTCTTCTGAAATATTAGATGTGTAAAATGCAAGATTCTCTTCCAGCCTTGACTGGAGGTGATGTGGCAATGTGTGTACGCAAGAAAAGTCCATGCAGACTTTATACAGACTTTACTACTACAGACAAGAGAATCTTTCTGAAAGCTAAGGCCCAGAGAAGAGCAAACTACTGAAAAACTAAGGCCTGCATCAGAAGGGCTTCTGCTTCCATTAATGGACTGAGTAATTCAGACCAAGCCTCCATTTGAAGACAACTAAAAATGCTGGGTAAAATATTTTTAAGTATCTTACTTAAATATTCAAAGGTTAGTGAGGAATTGCTGGGCCAAAATTTGGGAAAGGAAAGGAACATGGAGGTGAGCCTGCAACTGGGGTCGCTTCTGTTCTGGGAGCATTTGCTGAAGAGAGTTTAAGAATCCAAGCTGCATTTTTGGCAGCCTTTAAAGGCTTAAAGGGAGTAGAAATGGTGTCCCAGCCCAGAGAATCTCAAGTAACCATTGAACTTGTTCAAAGTGACTCTAAACTGCTAGTGTCAAAAACAATCATTCTGGGAAGAAGATAATAGCATCCTAGGCCTCAAATGCATCTAGCAAACAAGCAAAAATAATCAAGCCCCAGAGAGGCGAGATTGCCATAAGAAAAGCAGAAACAGGCCAGGTGCAGTGGCTCATGCTTGCCATACCAGCACTTTGGGAGGCTGAGGCTGGGGAATTACTTGAGCTCAAGAGTTCAAGACCAGCCTGCACAACATGGTGAAACTCCGTTTCTACAAAAAATGCAAAAGTCAGTTGGGTGTGGTGGTGCACACCTGTAGTCCCAGCTACTAGGGTGGCTGAAGTGGATGGACGGCTTGCGCTTGGGAAGCAGAGGTTGCAAAGAGCTGAGATCATGCCACTGTACTCCAGCCTGGGCCGTAGAGCCAGACCTTGTCTCAAAAAGAAAAGAAAAGAAAAAAAAACAAAAATAAAAACAGACAACAGAATCAGACCCATGGGGCTTCCAGACTCTGGGGTTATTGGGCATAGACTATATAACAATGTATATGCTATCTTCAAAAGGATAAAAGCTATGTGTGAAACATTTGGCAGAGAGCTAGAAATTATAGCAAGTGACGTAGCAGATTTTTTTTGGGGAAAAGGAAATCTAGATTGAGACAGTGATGGGCACTAGAATTATAAAGTCATGGAAACTCAAGTATGGTGGCTGTGTTGGTCAATCTGTGAGCTTAGAAAGAATTAAACGTGAGCGGCTATGTGACCACAGAGAGAAATGGAGAGAATAGCTTCCTATTTTTCAGTTGAGTTTTTTGCTACTACAAAATTATATAACCAAAAATAGATGATTTTAACTATGTAACTTAAAGGGTTATACATACACTTGGCTCAAAAAATAATATATTAAAAGGTATAGATTAAGTAGGACTGTGACCACCTTGCCCTTCTTCATTCATTCCACCTACCACTACCCCCGTCCCTGGCCCACCGGTACACACTTTTATTAGTTTTCTGCGTATCCTTTCAATGTTTCTTTATGTAAATAGAAGTTAAATACAACTATATATATTGGTATTTCTCCCCTTTATTAAGCAAAGTTTTGCATACTAAACACTGTTCTGTCACTTAACAATGTTGCCTAAAGATTGTTGTCATTGGAATATAGAGAGCCTGTATACAATGGCTGTTCAGTATGGCAACTGAAAAATTAGCTGTTTTGTGCCAGGTACCATGGTAAGTGCTGAGGATGTCAAGATGAAAAACTATGGCCATGGGTAAGAGCTTTTACCATTTTTTAAATTTGGAAAATTAAATTTAAAATTTTTTCCATTTTCCATTTTTCCCTTTTCCATTTTTTAAATTTGGAAAATTTTTCTAGAATTTGGCTTTGGGAGGGATTAGACTGCTACCCCTGGGTACCGCATCCCACTGCTTCCCGTCCTTCTGTAATGTGGACTCACTGGCATGGTTGGCCTGCGTTAGCTGGCTTTGTGCATTGGAGCAGCTGGATGCCAGCCCAGAAGTTTCTGACAGCCTGGGCCCAGCAGTTCTGTGCCCACTCTGGGCCAGAGCACACAGCTGTCTTGCAGGAGAGAAGGGAGTATCAGCCTTTTACTCCACAGACTCAGCAGAGGCTTGATTTCAGATGTGAGCTGACCTTGAGACAGGCCCAGTCTGACTCAGGGATCAACTTTAAGGTTCTGTCAGGTCTCTGTGGAGCTAATAAATGGAGTAGGGGACCATGGGGGCAAAGGGTAGGTCAGACAAACGGAAGGAGAGGCATCCTCATTTGGAACAAAAGCTGTCTGTTTTTAAAGCCCCCGTAAATGGTTCAATATTTTAAAAGTTTTTTATTTTTTAAAAAGCAATGTTTAAAAACACTCGGGTTAAAAACATTGACTAGGATATTTTACATAAATTAAATAGTGGAAGATTTGAATAAATGTTCTGTATAACTAAAATAGAGTTTCTTTTCTGAAGAGAACTTTGGACTTTCACCTATACCTGACACCTGGGCCATTGTTCTCTGATTAAAGGTGCAATTTTTATCTATAGGAAAGTCATAATTCAAGATCAAAAAAGGAGCCCTTTTACGATGTTTTAACAATACCCCACCCTTGTTCCCCCGCCCTCCACCACCCATCTACTCCCCAGGAATATCTTTTTTTTTCTTTTTTTTTTTTTTTGGTGAGGAGTCTCACTCTGTCACCAGGCTGGAGTGCAGTGGTGCAATCTCGGCTCACTGCAACCTCTGCCTCCCAGGTTCAAGTGATTCTCCTGCCTCAGCTTCCCGAGTAACTGGGACTACAGGCATGCGCCACCACATCCAGCTAATTTTTGTATTTTAGTAGAGACAAGGTTTCACCATGTTGGCCAGGCTGGTCTTGAACCCCCTGACCTCAGGTGATCCACCCGCCTTGGCCTCCCAAAGTGCTGGGATTACAGGCATAAGCCACCACACCTGGCCCCCAGGAATATCCTATATTAAATACAGGAGTTGATAGGCAGGCTTATCTCTCATTCCCACCCACATCCATCCCTCCTCCCCACCCTCTGATTAGCTGGAAAAATTTGGAAAGATGGAAAAGAGATTATTCCAGCACAGGGGAAGGAAGATCACTTGTCACATTGTCAGGAAAAACATACGATGCTCAGTTAAACTTGAATTTCAGATGTACAACAAGTAGTTTTTTAGTATGTCTCAAATATTGCATTATTCATTGTTTATCTGACGTTCATATTTAACTGGGTGTCCTGTACTTTTATTTGCTAAATCTGACAACCCTGTTTGGCAAATCTGGGTCACAGGGTATCAGGCCAACTGGAAAAGACAGTTAAGGAATGAAAGATAAGTTTAGATGAAAGGGAAGAGGCCAATGGAGGACGAGTTGGACTTTATTCTGTAGAAAATGGGGAACAACTGAAGGTGTCAGTTTTTTTTTTTAAGTAACATTTATTGTGGGATTTTTTTAATTGTAAAAGCAAATATGTTAATTGTGCTGCATTTGGAAAGCACAGAAAAGTATAAAAGAATATAATTACCCATAATTTCACCAACCAGCAATAACAACTATTGGCACCTTACTGTTAACTGCCTGCAAGTTGATGCCAGTTTTCACCTTCTCAAGCCTATTTTGACAGCTCTATTGAAAACTGGAACCATATCGACTGCTCTTCATACTCCCTTTCTGCTTTATTTTTTCCTCCATAATATTTATTTCCTCCTTAGAACCTTAATGTGAAAAAAAAAATTTCCTCCTAATGTATGATTCATTTGGTTAGCTGATTTACTGCCTGGCTCTCAGTGGGTGGGGCTTCTGTATACTTTATTCACTGTAATAAAAGTGCCTAGAATTATGCCTGTCACATAGTAATAAGTATCCATTGTAATGAACAAATAAGTTATCCTTCTGGTTTCTTTTCTCTGACTATATATGCTTTTGATTACTTCCTTATGTAACCATAACAGATTTGTTGCCCAACAGGCACAGAAAGTCAGTAAGCTGAAACCTGGTTGCAGCAGAGAAAGAGGTTTAATCGTAGGGCCGCCAAATGAGGACATGGAAGGGAACTTCAAATCCATCTCCCCAAATAATTTGGAGCTAGAGATTTTAAAGATTTTGGAGTTGGCCAAAGTGACTGGCTGAAGAGTGCAGGGTGAAGTCATGGGACAAGGAGATGAAGAAGCTGTATTATCAAGTTGAGAAAACAGTTCCTTTGTGGAGGTCTTAAACTAGTTGTCATCAGCTGTTCTACTAAAATTCAGGATCTGCTTAAGCAATTCTTTAAAAAAATTTTTTTAATTAATAATTTTTTTTGTAGAGATGGGATCTTGCTTTGTTGCCCAGGCTGGTCTCGAACTCCTGGCTTCAAGCAATCCTCCTGCCTTGGCTGATTCTTATGTCAGAAATCCTACCTAGAGCAACAATGGGGATATGACTGGTCAGTGTCTAGTGTTACATGACTTTTGGTTTCAAGGAAGTGAGTCAAAGTGCAGTCTGATTAAGGCTTAATTATAATTATATTTCTGTCCAGAATTATTGTTAACCCTGTGAGGATGGCTTCACTTAGGGAAAACTTTTAGACATGAAACTACTGGGCCAAACGGTCTTAGGTGCATTTTAAAATAATTTTGGTGTATATTGCCCACACACAGTCCAGAGGGGCTAAACTGGCTCACATTGCAGCTGCAGGATTGTGGAGTGCCTGCACTGAAGTTTGCAATAGAGAGAAGAGGAGATGAGCACTGCTCCATCCAGTAGGAGGTGTAAGGGTTGGGAGATCCCTTGCGAAGAGCTGGAAACTCAGAACTGGGGTTGTGGGGATGGAAGGTGGGCTCTGCGGTGATATGGGAGTTCATCTGTGTATTCTTTTGCCAGGACCTCCGTAACAAAGTACCACAGGCTGGGTGGCTCTAGCAACAGCAATTTATTTTCTCAAAGTTCTGGAGGCTGACAGTCCAAGATCAAGGTTGTTGCCTGTGAGGCCGCTCTCCTTGGCTTACAGATGGCCGTCTACTCAGTGAGTCCTCACAAGGTCTTTCCTCATGTGGAGCATCCCTGGTGCCCTTCTGTGTGTCCAAATCTCGTCTTCTTATGAAGACGCCAGTCAGATTAGACAAAGGTCTGCTCTGATGGGCTTATTTTACCTCTGAGGACTAAACTCTGACCTTTTTCCTTCTCTTGCCCAAATTTCTACCTAAGGGGCCTGGGGAGTCATGCCCTACAAACCGTAAAGTCTCATCAGAGGGGTTTTATTTAACCCTAATGTGGCCTACTTTCCAAACTGGCTCTGGCATAACATTACATAACAAATAAGGAAAGAAATCAAAATATTTTAACCCCAAATGTATTTCCTTGCCATATCTTGAAATTGCCCTGCAAAGTTGTCTCTTGTGGGGGAAAAATCTACATTCTATAGAGAATCCCCTTTTCCCTTTTTTTCAGGTCCAGGAGATAATCAAGAGTCTGGCACCCTTTTTGAGTCTAATAAAAAACATTTATAATCTATTCTCTCTGAAGCCTGCTACCTGAAGGCTTCCTCTGCACATTAAGAACTTTGTGCCGGGTGCGGTGGCTCACGCCTGTAATCCCAGCACTTTGGGAGGCCGAGGCAGACAGATCACCTGAGGTCGGGAGTTCGAGACCAGCCTGACCAACATGGAGAAATCCCATCTCTACTAAAAATACAAAAAATTAGCCAGGCGAGGTGGTGCATGCCTTAATGCCAGCTACTTGGGAGGCTGAGGCAGGAGAATGGCTGGAACCTGGGAGGCGGAGGTTGCAGTGAGTCGAGATCATGCCATTGCACTGCAGTCTGGGTGACAGAGTGAGACCTTGTCTCAAAAAAAAAAAAAAAAAAAAAGGAACTTTTCTCTTTTCTCTCCACAGTTCTTTATCTCAACCCAGAGATTTCCTTTCCATTGATCCCAGGTCTTCAGATAAACTCAACCAACTGTCAACCAGAAAATGTTTAAATCTACTTATAACCTGGAAGCTCCCTACTTTGAGTCATCCTGCCTTTCTGAACCTAACCCATGTACATCTTAAATGTACTTGATTGAAGTATCATGTCTCCCAAAAATGTATGTATGAAACCAGGCTGTGCCCTAACCACCTCAGGCACATGTTCTCAGGATCTCCTGAGGGCTGTGTCATGGGCCATGGCCACCCATATTTGGCTCAAAATACATCTCTTTGAATATTTTATAGAGTTTGACTCTTTGTCGACAATTTAATCAACTTTCAAAGGCCCTATTTCCAAATATAGTCACATTTTGAGGTTCTTGGAGTTAGGGCTTCATCATACAAGTTTGGAGCAGTGGGTGAGAGGGACACAATTCAGCCCGCGGAAATCTGCATAGAAGTGTTGAGACCATGGGAGAGACAGACATCCACCACAAACCTCCCCGCATCTGGAAGGCAGCACTCTGTACTCCTGAGTCTCTCAGGGCCAACCAGATCCTCCTCATGCCTCCTGAAATGAGATTTCAAAACTGCTTGCCATCCAAGTGACCTCCTCTCAAGGCAGTCCAGTTTGCGGTTACCTTTATTAAAATGCGCTTCCCAGAGTGAGTTACCAAGAGCTCTGTGTTAGGCTCTGGACACGGTACTTCTGTGGTACAAGAATATTACATAGTCTGATGTGTTCTGATGGGGGCATTTAGATCCTCAAACCCAAGCATATTTTTATTTCTTCTTGCCACTTTTCTCTCAACCACTTTTCTCTGATGTCATTTATTGTAGAAGCAGCATAACCATAGCAAATAACTGGGTAGCGCGGCCTAGCCAAGTTGACATATAAAATTAACCATTCCACCGGCCAATCCAATAATTTAAATAATCTGGATAACTGAGTCAAGTGAAGGCCAGGCCTTTTCAGCTTCTTCCCCCTGCCCTTGCTCCTAAGTTGGAGTCGCGGTGTTAGGAGACTGCAGTTTCTCCTGGCAGAGGGAGAGGAGTGAGACCACCATGAGGTTCTCCCATCTGCACAGGCACAGCAGCCCTTAAACTATCTCTGGATTTATGCTTCTATGTTTTAATGGGTTTCTCTAAGGAAGAAAGGGAGCTTTACATTTTGTTGGGGTTTTTAATCTCATGACTGATCCTTTGGTTGAGCAATTCAGCCCAATGTTATATTGACTGCTATATATAAACTGAACTTTGTTGCTCCATTTATTTTGATGGCCCTCCTATTTTTTTTTCTTTCTGTTTGCATGTATATATCTCTATAGAAAACTTTAAACTCATTTTTAATGGGATGATATACATGCAAACAGAAAGCAAACATTTTAATCATTCTGGTATTTTAAACAGAACTTTTTTATGGCTAAGTGCTGTGACTCATGCCTGTAATCCCAGCACTTTGGGAGGCCAAGGCGGGCTGATCACTGGAGGTCAGGAGTTCAACACCAGCCTGATCAACATGGTGAAACCCTGTCTCTACTAAAAATACAAAAATCAGCCAGGCATGGTGGCACAGCCCTGTAATCCCAGCTACTTGGGAGGCTGAGGCAGGAGAATCGCTTGAACCTGGGAGGCGGAGGTTGCAGTGAGCTGAGATTGCACCATTGCACCCCAGCCTGGGCAACCAAAGCAAAACTCTGTCTCGAAAAGAAAAGAAAAGAAAAAGAAAAAGAAAAAGAAAGAAAGAAAGAAAGAAAGAAAGGAAGGAAGAAAGAAAGGAAGGAAGGAAGGAAGGAAGGAAGGAGGAAAGAAAGAGAGAAAGAAAGAAAGAAAGAAAAAAAGAAAGAAAGGAAGAAAACCCTGTTTTTACTACCTCCTGTTTCTAATTTCTATTTTTAACTAAATAAAATCTAGCTCTCTTGTTGGGAGACTGGTTATAGGGTATCTCTGTGTAAGCTGTCCCTTGACTTCATTTCGACCCCACCGTCCCTGACTTATCTTGAAGCCTAAAAACCCTTTTGAAATCCTGTGTGCATTTTACTTTTCTTATAATATTCTTTCTAGTCACCGTTCAAATGCATTTTAAGTCATTTGCCTTGAGGCTTTTGAAAAAGATAGTGCCCATTCACACTGAAACCAGCCGCATATGAAGAGTCCCATTTTTCCACATCCTCATCAGCTCTGGACATTTTTGAAAAATTTTGCCAATCTGATGAGTACAAAGTTTATCTCATTTTTGTATTTGTATCGCATTATTTGTATTTTCCTGAGTAGTAGGAAAGGAGTTGAACTTTTTCTTAATTTTAGAATTTATTTTAGAATTCCTCTGAATTTCTATTTTTATTTCTATCCATTGTTCATTTTCAACATTTTTCCTATTTTAACTAAAATATTTTACTTTGGAAAAACTTAATATAGAAAATAATAGAAAATCATATAACAAGCACCTTATAACCACAACCTAGAATTAACAAATACAAACATTTTGCTATGTTTGCCTCAGATTTTTAAAAATTAAATATTACAGATTTAATTTTTTAAATTTTAATCTCAAAAAAATTTGAGAATCCCTCTGTCCATTTAGTTCTCTTCTTAGTTCCATTCCTCTCTCGCTCTTTCTCTCTCTCCTCCCGGAAGCAAACACTGCCATAAATTTAGTATGTATCCTTTCAGGCCTTGTGTTTAAACTTCTATCACATATATGGAAACTGCAAACTATATGAAGTGTTGTGTGTTTCTAAGTGTATATAAATCACCACATACTCATTACTGTTTTGAGACCTAGCCATATGACTACATACAGATCACTGGTTTTCCATCAGAGGTTTTGTCCCCCAGGGACATTTGGTCATGCTTGGAGACATTTTTGTTTGTCACAACTGGGGGATAGGAGTGCTACTGGAATCTAGTGGTAGAGGCCAGGGATGCTGGTAAACATCCTACAGTGCACAGGGCCACCACACACCAAAGAATTATCCAGCCTAAAATGTCAACAGTGCTATCATTGAAAAACCCTGACATAGGATTTATTTATTTATTTATTTATTTTTTTGAGACGGAGCCTCACCCTGTCGCCCAGGCTGGAGGGCAGTGGCGCGATCTCGGCTCACTGGAAGCTCCGCCTCCCAGGTTCCCGCCATTCTCCTGCCTCAGCCTCCCGAGTAGCTGGGACTACAGGCGCCGGCCACCATGCCTGGCTAATTTTTTGTATTTTTAGTGGAGACAGGGTTTCACCGGGTTAGCCAGGATGGTCTTGATCTCCTGACCTCGTGATCCGCCCGCCTCAGCCTCCCAAAGTGCTGGGATTACAGGCGGGAGCCACCGCACCCAGCCAATATTAATACTGTTACATGCATCTCTGAGTGCACATGTGCAAGGTTTTCTCTAGAGAGGCAGAATCATACAGGGTGTAAGAAGGCTCTAGAGGCTACCTGGGTTCAAGTCCCCATTCCACTATTTACTTACTGAATGACCTTTGGGGCAAATTGCTTAATCTCTCTTGATCTCCGTTGACTTGTCCTCAAAATGGGAATAATAATACTTCTCTATATAAATGAGTTAATACGCAAAATGCTTGGGACTGTGCCTGGCACATGGTAAGCATTCAAGAAATGTTAGCTTTTATTTACTGGTAGCAGTATTTTCATCATCATCATTATCATTACAGAACCTTGAAATGAAAGTACACCGTTTAAATTCTACTAAATATTTTTAAATTATTGTAATTTATACTCTCACCAGTAGGGTATAGGAGTACCTATTTCTCCATGTCCTTGGCTATATTTGATATTCCAGACTTAAACTTAAGATATAAACTGATATCTTCTTTTATTTTAATTGGCATTTTCTTTTTTCTTTTTCTTTCTTTCTTTCTTTTTTTTTTTTTTTTAAGGAAACGTCTTGCTCTGTTACCCAAGCTGGAGTGCAGTAGGGCGGCTAAAGTGCAGTGGCATGATCACGGCTCACTGCAGCCTCGATCTCGCAGGTTCATGCAATCCTCCTGCATCAGCCTTCCAAGAAGCTGGGACTATAGGTGTGTGCCACCATGCCCAGCTAACTTTTGTATTTTTTGTAGAGACAGGGTTTCACCATGTTGTCCAGGCTGCTCTTGAACTCCTATGCTCAAGAAATCTGCCTGCCTTGGCCTCACAAAGTGCTGGAATTACAGGCATGAGCCAATGAGTTGAGCGTGCATTTTCAAGATTACTGTTTTCAAGTATTTATTGGTTAATTGGTTTTATTGCTCTGCAAATGTCCATTTCATTCTCTGTCCATTTTTTGATTTACTATTTAATGTTGTAAAACATAATGTAAAAAGTACTAAAAAAGAAAAAAACTTAATGTATTTATACAATTAAAAATTCACAAAATGTAATATGTCATACAAAGAAAAGCCTCTCTTCCACCCCTGTTCCCTGGCTAGTCAGTCCCTCTCCTTAGAGACAACCATTGTTAGTTATTAAATTCTTATCCTTCCAGAAAGAACTTATTTGGATATTCAAGAAAATAAGTATTTTTTTTCTACCCAAATGGTAGCATAGTACATGCATTTTTCTGCATTATTTGTTTTTTCCTTTCTTCACATAACAACATATCTTGGCCATATTTTCCATATGTAAATAAGGAACTCCCTGATTCTTTTTTATTTCTATTCTGTTATAAAGCTGGGCTATAATTTATTTAAACATTTCCATACTGATGTACATTTAGATTGTTTTCTAATATTTTGCTAATGCAAACATTACCACAAAGTCCAAAATAAATTTATATGTGTGAGTATATCTGTAGACTAAATTCCCAGAGGTGGAATTTCTGGGATAAAGGGAATGAGCATTTGTAGTTTTGAAACATATCACATTATTTTCCTCCATAGACATTCTACCAATTCACATAGGCCCGGAAATGTGAATCCTGAGGCAGGGGAAGCTTCTGTAGCTGGAATCGTGATGCAGGGAGGCTTATGTAACATTGTGGGGCTGTCTAGTCTGACAACTGAGCTGCCTCTAGCCTTCACTGGCCTCTGATAAGGTGTCTCATCCCATTAGTCTTGGCAGGTCCCCTCCAGATCTGTGCACTCGCTGCTGCATGGCTCTGTGTCTGCTTTCTTGTGTGTGACAGCTGTCTCATGTGCATGAGGCTCTGCATCATTTCCTGTTCTATGGCTAATTTTTATAAACTCTATGCCTCAGAATTGGCTTGGAAGTCCTTTGGAACTAACACAATACCAACTATCTCAAGACCCTAGCCCTTGCAAATTGGAGGCATTTGGTTTCAGACTACTGAGCCTACTAAGAGTTTAAGATATCCATTCAAGGGCTGGGCACAGTGGCTCACGCCTGTAATCCCAGCACTTTGGGAGGCTGAGGCAGGTGGGTCATCTGAGGTCAGGAGTTCAAGACCAGCCTGGCCAACGTGGTGAAACCCCGTCTCTATTAAAAATACAAAAAATTAGCTGGATGTGGTGGCAGGTGCCTGTAATCCCAGCTACTTGGGAGGCTGAGGCAGGAGAATCACTTGAACCGGGGATTCAGAGGTTGTAGTGAACCGAGATCACGCCATTGCACTCCAGTCTGGGCAATAATAGTGAAACTCTGTCTCAAAAAAAAAAAAAAGAAAGAAGAAAGAAAAAAAATATATGTATATATATATCTCCATTCAGTCCAGTGGATGGATGACCCAGGATAACAATAATAATTCTGAGAGAGTAAAGCACCTTTGAAACACTGTAGATTCTCATTTTTTATGTCTAAATTTCCTTCCTCATGAAGCCATCAGTACCTGTTTGGTGACAGTTCTTTGAAACTCTCCAGTGGTGTTCATATGAGTATTTTCATTCTCTCTGCTGGGTTGCCCAGCTTCATTGAAATACCAATGTTCTTTTAAAATATTTGTTTATCATTTTTAAAGATTACTATTTGTTTTCATTAATGCTGAAACAAGAAAGAATAAAGAAGACTTAATGTGGAATAGGAAACCTGGAATTAAGTCTGAGATCTGTCATTTATTAGCTGGATGAGCTGGAACAATTAGTAGTGTCTCTAAACCAGGGGTTATCAATGTGTGAGCCTCCATCAGGAGCATCGACTTCTCCAGAGAATTTGCTTAAGATGTCAATCATCAGGCTCCACCAAGGACCTGTTGAAAGAGAAAGTCTCTACTGGAGTTCAGCAAATCTGAATTTTAACAAGTTTTCCAAGTGATTCTGAAGAATACTGAGTTCCTTTTTTGAGAAAGGATAAAGATAATTTCTTACAGGTGAGACTTAAATGAGGTAATATAAGCAAAATAAATCTATAAATCAGAGTCATAATGTCAAATGCCTTCAAGGGCCAAGGAGACGTGAGGTAGCAGAGCGGTGGGGAACATAGCCACCCTCTCTAAAGGCATCTACATTATCATTATTTTCTAAATCATCATGCCAGTCAAACAAAACCTGTCAAAAGTTAAATTCTGCTTCTAGGGGCCAGCAGTTTAGGAGTGTAAGTAAAACAATTTACAGATGTTAGACTGTTTTAATTTAACCCTAAAACAAACAAAAAGAAAGGTCTGGAGGTATAACATTTCTGAAAGTCTTTGGTTTACAGCAGTTGCTATAAGGGGAGCCACATAATTTATAGTCCAAACTGGACATTTCTGAAAGTGAAAGGAGGTGCTATTAATAATTACACCAGGACAAAGTGAAACCCAGGATGGTTCCAGGCAAAGCAGAGTGTATGATCACTCTGGCTATTATTATAATAGTCATCCACAAGCCCTGTTTGACCTAAGATTAAGATCAGACAAAAATTAATGGTGTACTTCTTGCTGGGGACAGACGGCTGATAATGGAGAGTGAGGAGGTGAGGGTGGAAGCTATACCAAGAGAAGGGGTAGGGAGGAAGCACCCTTTTCCTTAAGACAAGAGGCAAGGAGGGAAGGTTAGGACATGAATGTACAGAAGGGAATGTATGTAACACTGGTTGATATATTCCTAGTCATAACAAAAGCCATAGAAGGCAAGTCAGGGATCAGAGAAGCACCAAGAAGGAAGAAGAAGAACATATAGACAGAATTGGCAAAGCAAAGAATGGGCACGGAGACACCAGCATACTGGAGACATACAGAGAAAAAATCAACAGAGGACAGACTACTACAGGTGTTGTGGGGAGACAGAAGATCACCAGGGGCAAGAGCAAAGTGCAAAAACAAAGAACAACTCTTTAGAAAGGAAGTTCCTTGCCTATCCTACTGAGCTAGGGAGTGGTTGGTTGACCCTGTGACTGGAAATTCCCCAAGGTAGGTGATGATAACCTCCACATTTTCACAAAATTCTGTGAGGAGCCAAAGCACCTGAGGTAGAGAATTGCCCTTCCCCTACTTTCCAGATGCTCTACCAAGGCTTGAACTTTGCATACAAGATGCCCAAAGCATTGCAGTGAACTGGCTGTGACCTTTCAGTAGGCATCACCACCCACCCCTCCACTCCCTACTCAGAGCTGATTGGGAAATCCCCCATAAGTGGTGTTTGGTGCCCCGGTCATTCTGATCTTAGTCAACCACCATACAAACATACCTTTAGTCCAAAGTTCAGGACAACTTATTTCACTTTATAAGCAGCCTATTACACATTCAAAGTATCCATTTGTTCTCAAGAGGTAGCAAGGTAGGACTGCCCATCTGTTTTCCTCTCTTTATAATATTTTCTAGATCCTAAATTTTACGCTTTTCTATCATTTCTTTATTTTTTTCTCCCTCTTCTTTTCCTCTCTCTCTGCTCTTCTAACTAATTGGCAGAATCTCTGACCTCCACTTTCTCTGACTCCCTTCTCCCTTCCTAGAAACAGTATCCACAGTGGACTCCGGGGCTCCTACAGACTTGGCACAGCTTCCTACAGTCTTGAAACAGCCCTGTTGTTCTGTCATGGCCAGTGGGCAGTTTGTGAACAAACTGCAAGAGGAAGTGATCTGCCCCATCTGCCTGGACATTCTGCAGAAACCTGTCACCATCGACTGTGGGCACAATTTCTGCCTCAAATGCATCACTCAGATTGGGGAAACATCATGTGGATTTTTCAAATGTCCCCTCTGCAAAACTTCCGTAAGGAAGAACGCAATCAGGTTCAACTCGCTGTTGCGGAATCTGGTGGAGAAAATCCAAGCTCTACAAGCCTCTGAGGTGCAGTCCAAAAGGAAAGAGGCTACATGCCCGAGGCACCAGGAGATGTTCCACTATTTCTGCGAGGATGATGGGAAGTTCCTCTGTTTTGTGTGTCGTGAATCCAAGGACCACAAATCCCATAATGTCAGCTTGATCGAAGAAGCTGCCCAGAATTATCAGGTAGGCATTTGAGGTTTCTTCCCTGTTCCCCCATCAGCCCAGGAGTTCAGTGAGGCCCTGGAAACTGCTACCTTCCCACTGAGGGTTTGCACCCCATTGCCCCCACCCCTTGGGCTTGAGTGGGCAGCTCGCAGTCAGGCACAGTGGGTTCAAAGAGCTGAGTCTGGGGAACTGCTGACTCTCTAAATCAAGGTGCAATGGAGAATGGAAAGGATGTGAAAATTTGACTCAGAAGGTTTGGGCTCAAGCCCAGTCTTGTGAGTTTACTGTACAACCTGCAAGGAATCACTTTACCTCTCTGAGCCTCAGGTACCTCACCTTTCAAATGGCAAAAACAAAACAACTCTCTTAAAGTTGTTGGTAGGACAGATGAAGGGAAGTTTGTAGTTCTTTGATAATTCCAAAGCACCATCCATAGTCCTAGTTAGTCATAAATAACTATGTTCTGGTCATTTAGGTCACTTAGGCTCCAGATTTCTCCCTTCTCAGCAACCCCTTTCCCCGCCAGCTTGAGAAAGGCGAGTCCTTAATAATTACACAAGGACTCACCTGGAGAGTGTCACCAGCTCTCCTAAGAGACCAGGAGGATTTTATGAGGCCAGAAATCTCCAGGCACAGCCTGTCCAAACGGCCCTCTTTCCGCAGGGGCAGATTCAAGAGCAGATCCAAGTCTTGCAGCAAAAGGAGAAGGAGACAGTACAAGTGAAGGCACAAGGTGTACACAGGGTCGATGTCTTCACGGTAAGAAAAACTCCATCCCACGATCTCTGGAAGCAGAAACATCTCTGCCAAAGCTCCTGGAATCCCCTATTACACTGACCCCTCAGAAAAAGATCCAGTGAGCCATGTCCTCTCCTCGGCGCCTCAGCACCTGACCGGCCAGGCGGCATCACCTCCCGCGTCGGCCTCGCTATTACAGCGGGCTGACTGCTCAGTCTCCACCGGCAGACAAGGTGGGGCACGGAAAACCCGCGCTGGTCTTAGAATCGCAAGTACAGGTTTTTAAGGCCGAGCTGCGCCCTCAACGGATTCCCCAATTAGAAAATGAAGACATTGGCCGGGCGCGGTGGCTCACGCCAGTAATCACAGCACTCTGGGAGGCTGAGGATCGCTTGAGCCCAGGAGTTTGAGACCAGCCTGGGCAACATAGCGAGACTCTCCTCTTAATTAAAAAAAAAAAGAAAGAAAACTAGCCGGGCGTGGTAGCACACGCCTGTAGTCCCAGCTACTAGAGAGGCTGGGAGGTGAAAGTATTGTTTGAGCCTGGGAGGATGAGGCTGCAGTGAGCCGTGATCGTGCACTGCACTCCAGCCTGAGTGACAGAGTGAGAGACTGTCTCAAAAAAAAAAAAAAAAAAGACAGAAGGAAAATGAAGACATTGTGACCCCACTTACCTATTTTCCTGTGTGCGTGAAAGGAATAAAATCTATATGAAAGATTATAAACTGAAAAGCCTTCTGGAATTGTATTAGACAGTTCCTTGAAGGCAAGTGGTAAACCATAAATTAATAATTTCGCTTAAAGCTGAGCACGTAGTAGGTGCTTTTAGAAGTTTGTTCTCCTCTCCTTTCCTTTCTTCCAGGTCTGCCCTGGCACATTGCTCTGGTTGGGAATTCCACACAAACTTAATAAAATTAATGGCTGAATAAAGTGGGCTAGAAGGACCTTCGAGGCCATCCTCTCACCCTCTGCCTGTCCCTGTTTCTTAGGACCAGGTAGAACATGAGAAGCAAAGGATCCTCACAGAATTTGAACTCCTGCATCAAGTCCTAGAGGAGGAGAAGAATTTCCTGCTATCACGGATTTACTGGCTGGGTCATGAGGGAACGGAAGCGGGGAAACACTATGTTGCCTCCACTGAGCCACAGTTGAACGATCTCAAGAAGCTCGTTGATTCCCTGAAGACCAAGCAGAACATGCCACCCAGGCAGCTGCTGGAGGTGAGTCCCTTGGGGGCAGAATTGCAGAGAGGTAGCAGCCCATCCCTAGTCTCAGGTCAGAGCATGGACCACTGGCAGAATACCTGAGATTGCCCCAACCATCCTACCTCTAGCCCAGTGCTGTCCAATAGCAATATGTGAGCCGCATGTATTAGAATGAAAATGTGAGCCACATATGTAATTCATAAATATAATTCTGGCCACATGTGTGATTTAGAAATGTAGTTTCAGCCACATATGGAATTACAAATTTTTCTAGTTAGTCACATTAAAATGATAAAAGTGAAATTAATTTTAATAAAATATTTTAACTCAATATATCTGAAATATTATCCTTTCAGCCTGTAATGAATATTTTAAAAGTATTAATGAGATATTTCACATTCTGGGTTTTTGGTGGTTTTTTTTTTTTTTTTTTTACACTGAGTCTTTGAAATTGTGTGTATATTTTTCACTTTGGCACATCTCAATTCAGATGCTAAATTGTCAATTGTTAAAGTAAAATATAGTCTTACCAAATCAATAAAGTTGTGTTTAATGGAAAAAGTACTTTACCCTTCTTCTATTTATTTTATTTTATTTTTTGAGATGGAATCTTGCTCTGTTGCCCAGGCTGGAGTACAGTGGCGCGATTTTGGCGCACTACAACTTCCGCCTCCTAGGCCCAAGTCCCAAGTAGCTGGGATTACAGGTCCCCACCACCACGCCCAGCTAATTTTTGTATTCTTAGCAGACACGGGGTTTTACCATGTTGGCCAGGATGGTCTCGAACTCCTGACCTCAAGTGATCTGCCCACCTCAGCCTCCCAAAGTGCTGGGATTACAGGCGTGAACCACCGTGCCTGGCCTCTATTTTTAATTTAAATTTGAATTAGTAAAAATGAAATTAAAAATTCAGTTCTTTGTCACACTAGCCACAATTTCCAATGTTCAGTAGCCACATGTGGTTGGTGGCTACCATATTGGACAGTGCAAGTCTAGCTGGTGCTTAAAATAAGCTGAGATGATTCCTCCTCAAGTCATCTATTCTCCCACAGGTTCAAAAACCTATTTATTTATTTTAAGAAAGATCATGCAAAGCCATTCTAGCCTTTCTCCTGCCCTGGCTAGCAGGCTCCCTTGTTCAGTCTCAGAGCCAAATTCATCTTCTAAATCTCACTCTTCTCTTCTTCACTCAGTTCTTCTTGAGGTCAAAACACTTTTCTGCTTACTGGCAGAGCAGTGCTTCTTGGAGAAGCCCTTCGTGGTGGGGAGAGGGGAGGAGGATGGGGTAAGAGAGACTTGGAGGGGTTCTTACTCCTCCTGCTCTGCCCCACACCCAGCAGGCTCTGTATCTCCTCCTTGGCTCCTGGGAATCAGCCAAGTGCTGAGGCTGTGCTGTTTCTCTTTCTCTTCTAGGATATCAAAGTCGTCTTGTGCAGGTATGATGGGCCACCCCAAATGTATTTTGCCTACTGATTCATCCACATACAATTCTCAGCGTATATCCAAATGCAGTCAACATTCCTCTCTCAGAAATACCCACCCACCTCTAACTCTGCATTCATACATTTAGGCTGCAGCTGGGGAATGCCTATGCCAACCATATTAGCACGTGGTTGGTTGTTAAAGAAACCAGCTGTTTTCTCAGCCTTCCTCCTTCTTCAGCACAGATTCTACTATTTCCTGAATGCCCCCTTGCTCAACTGAATAGCTCCTGGGTCCCCTACTCTGTCTCCCTGACCCTGTTTTTTTCCCTCCTCTCTGTCTCCATCTCCCATCTTCATTTCCATATCTCCCTATGCCCTACCTCACTCCTGCCCCATATCCCTAGCCCTGACTTTCTGACTCCCAGCTCACTATCCCTTAACCGCCAGGTCTTCTTCTTTTTTTTTTTTTTTTGAGATGGAGCTTTGCTCTTGTTGCTCAGGCTGGAGTGCAGTGGTGCAATCTCAGCTCACTGCAACCTTTGTCTCCCAGGTTCAAGTGATTCTCCTGCCTCAGCCTCCCAAGTAGCTGAGACTACAGGCGCTTGCCACCAAGCCTGGCTAATTTTCATATTTTTAGTAGAGACCGGGTTTTACCATGTTGGCCAGGCTAGTCTTGAACTCCTGACCTCAGGTGATCCACCCGCCTCAGCCTCCCAAAGTGCTGGGATTACAGGTGTGAGCCACCGCTCTCAGTTCTACCCCCAGGTCTTCATCCCCTCATTTCTCAACCCCATATCTCAGATCCTCCTTCTCCCACACCTCATCCCCTGATCTCACCAACCAGCTCAACCACATCTTCCTAGAAGTGAAGAGTTTCAGTTTCTCAACCCAACCCCTGTTCCTCTGGAACTGGAGAAAAAACTCAGTGAAGCAAAATCAAGACACGACTCCATCACAGGGAGCCTGAAAAAATTCAAAGGTAAGGAAGAGGCTGTATTTTCTCTATTCACCTACTTCCAGGAGATTCTCTCCCTGCTCACTCCACTGAAATGGAACTGTGACTCATACATGCCAACAATCCCTGGGCCCTTCTAGTGCCAGGCTTCTGGCTGAGTACTTTCCACGCATCAGTATGCCTCCTCCCAGGCATTTCTTATATTCTGTCTTCGTGATATGTTATTTATCTGCCTCCCTGACTCCTGCGAGAGCCATAGAGGGCCTGGACCTATTCCCCATGTGGACACCTGGCCTAGAGCAGTGGCTGTTGGGAAGTTGGTGATGAGTTGTCTGGTGGACCAGAGATGGCCTCAGGCAGGGACTGTCATCTCTGACTTCTCCTTCTCTGGTGCACACTGGTGTCTCCTCCTGCCTACAGAAGAAGAGAAAATAAATTCAAAATCAGTGACATTCTGGGGAGAAACCTCTTCCAGCCTTACAGGGAAACAGAAATCAGCAGAACAGTAGTGGATGACTTGGGTTTTAGATGTTCGGCCAGATATTTTTCATAAACCTTTCTGTGTTTGCAACTAGGAAGAAGGGTTAGTATTTGTAAGGACTCCCCTTAATGTGAAGACTGTGTTGGTCTAAGGTGGGCATAAAGACAGCTAGATGGAATCTTCTGAAATTATCACCTGGAGTTCCACACCCACCTCCCCCACCCCAACCCCCAGCCCCCCATACACAAACACTTCCCCTTGGGACTACGGAAAAGGAGGACCAGGGCAATGCCCCAAGATCTCCACCCATTCAGCCGGGAATCTCCACTCGGCAGACATAAACAGGAAAGCATGTTTTGTTTTATTCTTAATTTTGTTGTCTGAGCTTTTCTTTTGTCCACTAACTGCTCTGCTTTGTCTAGCTCCTCCCACCCCACTGGGCATGATCTCAGCCGATCTAGCAACTTTATTTATTTGTTTATTTATTTATTTATTTTTGACGGAGTTTTGCTCTTATTGCCCAGGATAGAGTGCAGTGGCGCAATCTCGGCTCACTGCAACCTCCGCCTTCTGGTTTCAAGCGATTCTCCTGCCTCAGCTTCCCAAGTCGCTGGTGTTACAGGCACACACCACCATGCCCAGCTAGTTTTTTGTATTTTTAGTAGAGACGGGGTTTCACCAGGTTGGTCAAGCTGGTCTCGAACTGCTGACTTGTGATCCACCCGCCTCAGCCTCCCAAAGTGCTGGGATTACAGGCGTGAGCCACCACGTCCAGCCCGATCCAGCACCTTTCTAGGCTCTTCAGGTCAAGAATAGCTTGGTTCTAGTTTGGAATTTCAATAAAGGAGCCCAGCCCTTTCCACTTCATCAGGTTTGGAGTTGGGGAGACTGGTGTGCTCTACTCTGTATCCCCCTTTTCTTTCCCTCTTTCACATACACAAACTCACACACACACAGTCCCCCAACTCCCACCTGGCCCTATTTCCTTCTTTTTTTTTTCTCTTATTTTTATTTTATTTTTACCCCAAAGAAGAAGGCACAATGGCCACCTGGCCCTATTAAAGCCTAGGAAATACAGGAGGTGGTAGGGAGTCTACTTATACCACAGGTCCAATCTCCACAGTTCTTATTATGAGGGTTGGTTCTCCCTGCTCGGGGTGACTGGGTCTGGAACACGTACGTGGAGAAGGGTGTGGCTGGGCCCTGAAGCCGCTAAAGGCCCTTGTAGGTGAAGTGCTCCCAGGCAGTGTTTCCTATGCTCTAGGTTTGCAGACCCCTCCTAAGAGGGCCCCCGCGTCTCCCCTGAGCAGTCCCCATGACTGGGCTGGTGGCTCTCAGGGAAGCTGCCCACGCTTGTCCCACTACCTAGCCCCAGGCTGTCTTGTGCTGTCTTGGGGCTGCAAGACACTGGGGGAAGGGTGCTGGGGCCAGAAGTAGCTCCCCATCTAGGGGCTCCACCCTATAGTTCTCCACTCAGTCCAGCACCCCTACAGGAAATCTAGGCCAGGAATGGGCCATTGTCCCCAACTTCTGGGCTCATCCTCTACCTGCAAAAGGAGTCTCTTCTGGCAGGGGTGAACTGGGAGATGAAGGCACTCGGCCTCCCCTTGCAGGAGCTCTGTCTTCGTTCCCCCTCTCAAGCCCTCTTTCATGGGAAAGAGGGCAGGACTGCCATCCAGGCTTTAGGAGAGTGGGGCCCCCCCTTACCCCACCTGGCTCCTGGGTGGTTAGCCCTACAGTAGGCCTTCTGAAGCTAAAGGGTGAAGCCTCAAGGCACTCTTTGTCCTGAGCACCTACCTTTGTCAGGCAGTGAGAAAGGGGCTAGCTCTGCACTGTCCAATTTAGTAGCTGCTAGCCACATGTGCTGACAGGCACTTGAAATGTAGCTAGTCCAAATTTAAACATGCTATATGTGAAGAATCATTAATTTCACAAGATTGAGTGTAAAAAGAGACTGTAAAAGATAGCAATAATTTTTATAATACATGTTGAAATAACATTTTGAGAATATTGAGTTAAATAAAATATATAATTAAAGTTAATTTTACTAGTTTCTTTCTACTTTTTAAATGTGACTACTAGAAAATTTAAAAATATATAAGTGGCTCACATTCGTGACTCAGATTACATTCATCATTCATACTGGACAGTGCTGGGCTAGGCAGTCACCACAGGAAAGCAGAAAGGGCATCTCTCAAGGGTTGCATACCTTCCTGGTCCAATAAGAATATGAGAGTCAAATGCAGCTTCTACTTCTCCCAGGCATTTCAAATTAGTGCCTTGCTGTGTGATAGTGAGTTCTTTGCTCAACCCCTCTGGACTCTCACCATTTCATCCCATTCTTTATTCCCCAGACCAACTCCAGGCTGATAGGAAAAAAGATGAAAACAGATTCTTCAAAAGCATGAATAAAAATGACATGAAGAGCTGTAAGTGAGAAATGATGGTTGGTTGCTTCTGCCATTTGGGGAAAGTGAGAAAAGGGGAAGAATTGTGTCTCTATGATTACATGAAGGCCAGATATAAGTGAATGCCGATTCCTCAGCCAATTGAGAGAACAGGCATATGGTTGTTTTATTATTTTAAACTCAGGTAACTCACAAAACAGTCACTAATCCCAAACTTTGAAGTATTCAGAAGTAATAGAAAATTGCAAATGTATTTCTTCACTCCTAGAGACAGGGAGGAAAAAGTGGGACAAGAAGGAGGCAGCTCCACCTCTGTAGTATTTGCTGCCCCTACAGGGCACCAGGTTTCGAGGCAAACTCCTCTGGGTGTGAGGTCAGTACAGCTCAGGGGATGGAGACCCACTGTAATAACAGCCTGTGCTAAAGTCATTAGATATGGTTCTGCCACCTAAGATAATAACAGTAGAAGTACCATTTCTTAAAGGACCACTATGTGCGCATCTAATATTTCAAAACCCCACAACTATCCTCCAAGATAGGTGTTATTATCTGCAACTTACAGTGAGGTCCATGTAGCTTCCGGGAGGGGAGGTAAGTTACCCAGGTCATATGATCATTAAGTGAAAGAGAGAGAATTAGAACTCCTTTCTCCAAAGCCAGAAACTACAGAATGCATTCCAAAGCCAGAGAGCAGGATTTAGGGATCCTATTCCACCAGCATTTCTCCACAAAAGGAGCTACCGGTGTTTAGAAAGGCCATCTTTGTTATGCTCCATGACTTTTGCCCTGTTAAATGCTTAGTATCCCAGGCCCCAGAAAGCCCTATAAGCCAGTAGAGAACCACACTCTTGTTGTCACTGAGACAACCTGAAAGGTTTCCACACTTCCCCCTGGGTGGGGAATGGGTCCCACTGAGAACCATTGACTGTTCTGATTGATGATGGCAGGGTGCTTGTTTTTGTTTTTAATTTGCAGCTTCTGGTTATCAAGACCAAATAGGTTTTCTCTCCCCAATTTTTAGGGGGCTTGTTACAGAAAAATAATCATAAAATGAACAAAACCTCAGAGCCCGGGTCATCTTCTGCAGGTAAGAGTCCTGTCTCTGAATACTAAGGGACCTCTAAGTCTACAGGTGGTCAAAATGCTGTATCCACCCAATTCCACTAAATGGAATAAATGAATAAATGAATGAATTCATTTATTCCATTTCCTCAGTTCCTCCCCAAATTACACCTCTGCCAGGAAACAGAGGGCGCTCCGACTTGTTCAGGTGTACTTTCTTGAGTTTCACCTCCATCCCTCCTGCTGTATGTAGAGCTCAGCTGTGCTGTCTGGCAATGGAGGATTGCTGCCGAGGTGCTCCCGCTGACCTCTTTTCTCCTTTCCTTCTCCCGCAAAGGCGGCAGAACTACATCGGGGCCACCAAATCACCACTCTTCAGCCCCATCCCACTCCCTGTTTCGGGCCTCGTCTGCTGGGAAAGTCACTTTTCCAGTATGTCTCCTGGCCTCTTATGATGAGATTTCTGGTCAAGGAGCGAGCTCTCAGGATACGAAGACATTTGACGTTGCGCTGTCCGAGGAGCTCCATGCGGCACTGAGTGAGTGGCTGACAGCGATCCGGGCTTGGTTTTGTAAGGTTCCTTCAAGCTAAGCCAGCTCAGAGAACACGGGGAGCGGTGGTGCTCCACGGACTTCGGAGCATAGAGTGGCGCTGAGTGAGTGGCTGAGACCGACCACGGTTCTTGACTTAGTGGAATTGGGTCGAAGGAGTGGAGAATGGGAGGGCTCGGGCTACTGAGAGTGGAGATGGGGGCGGGGGTGGTGGTGAAGAGAGTTGGAGAAGGAATGGACGAGTTCTTGAGCAAAAGGAGGGGAAGAGACAATCTCCAGCCACCCGCCCCACGCTTGACTTCTTATCACTTTGGCTGTGGTGCCGCCTAGTGGAAAAAGGAAGTCCCTGCAGCAGTCCCCGCACTCTTTAAGCAGCTGTTTACCGAAGGCACCAGTTCAGCCAGGAGTGAAATCCAGAGACGAGCAACGCCAGCCTGGGTCACAGTCCATCAAACCCCATGAGCCCGACCACTCTCGCTCTTCCTTACATTCCCACGTCCCCCTTCTCTCCCAACCCCTCATATCAGCAAGGGAAATTAATTAATGAGATTTGATAAATCAGTAGATAGAATGAGGTCCCCATTCTGAAATATTTAGCAGACTGGAACCACCACGCAAGCCTCTGTAGGGGGTGGATGGAGACACTTCTAACTTTAATAAACTGCGACTGAACGTGGAATCCTAGTAAAAGTGTATGTGTGTGTGGCGGGGGATGACTATTCCTCCTTTTGTATTCCAACACTTTCACTCATCCCTGTGTTTGAGGAACTCCACTTTAGAAAATTACTGGCCCTCAGAAAGTCTGAGCCTTGACACCTCTTATACTAGACTCAATTCTTGTCTTAGACATGGGAATTAGGGGCCACGGGAAATGGACAAGGAAGAGATGGTCTCATCTTCGGGTGTTGAAATGATCTCACCACCACCACCAATGAAGAACTTCTCTCTGCGCCCACAGAACAACACATTGTGAAATTTAGGGATTAACTTTGAGGAGGAGGAGGCGGGGCCGGGCCTAAGACTTCTCTGGGGACCACAAAGGCTGTGACTGGGAAGAGAAAGCCTCTCTGGCGGCATCCAGCGGGGCGGGTGGTGGGACGGGGGTATCAGAGGAAGGTAGGGGGTTTGGACAACTTGACCCGGGGTTGGCCACCTCTTTCTCCTCATCTTCACACGGCCCCTGTGACACTGGACGCAGCCTCGGCCCACCCGGATCTCATCCTTTCCCAGGATGAGATAG
The DNA here is from genome assembly GCF_000001405.40 of Homo sapiens. NCBI lineage: Eukaryota > Metazoa > Chordata > Mammalia > Primates > Hominidae > Homo > Homo sapiens. Next base: position 1,358,252 of record NT_167245.2, on the reverse strand, counting down.
TGACGCTGAACCTCGCATCCCAGGGCGGTTCGCAGAAGCGGGGCAACCCCCGACGCTTCTACAGGTTCCGCTGAGTGCTGGGCTCGCTGGGCCTTTGCTCCGGCCGCGGCGCCTGGGAGGCGGAGCTCCAAGGGCCCGGGGGCGGGGCCTGCGTGCTGGGCTTGGCCTTGGAGCTGGTTCCCAGGCGGGGCTTCCTGGAGGTGGAGCCCTTGACCGGCTTCGTGGAGCTGCACAGCAGCGGCTCCCAGTGCCAGGCGCTCATCGAGAGCGGTTCCCGCGAGGATCTCCCGGTCTGTCCGAACAAAGTGGGCGTCCGCGTGGATTACTAGGGCGGAGAGGTAGTCTTCTACGACGCCACCTCGAGGACCCACATCTACACTTTCCATGCCTCCTTTCCGGGGCAGATCTCCTTTTTCCAGCTTCTGTTTTCCGGCACCCGGATCACCCTGGGTCGCTAGAGTTGTTCTTTGCCTTCCTCTGCATCTCCTCCTCACTCGCTTCTCGCCCCAGTTTGGGATGTGCTGCAGCTGGAAGGGTTGAAGCTAGGCTTCCAGCAGCCCTATGGGAAGGTTACACCCTTCGGGCTTCCTCCTGATCCAGTCCTGATTTCTCTGACCCTGCTTTAAATATTCCTTCTATCTCAGTTCCTCTCTCCTTACAATATGCCTGGGTCGAAAAGAAAGGCTCAAATACACTAAAAGGCTATACACAAGGCTGTTCATTGCAGCACAGTTGGTAACAGGATAAGACTGGAAACGAACGTCTATCAACAGGTGGTTGAAAAAGCTGCCACGTGCAAGCATCCAGCTGCATCTCGGTTAAGACAGACACAGGGGAGTGGACCACTGACCCCAGCTTGTCCGCCTGTCTCCTCCTCCATTTTACCTCCTGCAGCCCCCGTGGACCTGCACAGGGCTTTGACCCATCTGAACCCCATCCTGAAAACCGACATACGCAAAACTTTTCTAGTTCTTCATAATACTCAGAAACCAAAATTAATCCCACGACCAGATGCATCCTCCTCTCAAACCCACATCACCACTACCCGCAACAAAAGTCTTGATCATTCCTAGTGTTGCCATGTGAGGGACTGAAGTTAAACCCAGAGAAGGACTGCTCCAGTTTCCTGAGTGAGCCCAAAAAAAGTAAAAGGGCGAGGAGGTTGGAAACGCAGAGACGAAATGACCTCTGGACAGTAAAACCCACCATTTGCGCCAGTTTGGGATGATTATGGGTTCCTTCCTCTTCCTCCCTTCAGGCCGGCTGGGGACTGGGTAGGCGGATGGGACCAGGCGTCTCTAGGCTTTTCCTGCCTCCTCGCTCCGGTAGGGAGAGGGCGGTGTTGCAGGAGGCGTGGGGAGTCGCCCGCCAGCCCACGCTGCTGCCCGTCGCGTGGCTGCGCAGCGGGAGGGCGGGCCCAGGTGTCGGGGCGGGAGTGAGCCAACGCCCGGAGCACGGATTCCAGGGGCGCTCAGTCAGCCCTGGCCAGGCTCCCCCATCCAGTTCCCCCAGTCGCCCGCGAGGCGCCGCCGATTACATAAACAGCCTTCACCTTCCTGCGGAGGGGACAACAAAGGGCTGGGGACACACAGGCCGAGACCCGAAAGTAACGCCCCTCCGGACTTTTATTCAGAATCAGCCGGGACTGCCCAAATCCCTATTTACAGTTCTCACAGCCCTCGTCATGGTCATGGACTTCGCGCCTTTTACCTTGTTTCCTTTCATTGTGTACAGATTCAACTTCCTTACTACAAAGGGAGATCTTTCCCAAATGTCTTAAGTTGATTTTATACTTCCTGACTCTACCAACCCCAGACACTTAGCACGGACCCTAGAATGGGGTACTTGATTAATAAATATTTACTAAATTAAAACCATGCCCTAATTTCTCTTTTCCCGCGAAAGACTGATGTCTTGGAAATCCCACTCAATTTTCGTGGACCAGCTCCACCTCACCTCCTCCAGGAAGCCTTCCCCAGGCAGGGTTCCTGGTACTTTCTGTTGGAAAAGTGTGCACACTCCCAAAGCCACTACAGCCATCTCCCTGCAGCACTTACCGCAAGTTGACTGTGAAGTCCTCGAGAACAGAAGCAGCATCTCACTCCTTTTCGTTTCACTCTCCCACCCTCCTTGAGCACTACAGGGCCTGGTTCCTAAAGGGATGTAAATGAAGGAAGGGTTCAAAGTAAATGAAAGAATACTTTGTAGCAAGGTTTAAATCTGGGGAGGTCTTCCAACCTGGACCTTAACCTTAAACGATGATCACACTCTTCTCAGCTGTGAGGGATGGGGGTCGCCTCTTTAGGAGCCTCTCAGAAGCTCATTTACTCAAAGAGAGTCCTGGCCATTCATTCGATGTTATGGCCGGGAAGTCAAGTGAATACTGAACCCTGGCCAAGATTTCCATCCCCCAGTCCAAAGTGTTTTCTGCCTCTTCACACAGTTATGATACTACTAACAGCATGTTTACAATGTTGAACAGTTTATTAAATGGATTCAGATACATTATTCCATTTGCTTCTCACAACTGCTTAAATTAGGTATCGTTACATTCCCATATTCCAAATATGGTATGAATGTTCAAACTCAGGTCTTTCAACACAAAGCACATGCAAAGTTGACTTGAAAAGATAAAATCTCATAAAATATATGATAAAATGGCTATAACAAATAGTAACTTTCCACGGTATTTCCCTACACAGACGGACACACACACACGTATACATGCACACACACACACACAACTTATCTGCTATATTAGTTTCCTAGGGCTTCCATAACACATCACCATAGACTGTGTGGCTTGAAACAATGACACATTCTCTTACAGTTTTGGAAGCAAGAAGTCTGAAGTCAAGGTGTCAGCAGAGCCATGCTCTCTCCAAAGGCTCTAGGAAAAAATGCTTCATTGCCTCTTCTAGCTCCTGGTGTTTGCGGGCAATCCGTGGCATTCTTTGGCTTGTAGATGCCTCACTCCAATCTCTGACAGCATTTTCACATGGCCGTCTCCCATGTGTCTGTGTCAAAATTTCCCTCCTCTTATAATGGCCCACCCTGATCCAATATGACCTCATCTGAACTTGATGAAAAGACCCTATTTTCTTTTTCTCTCTCTCTTTCTTTCCTTCTTTCCTTCCCTCCCTCCCTCCCTCCTTCCTTCTTTCCTTGCTTCCTTCCTTCCTTCTTTCCCTCCCTTTCTCCTTTCTTTCTTTCTTTCTTTCTTTCTTTCTTTCTTTCTTTCCTTCTTTTTTGAGACAAGGTCTGGCTCTATCACCCAGGCTGCAGTGCAGTGGCATGATCTCGGCTTACTGCAACCTCCACCTCACTGGCTCAAGTGATCTTCCCACATCAGCCTCCCGAGTAGGTGGGACTACAGGCACACAGCACATGGGACTACAGGCACACAGCACCATGCCTGGCTAATTTTTGTATTTTTTGTAGAGACAGGGTTTTGCTATGTTGATCAGTCCGGTCTCCAACTCTTGAGCTCAAGCAATCTGCCCACCTTGGTCTCCCAAAGTGCTGGGATTACAGGGGTGAGCCACCTCATCTGGCCAAGACCCTATTTTTGAATAAAGCCACATACGTAGGTACCTGGGGCTAGGACTTCAATATGTCCTTGGCAGACAAAATTCAACCCACAACTCCATAATCTGTCACCCACAGGAAAGCGAGAACATAAAAAAGAAACAATGGTATTGGAAAAGAGCCAAGGGCAACACTTGGGGGATGCTAAGATGAGCAGAAGGGAAAAGAGATAGTGAGCATAGAGGGTGTACTCTCCAGGGAGGGTCAAATTTGAGTATCTGGCTTGGAAAACCAGAGAAAGGAGAAAGATGGTTTTCAAAAGCTAAAAGAGGAAAAAGCATGGCAGGAGTGGAGAAGTCATTAGGAGGGTGGAAGAGCTGCTCCCTAGGGAGGGAGAGTAAGAGCCACTCCACTCCTGGGGAAATCCAGTGAAAACTGGGGCAAGTGTCAAGAGATGGAGATCCACGGTACTGAGTCCCTTCCCCCACCAGAGTGGCCCCCTTGAGGAGCCAGGGGTCTGCAAGCTCCCAAAGCATATTCCCATAGAAACTCTGGGGTCATGAAGTCATCTTGTCCCCCTTCCCAGACCTGATCCTGCTGCCTGTTTTATACTCATTGTTGCTACCAACCCCCACACAGTCACCCAACCTAGGTGTTATCTTCAACTCTTTCTTCTTCCTCATTCTTACAGTCCTTGAGGCCCCAACCTCCTTGATGTTAGCGCCTACCACAGGACTCCACCCATCTTCCTCCTAGCACTGTCTAGATCAGCCCTCACCTGGATTATGACAGCTGCCTTTCTCATTTCCCTGCCTCCAGACTTATTCTGCCCAATCCATCTTCCATTACCCAGGCCAAAGTCTATGCTTTTCTAAAATTTTATTTTGAAAATCTTCTGACAGAAGAGTTGAATGAATTTTACAGTGACCATCCAAATATTACCACCTACATTTTCTCATTAGCATTTTACTGTACTTGCTTTATCAAATATGTTTCCGTCGACCCATTCCTTCATCCTTCTATCCATCTTATAATTTTATGCATTTTAAAGTAAGTTGCAGATATTCAAATGATTTCTAAAAATATAATCTGGTCATGTTAGAACTTGTTGGACTTTCAATAATGCCTCCCTTCTCTAAAGGATAAAGCCTGAACTCCACGTTGGCCTGCCTTCAGCCTAACCCCTGCCCCCACCTGCTTCCCATTTTTCACTCCAGAAAGGCCAAATTGCCTAAAATTCCCCACTCACCACACTGTTTACATCTCCCTGACCCGCTTTCATTGTTCCTTCTTCTTAGCTTGTCCTCAGCCTTCCAGGGCCTCAAACGCCTCCTTCCCTGAAAGCCTTTCTTGATCCCCCACTCCTCTCCGACACTGGTTTAGGCACCACATCTATAAGCACATAGCAGTCCCCAGGGCATACCTTGATCACTGCACTAATCTCCACAATCAAGACGATCTGTTTATGTGTGTTTCTCACCTCTACCCCAACTGAGAGCTTCCTAAAAATTCAGGGATCCTGCTTTATTTGTCTATTGTCCTTGGTACCTAGAACAGTCTGTGGCATGTGTGGGTGCTCCATAAATATTTGTTGAGTGAATGCATTACTGGTTTTGTCCTTTCTAAGAGCACCTCCTGCCTTTGTACCAGCTTCTCCCACACAACATGGGGCCAGGTCTTCAATGTAGATCCCAGAGAGTTAAGAAGGAAGCAAAGAACACTGAGTGTTACCCGTGTTTTCCAGCCAAAGACCCCCCAGGAACATAACTGTCATTAAACATGCTGGGTTTATTACTCCTTGCAGCAATGGAGAATGCACCCCATGGGGAGTGTGGGACATTTTAATAAGAGTGTTAGGAAAAAACCTATGATAGGGTTTGGGTTTTGGTTAGGTGATTTGGGGAAAGGTCTAAGGAAGTGGGGGTTTGCTCTGGATTAATGCTGTTAGAAAGCAGAGCAGATCCTGTGAATGAATACCCAAATAAATATTTTCTATAGGGAGGGGAGACTAGAACGAGGGGAAAGCTATAATTGGTAAAGAAGTAGCAAACATTTCTGTTAACCAAGAGAAGGGGTGTTTGGTATTTTGTGGGTGGCACAGTGTCTTTTTTTGGATCTGTGCTCAGAAAAACTTGTGAAGCAGCCTTGCATTGTCTCACTTTATCAAGGTCTAGGAGTAAACTTGTCTGAGATTGGTATTCTGTAATATAGTTTATGCCTACTAGGTGAATAACATGGTTTAGCTCTGTTAGGCCAACTTCTGAATGTCAGAGGCTGCTCTTTTTTTTTCTCTCAGTGTTTAGGTTGGGCATTGGGAAAAAAGATGAATTAGTGGGATTGGAGCATGTGTATAGATATGTGCAGAATCCAGTTCAATGCAAAAAACTTTTCTTTTTTTTTTTTCTTTTTTTTTTTTTTTTTTTGAGACAGACTCTTGCTCTGTTGCCCAGGCTGGAGGGCAGTGGTGCGATCTCGGCTCACTGCAAGCTCTGCCTCCCGGGTTCATGCCATTCTCCTGCCTCAGCCTCCACAGTAGCTGGGACTACAGGTGCCTGCCACCACGCCCGGCTAATTTTTTGTATTTTGTTTAGTAGAGATGGGGTTTCACCATAGCCAGTTGGTCCGATCTCCTGACCTCGTGATCCACCTGCCTCGGCCTCCCAAAGTGCTGAGATTACAGGCTTGAGCCAACGCTTCCGGCCACAAAATTTTTCAAATAGAGGAAGTCTGGAGTTTATTTCCAAGGTGTCCACCTCCCCAATCCAGGCATATATTTCCAGGTCACAGTGCTGACACTTTCAGCCTCCCGCAGTCACACACCCCATGGTCATGGAAAGGGACACATGGCCCAGGTCCCTGGTGGCTCTGAGTTGTGGGGAGGGAGGAGCCAGTGGCTTTGGCTCTACCCGGACATCCCTTGTTCTCCCAGGGCAAACACTCTGAAGCTTGTTTTCTTGGCTGACTGTTTTTGTTTGTCATCCTGCCTGGTATCACAGCCTCCCAGTAACTCCCAAACCTACTCATCTGAGCCCTGAGGAAAACCTATTAGATATGAATTCTTTGTTGGTTTTGTGACAGTGTCCTCTGACCAGACGGGTTCAGCTGCCTGGACCCCAAGGGCCTTGTTGTCTCTGCTCCCTGCCTTCTGGGGTAATGATCTCACCCTTGCCCCCAGTTTCAAGGATCCAGTGACTCACTGCAGAGTAAATCAACAGCATGGCAGATGCCTGGCATCTGAGGTCTCTGATACTCTCTAAGGATATGGGGCTGTGATCTTTTTTCCTTCAGTCTGGTGCTTCTGTCTGACTGTTAGTGATTCCCCTTTCCTGATAAAGGCTTTAATATTTCCTTCAAATCAGACAGCCCTGAAGTTGCTGCCTCCTGCCTTCATTATTCCTTTCTGCACAAGGCTGAATTGATTCTGTTCTGAAATTTTCCTCATCCCTGCCCTCCACACACATACTCACCAATGCATGACTTGCTTTTTCACAGCCTCTTGTCTTGTGCTTCTCTACCTTTTGGTTCAAATCTTCTTCTTCTTCTTCTTTTTTTTTTTATGAAGTTTTTATGAAGCCTTGCTCTGTCACCCAGGCTGGAGTGCAGTGGCACATCTCAGCTCACTGCAACCTCAGCCTCCCGGGTTCAAGGGCTTCTCTTGCCTCAGTCTCTTAGGTAGCTGGGATTACAGGTGCCCACCACCACACCCAGCTAATTTTTTGTACTTTTAGTAGAGATGGGGTTTTGCCATGTTGGTCTGGCTGGTCTCGAACTCCTGACCTTGGGTGATCCGCCCACCTTGGCCTCCCAAAATGCTAGGATTACAGGTGTGAGCCACCGTGCAAGCCGAAAGTCTTCTTTAGCTATGATCTTCCTGAATCCTAGTTTGATTTGATCCTTCAGGACATGTTTGTATTTACATATTTGTGTTTTATACACATAGAAATGTGTGTGTGTGTGTGTGTGTGTGTGTGTGTGTGTGTGTATTTGAAATAGCTATAAACCAGGGACAGTGGGAATAGTGAGGATATGTGTTTGTGGGATCAAGTGAGGTTGTGGTTACAAGAAAAAGCTATATCTTTGATAACAGCAAATCAATAATAGATAATGCCTAAAATTAGAAGAGCAAATAGTAATAATATAATCCTTGTATTTACAGATGTGAAGGTGAACACCAAAACAGCTAAAAGAGTTGAAAGTAGTGGAGATGGGGGTGAGGGCTGCCATTTAAAAAAATTAACTCATCAACTTGTTTAACTTTTTATTTGCATATATAACTGCGATGAAAATCCTGAAAATAATCTAATTGTGTTCTGTGTTCCTTTTTTTTCCCCCTACCAGCCATGTGAAGATCTGTCACCCACTCATTTCCTCAGCCCAGTTTCTCACCCTTGCTTCCTCTCCCCCGACTCTGTTTCCAGGGGCCAGGCTTGTCCACCCCTCGGGATCTCTCCTACCTGACTGCTCTCCTCCTGCCTCCAATCTATCCACCTGCAGACAGAACAATCTCTACAACCTGTGTCACCAGAGTGTGTTTCACTTCCACTTGAAAATTCTCTGAGACTTGCCTAGTGTAACAGGATTGAGTTATGCCCTCAGTATGACAAGCTCCATGTCCCTCTCAGTGCCAGCCCTAGGCACGCAGCCTGCACCAGGCTCAGACATACCTCCTTCTCTTGGCTGCCCTGGCTCTGTACTCCCTCTGACCAAAACCCTTCCCCTGTATGTGTTTCTTTACTATGGGTCATAATTTATAGTACATAATGTTCTGCACTGACTTTTTCTTTTAACCACGATCTTATAGATCTTCTCATGTCAACCCAAATAGGTCATCTTCACTATTTTTCACTGTTACATGAATTCAATTACATAATGTATATAAAAACATTTTGCATGCCATCTGGCATATAGGAAGACTCAAATATATCCTTATCTCATTTAAGTTTCCATCACCGCAACATAATGAAGAAACACCCTTTGTCTCCTTTAACACTGTAGTTGTAAGATTCCTCCTCAACTCTTATTACAGCTATGCATTGTGCCTTTTAAAAACATTTAGTATTTTTTTTCATTGAGACAAATCTTGCTATGTTGCCCAGGCTGGTCTCTCACTCCTGGGCTAAGTGATCCTCCTGCCTCACCCTCCCAAAGTGCTGGGATTATAGGCATGAGCCACTGTGCCTTGCCCTATGCAATGGTTTTAAACAGATCACGAATTTAATTAATATCACTATTCTCCCCATTATTTCTTTAGCTTTTCCATCCAGCTCCCTACACATCCCTCTTTTGTGGATCTCAACTCCTTGGAGCTCTCCCACACACTCTGCTTGCTTGCTTTTCCCTGAAATGCCCTCTGCTATCCCCTTCCACCATCCACTGGGGAAGTGGTTCCCTTCTTCCCAGACATCCGCTGTAAAAGCTTCCCTAAGCTGCCCTCTCCCAGAGGAGCCCTCAGCCTATGGGCAGCCCCGCCCCCTACCTGGTTTGCACCACTGATATCACTCCTTAACCAGAAGGTCAATCTTTTGAAAGCAGGTTGTCTTAGTATCTTCAGTGCTTAGCATATTGCCTGGCACATAAAAAGTGCCCCATAAGTGTTTGCTGGATGAGAATCCTCAACTTTTAAATGTCTAATCTCATTTTTCTATGTAATATGCCACACACAGAAGAGGTGCTCTGTGGTATAGAGGAGAATGTACCTTCTTATTAGCTGTGTGATCTTGGACAACTCACATCACCTCTCTGAGCCTCAGTTTCTTGATCCGTAAAATGGGGGTAATGAGATCTATGATGAATGAATGATGAAATAAAATATAAGAAGATGTTCTAAAAATGTAAAAAGTATTACCATCACTCCTTCTTCAACCTCATTTCAAACTTTCCATAGTTCTGACAAAATCCTCTCCCCAGGTCCAGCCCGTTCTGTAAGATCATGTCTCTCCCCCGGACTCCTGATCCTCATTCCTTTCTTTTTCTTTTTCTTTCTTTCTTTCTTTCTTTCTTCTTTTTTTTTTTTTTTGAGATGCAGTTTTGCTCTTGTTGCCCAGGCTGGAGTGCAATGGCGCATCGGCTCACCACAACCTCCGCCTCCCGGGTTCAAGCGATTCTCCTGCCTCAGCCTCACTGAGTAGCTGGGATTACAGACATGCACCACCATACCCAGCTAATTTTGTATTTTTAGTAGAGACAGGGTTTCTCCATGTTGGTCAGGCTGGTCTTGAACTCCCGACCTCAGGTGGTTCGCCTGCCTCGGCCTCCCAAAGTGCTGGGATTACAGGTATGAGCCACCGTGCCCGGCAACCTCATTCCTTTCTGGTGCTGTTGTTTCGCCCTCTCATTCCCTTCTTCTAACTTGGTAGGCTTTGTTCTTGCCTAATTCCTCTTCAGTGTTCACTTTTCTGTAGCCTTTGCCTTTCTCCTTTCAGCATAGCTCTGTCCTCACAGCTTCCTGGAAGCCATCCCAAGAACTCTTATAGGTTCCTTTCCCTCTGCTTCCTTGAAGCTCCTCCCTGCTCCTCCTGCCACATACACCACCCAGGGGGCAGGGGAGCCTCACATGGGTGTGGATAACTCTACCAAGCGCTGGTTTCAAGGACGCTTGCAAAGGTGGCCAGAAATGGCAGATAAAAGGGCACGAGATGCCATGCCATGTTCTGCGCAGGGAGGGGCTGGATGAGGGGAACCAGAGAGTCCAAGGCAGGTCCCAGGGCAAGTTTTCCTTCCAGAGATTCAGGGCAGGCAGGACAGAGCTGGAGGGGTGTGTTTGGGAGACAGGGGAGGTAACATCTGAGGCTCAGGAGGCAGTCAGAGGGAGTGGCTCCTGAACTAATTGGCAGGCTGGATGCCAGCAGCGTGCCAGTGATGTTTTAGCTACTGGTCACCAGAGGAGAGGAAGGAAGGGAGGGAGGGAGAGTCTATCATGTGGACCAAGACACAGAGGCACATGGGGCCTGTTGTCGGCTGGCTCTCAGTTCATCAGGCTTTTCTAGGTCACTCTGCGTTGCCACCTCCCTTGCTGGGTTTCCCTGCTCTGCCTCGTGCTGCCTTGCATGCCCCTGGCTTGGTTTCTCTGACTCATAGTCCACGACCCGGACACTCTCTTCAAGTCTCTGTGCTCCTGGGAGTTGGTGTTCTAATACTGTTGGGGAGGAAGCACTTGAGTCCCAGCATGCAGGCTTTGACCTTTATCCTGCATGGCCCCCAGTTTCCTCCCTGTGACTGGAATGTGACACAGGCTCCTGGAGTAGTTAAGAAAGTAGTAAAATCTTTAATGATTTGAAAATTATAAAATTATAAAATTATTACTGTGTTAAAATGAACTATCCTTGTTCTTTTTGTTTCTCCACCACTCCTAATGTCAGATATGCTTACATCGGGCTGCACAGTTCACAGCACTGTTGGATGGCCCACAGGCCTCCTGGCTTCACATGTCCAACATGCCACCCCTGATATTCCTGCCCAGGCCAGCTCCTCACAGTTCTTCCCACTGCAGTCACTGGCAGCTCCATCCTCCCCATGGTGGGGCCAAATTCGTTAGAGCTTCCTGCCTCCTCCTTTGCTCTCACACTCCACAACCAATGCAGTAACTCACGTCCAGAAGTCAGCCCCTTCCCACCAACTCCAACCCCTGGTAGGCTCACCTCACCCAGTACTGAATGAAGTCCTGACAATGACAAAGCCCTGCACAGTCGGCCAGTCCCATCTCTGACTTCCTACTCCACACCCGCTGCTCCCTCTGCTCCAGCCACATGGCCTCATGTTAAATCTCAAACACATCAGCAGCTTCAGCATCACAGCCTTTGCCTCTGCCTTTCCTTTCATCTGGATGATCCTTCCTTCAGATAAGCACTTGACGACTTCTCTTACCACCTTCAAATCTTTGCTCAAATAGAATCTATTGAGATTGTAACTCTATCTACTCCATCCAGCACTCCATCCAGCATTGAGAAGGCCCATCTCTCTAGGTGATATTTAAGGGCAGACCTGAGAGATGAATAAGAGATCATCATGCTCAGAGAGGAGAGAAGGGCATCCCAGGCACAGGTAACAGCTTTGCATCAACCTAGAGGCAAGAACAATTTGGGCTAATTTAAGCAAAGTTGACGCATGATGAGTTGGGAGTAAAGATGGCACAAGATAATAATGAAGACTTAGAGATTAGAGCAAGCAAAAACTTAGGTTTTAGTAGTGGAATAGGCAAGAGTGCAATGGGGGAAGATCCGAGGCCACTACTTGCTAATGGCATTCCCCAGAGTTGTATAAGGCAGTCATCCCAAAGAGAGAAAACTATGCTAGCATTTGTGTCTTTCTTCCCAGCTTTATGTTGCTTCGTGGTACCTACCATACATTACACTTATTTATTTGTTAATGAGCTGTTCTCCCCGCTAGAGTTTAGAATTCCCATGAGGCCAGGTTCCTGTCTGTGTTGATCTCCACTGAGTCCCTAGCTTTCAACACTGTATCTGCACATAGTAGGTCCTTAATAAGTACTTTTGAACGAATAAGTATAAATTACTTTTATCATCCCTAAAACAAATTTTTTGATATAATTGTTTTCACTTTATAGTCACAAAACTAACAAGAGTCAAGTCAAATCTTGACACCCTACTGTTTCTAAGTGGTGTCAATGTTCCTTCATACTGTATAATTTCTTATCTGGTTTAGTCAAAATGGGCAAAGGCTTCAGTTTTTTCAATTTTAAAATGAGGAGTTTGGACTAATGGATTGCCCATTTGCTGGAGGATGATACCTGCTCCTTCCTCCAGGGCCTCCCCTGCTGCTCCAGTCCAAGTTCTTTTCCCTCTTCCAGCCTCCCCTCTTCCTGGGGTCTGGACAACAGAGGTTAAATGGTTTAAAGGCCCACTGGGAGACTGTGAATCACAGAAGCACAGGAATCCTTTCCATTTCTAGCTGCCTACACTCCATCTATCTCACTGGCTGAGGCTTCGATTCTGTCAAGGAAATAGGATGACTACAGAACAGAAAGAAAGGACAGAGAATAAAAAGGAGAAAATGATGAAGGGGAGGGCAGGGAGGAAGGAGAGAAGGACAGAGCAAACAGGTCTCGTGCATGTTAGTGAATATTCTGCAGAGAGGAGAAGCAGTTATTGTGGACTGTGGTCCAACTGAAACAAAATATCTCATCACTTTGTCTTTACCCCCTCTCTTGTGATCCCATCTCAACATCCAAAGCTCATTAAGTATGTAGCCCATTTCTGTAACAGCCTTGCAATTACACAGTCATCCATTCCAGAAATTAGAAATTCATGATTGATTTTCCCCTCCCTCATCACCCAAAGGCCACTTCAATGTTTTTGTCAATTCTATCTACAAAATACACTTCAAATTGGCCTGCTCATTTTCAGCTCCACTGGATCCCACTATCTCAAGCCATCATCCTTTCTCACCTAAATTACTGGCATAGTTTTCTCTCTTTGGGATGACTGCCGTATACAACTCTGGGAATGCCATTAGCAGGTAGTGACCCTGGGTCTCCCCCATTCCACTCTTGTTTATTCCACTACTAAAACTTAAGATTTCACTTGCTCTAGTCTCTGCCTACGTCTTCATTATTATCTTGTGCCATCTTTACTCCTAACTCATCATGTGTCAACTTTGCTTAAATTAGCCCAAATTGTTCTTGCCTCTAGGCTGTTGCAAAGCTGTTACCTGTGCCTGCAATGCCCTTCTCTCCTCTTTGAGCATGATGATCTCTTATTCATCTCTCAGGTCTCCCCTTAAATATCACCTTGGAAGATGGGCCTTCCTCAATGTCCCCCATCTAAATTAAGGACTTCTGCTCTCAGTCTCTGTGCTGGAGATTTGTCAAAATGTCAGATTTATCAAATAAAAGTACAGGATGTCCATTTAAATCTGAATTTTAGATAAATAATAAACAAGTATTTTGTGTAAGTATGCCCCATGCAGTATTTGGGAGATACTTATACTAAAAAATCATTGTTTATCTGAAATTCAAATTTAACTGGATGTTCTGCATTTTATCTGCCAAACCTACATATATGGAATGACCTCATTTCCTTTCTATTGAAGAGATTGAAAAGTAAAAAACTCTATTTCTCAGAATTTTTGGAGCTAGGATTCTGGACATGAAATAAGTCCTTCCAACTAAATGTATTTCTATGAGATTTGAAATGCAGAAGTGAGGTAGAGGCTATTTTCCTATAGAAGAGCATGGATGAGCCCCAATAAACATGAAATGTGCATGGGGGTAGGGCAGCTGGGCCCGTGGCTGCTATGCTAGCAGTAGCTGCAGCACTACTGACCTATGGTGATTGACCTTGAAGCCAATAAACCAGTTAGGACATCCTGACTTTTTTTTTTTTTTTTTTTTTTTTTTTTTTTTTTTTTTTGAGACGGAGTCTCGCTCTGTCGCCAGGCTGGAGTGCAGTGGAGTGATCTTGCTCACTGCAACCTCTGCCTCCTGAGTTCAAGCAATTCTCCTGCCTCAGCCTCCTAAGTAGCTGTGACTACATCATGTGCCACCATGCCCAGCTAACTTTTGTATTTTTAGTAGAGACGGGGTTTCACCATGTTGGCCAGGATGGTCTCGATCTCTTGACCTTGTGATCTGCCCAACTCAGCCTCCCAAAGTGTTGGGATTACAGGCATGAGCCACCGTGCCCAGCCAATATTTTTTTTTCTTAATTGAAACAGGCGCCTAAAAGACAGGAAGGAACCTGCTCCTGCATTCTTGACAGATGAGGATCCGAAAGTTTTCCCTACTTACACACCAGCAAGATCATCTCTCTGGGAATCAATTTTCTTATCCATATTGTAAGGGCTAGACTACACATTGTTAATGTTCCCTACAACTCTAGCATTCTACAAATCTATGATTCTTTGAAGTCTTTAATAGAGGTGGGAGCCAGAATCAAATTAGCTATATTTGGTGCACTTACTAGCGATCCTTGTACAGGTTAATAAATAACTTGTTTGGAAGACCTATTCTCCCCGATGGGGAAGTGGACATGGAAATGAGATGATCGTCTTGAATGTAAATAATGTGAAGGGGAATAGGAATTAGAAAAAGAAAACTGAGAGAAAAGACTACTAGGACAAAATGAGCTTCAAAATACATAAATCATGCTGAGTGTGGTAGCTTATGCCTATAATCTCAGCTCTTTGGGAGATGAGGCCAAAGTGGGAGGATTGATTGAAGCCAGGAGCTTGAGATCAGCCTGGGCAACACAGCCAGATCCCATCTCTACAATCAATCAATCAATCAATCAATCCATTAGACCACGTAAATATCACACTTACAGCTACTCAGTGGCATTCCACTGCTCTTAGAACAACGATCAACTCCTTATCCTGGTCCCTAAGGTCCTACACAGCTTGGCTCTTAGTACCTCTCCAATCTCACATCAAACCATTGTCATCCCACTTCATACGTTCAAGATCTTTCCCACTTCAGGGTCTTTGCATCTGCTGTTGTTGCTCTCTCCCAACTCTTCTCATTGCTGGCTCCCTCTCTTCACCTTCTCAGAGGAGCTTTTTCTAACATCCTATTAAAAGTAGTGCACACCTCCTCCAGTTAATTCCTCTTATATTACCCACTTTGTATTCTTCAAAGCACTGATCACAATCTATAATTATCTTGTTAATTTATTTGTTTACTTGCTTATTGTTGGCCTTTTTCAATGGAATCTAAATTACCAGAGGACAAGGGACTATGGCTGGCTTGCTCTCCACTCTTCCTAACTCCTAGAACAACGCATGGTACATAGTAGGTGCTTAGTAAATAGTTGTTGAATGATTAAATGAATGGATGAATGAATGCACAGCTCTTAAAAGGAAACTGCTGGCCAGGTGCGGTGGCTCACACCTGTAATCCTAGCACTTTGGTAGGCTGAAGCAGGCAGATCACCTGAGGTAAGGAGTTCAAGACCAGCCTGGCAAACATGACAAAACCCCATCTCTACTAAAAATACAAAAATTAGCTGGGTGTGGTGGCATGTGCCTGTAGTCCCAGCTACTTGGGAGGCTAAGCTAGGAGAATCGCTTGAACCCAGGAGGCAGAGGTTGTAGTGAACTGAGCTCATGCCACTGCACTCCAGCCTGGTGACAGAGCGAGACTCTGTCACAAACAAACAAACAAACAAAAAAAAAATGGAAACTGCTAAGGGCTTGGAGAACAAGAAGGCCTTGAGAAAACTGAGAAGATGGGGGGAGGAGCCAAGATGGCCAAATAGGAACAGCTCCGGTCTACAGCTCCCAGCGTGAGCAACGCAGAAGACAGGTGATTTCTGCATTTCCATCTGAGGTTCATCTCACTAGGGAGTGCCAGACAGTGGGCACAGGTCAGTGGGTGCGCGCACCGTGCGTGAGCCGAAGCAGGGCGAGGCATTGCCTCACTCAGGAAGCACAAGGGGTCAGGGAGTTCCCTTTCCTAGTCAAAGAAAGGGGTGACAGAGGGCACCTGGAAAATCGGGTCACTCTCACCCGAATACTGCGCTTTTCCGACGGGCTTAAAAAACGGCGCACCAGGAGATTATATCCCGCACTTGGCTCAGAGGGTCCTACGCCCACAGAGTCTCGCTGATTGCTAGCACAGCAGTCTGAGATCAAACTGCAAGGTGGCAGCGAGGCTGGAGGAGGGGCGCCCGCCATTGCCCAGGCTTGCTGAGGTAAACAAAACAGCCGGGAAGCTCGAACTGGGTGGAGCCCACCACAGCTCAAGGAGGCCTGCCTGCCTCTGTAGGCTCCACCTCTGGGGGCAGGGCACAGACAAACAAAAAGACAGCAGTAACCTCTGCAGACTGAAATGTCCCTGTCTGACAGCTTTGAAGAGAGCAGTGGTTCTCCCAGCACGCAGCTGGAGATCTGAGAACGGGCAGACTGCCTCCTCAAGTGGGTCCCTGACCCCTGACCCCCGAGCAGCCTAACTGGGAGGCACCCCCCAGCAGGGGCAGACTGACACTTCACACGGCCGGGTACTCTAACAGACCTGCAGCTGAGGGTCCTGTCTGTTAGAAGGAAAACTAACAAACAGAAAGGACATCCACACAAAAAACCCATCTGTACATCACCATCGTCAAAGACCAAAAGTAGATAAAACCACAAAGATGGGGAAAAAACAGAGCAGAAAAACTGGAAACTCTAAAAAGCAGAGCTCCTCTCCTCCTCCAAAGGAATGCAGTTCCTCACCAGGAATGGAACAAAGCTGGACGGAGAATGACTTTGACGAGCTGAGAGAAGAAGGCTTCAGACGATCAAATTACTCCGAACTATGGGAGGACATTCAAACCAAAGGCAAAGAAGTTGAAAACTTTGAAAAGAATTTAGAAGAATGAATAACTAGAATAACCAATACAGAGAAGTGCTTAAAGGAGCTGATGGAGCTGAAAACCAAGGCTCGAGAACTACGTGAAGAATGTAGAAGCCTCAGGAGCTGATGCGATCAACTAGAAGAAAGGGTATCAGCGATGGAAGATGAAATGAATGAAATGAAGCGAGAAGGGAAGTTTAGAGAAAAAGGAATAAAAAGAAACGAGCAAAGCCTCCAAGAAATATGGGACTATGTGAAAAGACCAAATCTACATCTGATTGGTGTACCTGAAAGTGACGGGGAGAATGGAACCAAGTTGGAAAACACTCTGCAGGATATTATCCAGGAGAACTTCCCTAATCTAGCAAGGCAGGCCAACGTTCAGATTCAGGAAATACAGAGAACGCCACAAAGATACTCCTCGAGAAGAGCAACTCCAAGACACGTAATTGTCAGATTCACCAAAGTTGAAATGAAGGAAAAAATGTTAAGAACAGCCAGAGAGAAAGGTCGGGTTACCCTCAAAGGGAAGCCCATCAGACTAACAGCGGATCTCTCGGCAGAAACTCTACAAGCCAGAAGAGAGTGGGGGTCAATATTCAACATTCTTAAAAAAAAGAATTTTCAACCCAGAATTTCATATCCAGCCAAACTAAGCTTCATAAGTGAAGGAGAAATAAAATCCTTTACAGACAAGCAAATGCTGAGAGATTTTGTCACCACCAGGCCTGCCCTAAAAGAGCTCCTGAAGGAAGCACTAAACATGGAAAGGAACAACCAGTACCAGCTGCTGCAAAATCATGCCAAAATGTAAAGACCATTGAGACTAGGAAGAAACTGCATCAACTAATGAGCAAAATAACCAGCTAACATCATAATGACAGGATCAAATTCACACATAACAATATTAACTTTAAATGTAAATGGACTAAATGCTCCAATTAAAAGACACAGACTGGCAAATTGGATAAAGAGTCAAGACCCATCAGTGTGCTGTATTCAGGAAACCCATTTCACGTGCAGAGACACACATAGGCTCAAAATAAAAGGATGGAGGAAGATCTACCAAGCAAATGGAAAACAAAAAAAGGCAGGGGTTGCAATCCTAGTCTCTGATAAAACAGACTTTAAACCAACAAAGATCAAAAGAGACAAAGAAGGCCATTACATAATGGTAAAGGGATCAATTCAACAAGAAGAGCTAACTATCCCAAATATATATGCACCCAATACAGGAGCACCCAGATTCATAAAGCAAGTCCTGAGTGACCTACAAAGAGACTTAGATTCCCATGCATTAATAATGGGAGACTTTAACACCCCACTGTCAACATTAGACAGATCAACAAGACAGAAAGTTAACAAGGATACCCAGGAATTGAACTCAGCTCTGCACCAAGCAGACCTAATAGACATCTACAGAACTCTCCACCCCAAATCAACAGAATATACATTTTTTTCAGCACCACACCACACCTATTCCAAAATTGACCACATACTTGAAAGTAAAGCTCTCCTCAGCAAATGTAAAAGAACAGAAATTATAACAAACTATCTCTCAGACCACAGTTCAATCAAACTAGAACTCAGGATTAAGAATCTCACTCAAAACCGCTCAACTACATGGAAACTGAACAACCTGCTCCTGAATGACTACTGGGTACATAACGAAATGAAGGCAGAAATAAAGATGTTCTTTGAAACCAACGAGAACAAAGACACAACATACTAGAATCTCTGGGACGCATTCAAAGCAGTGTGTAGAGGGAAATTTATAGCACTAAATGCCCACAAGAGAAAGCAGGAAAGATCTAAAATTGACACCCTATAATCACAATTAAAAGAACTAGAAAAGCAAGAGCAAACACATTCAAAAGCTAGCAGAAGGCAAGAAATAACTAAAATCAGAGCAGAATTGAAGGAAATAGAGACACAAAAAAACCCTCCAAAAAATTAATGAATCCAGGAGCTGGTTTTTTGAAAGGATCAACAAAATTGATAAACCGCTAGCAAGACTAATAAAGAAAAAAGAGAGAAGAATCAAATAGACACAATAAAAAATGATAAAGGGGATATCATCACCGATCCCACAGAAACAGAAACTACCATCAGAGAATACTACAAACACCTCTATGCAAATAAACTAGAAAATCTAGAAGAAATGGATAAATTCCTTGACACATACACTCTCCCAAGACTAAACCAGGAAGAAGCTGAATCTCTGAATAGACCAATAACAGGATCTGAAATTGTGGCAATAATCAATAGCTTACCAACCAAAAAGAGTCCAGGACCAGATGGATTCACAGCCGAATTCTACCAGAGGTACAAGGAGGAACTGGTACCATTCCTTCTGAAACTATTCCAATCAATAGAAAAAGAGGGAATCTTCCCTAACTCATTTTATGAGGCCAGCATCATCCTGATACCAAAGCTGGGCAGAGACACAACCAAAAAAGAGAATTTTAGACCAATATCCTTGATGAACATTGATGCAAAAATCCTCAATAAAATACTGGCAAACCAAATCCAGCAGCACATCAAAAAGCTTATCCACCATGATCAAGTGGGCTTCATCCCTGGGATGCAAGGCTGGTTCAATATACACAAATCAATAAATGTAATCCAGCATATAAACAGAATCAAAGACAAAAACCACATGATTATCTCAATAGATGCAGAAAAGGCCTTTGACAAAATTCAACAATGCTTCATGCTAAAAACTCTCAATAAATTAGGTATTGATGGGATGTATTTCAAAATAATAAGAGCTATCTATGACAAACCCACAGCCAATATCATACTGAATGGGCAAAAACTGGAAGCATTCCCTTTGAAAACTGGCACAAGACAGGGATGCCCTCTCTCACCACTCCTATTCAACATAGTGTTGGAAGGTCTGGCC